>NC_000003.12:62434242-62737272 GCF_000001405.40 Homo sapiens
CAATTACACTTCATTTTTTATGAAAAAATATAAAAACGCAGATAAAAAATGTCCAGCTGCACATCTGAAATATTATGGGAAACAGTTTGCCGATTCTTTTCTGATCAGCACTTTGTCTTGGATTGGTTAGTTTTTTTCTTAGGTGCGTTATCAAAAAAGTCATTAGTATTTTATAGAAAGACTAGGTAAATCAATTATATTAATAAACAAAGGAATCTTAATGGCAAAAGCAACCCAGTTAGGCAACATTATGTCCAAATGTATTTCTCCAATAAACCTAGAGAATGCTTGGTTAAAACAAAAAAAATCGGTGAGGATGAATTTGGAAAGCCTGTTCTTAAGTTACGTAATAAAATAGATAAAAATGCAGAACATCAAATATAGAGTCCCAAATGCTATGCCGATAATCTCCCACAAGCACCCACTTCCAGCCAAAAGTACAATGACGTGGCAGAGAGAAAACTAGCTCAGAGAGCACTGGGTAGGGGCCTAGTTAAAGCAGAAAATGCACCGTTAAATGACCAGCTATTAATCCAAATATTCTCAAATACAAACACACACTAAAACCATCCAGCCTTTTCTACAAGGGCACACTCAGAAGGGCAAAAACAGGAACAATACCAAACAGCAACAACTTAAAGGACTTATCAGGTAAATAAAACTGAGACTTGAAACACAGTTAAAAACACAACAGGAACTCTTAGAACATGCCTCTGAATGACAGATGCCAGCAGGAACTAAAAACCAGAGAATGACACAACAGTCAGAATCAACAACCCCCAAACAGCAAACAATCTCGGAGATATATATTTTTTTCTTCATTCAAAATGTTAATTTGCTATTATTCATTTTTGCCATTTATCAAAATGCAACGATTTGGAAGAAAAATCTCACAGAGCAACAAGTCTTTCTCAATAGGTTTCTGCCAATTGTTTAGAAACTTGCCCCAGGACCCCTATCATTAAGGAATGGGATTTAAAGAATAAGTTCATTTGCAGCAAGAAATTTAGAGTGGCAGCTTTCACAGACCCTTCTGCCTTGATATTCCTATTCCCTTGTTTAGCTTGGTGGACACAAGAGATTTGCAGAGCATGTACACAAAGAAATAAACACCATGCTTGAGGAAACAGAAGCCGAAAATAATCAAACATGTTGGTAATCTGATGTTTTGCTGCTAGATTATAGAAAAACAGTAAGTACTGAATTAAATTACTAAGGCTGCATGGTAATGAAGCTTTTCGAGAAGCTCTGGGTTTTTAAAATGACAAATGTTTTAAATCCATGACAGATTCAATAACTTTTTTTGCACTACATCAGTTAGGTTGCCTAGCACCAATATTCTGTAAAGTAGGAGATCAGGTTATTTAGAAAGTAAGAAAGTAAATGGCAAAGAAACTTGTTATCTCTAAATAAGCTCCTGAAAAATTTTTTTTTTTCCACGGGGCCGGGAGTGATGTGCAGTGAGTGATTGTAATAGTTAAGCCTTTACCATCAGATATACTCAGGAGGGTATAACTAAGACTCCGTTGGGAAAACCAAATTGGGACAACATCAGACTAAATTGTGGGGGTTTCCACAATGTTACTGATGCTATTTTATGCTGGTCAGTGGAATTCAACAAGGGACTGGAGTTACTTGTGAATTTTTGAATGTCCCTAACTATAACTTGCTTTCGGAAAAAAATATTCTCAGTAATATTTCTTTTTACTATTAATTTACTATTAATTAATTAATTAATTAATTAAAGGCTGGAGGGCTTGAATTTTGCCTGTGGTCTTCAACAGTCAGGCAAGTCCAGTTTTACCACCTGTACTAGCCAAGGCTGCACTTTTCCTTTTTAAATGAAGATTTGGTTGCACTTTCCTTTAAGAAGAGCCACAAAAGAGATAATGTGCCTTGCTGCGTTCAGCAAGGCTACCTTGCTTGTACTTCTAATTTCAAAAAAAGAGAGGCAAGGGTGGATTATTTGTCAATTAAGTAACAAGCTAAACTGCAGATTAAACATCAAATTCAGTACTAGATTTAAGTTTTAGAGAACACAAGGTTATTGGTTATTCACACACACTCACACAATAACACACACACACGTACACACGGGCCACATAAAACTGAGAATCGGAAGATACTGATCAAAGGAAAAAGAAAGGCAACCTAGGCATTGAAAAGGACAACCCACAGGCTTCTTGAATATTTGTGGTTTGGAATTTAATTCAATGGAGATGGGCAGAGTGTCCACACTCCTAACTGCAGACCCGAGGGTCCTGCCTGTCTCTGTTTTCAATGCCTATTGGATGGTGATTGTGCCCCGGACATTCTAGGCTCAGTACTTTCATATAAGGCATGCATGCAGAGAAGGGGGAGGACCCGCTGGTGAGCTTTATGCATGTATGAGGCATTCTCAGTGGATGTGGGTCATGCTAGAAGATGTACACAGGAAGATTATTTGATTCTAATTCATGCCACTTGATATAATGTGATAAAACATTTGACATGAGAGATAAGTTCCATTTTTATCTGAGAGAGGATGGGTGGGAATTAAAAAGTAAGAAGGGTTTTGTCGAGGAAAGGTGATGCAGGGGAAAGAGGGGTATCAAGCACAGAAAGGGGACGATTGGAAAAGAAAAGAAAAAAAAAGAAAGGAGCCTTTCTACACACGAGGAAAGCAAATGAGCTGGAAGTCAAAGCATATAAAAGTCAGAAGCCGCAGAATCAGAAAGCGGTGCCAACAATGAGCTCACTTAGCTGTGGAACAAAAACACACACACATACACACACACACAAACTCAATGTAAATTGCTGAACACAATCACAGAAAAAAAAAAATAGAAACATGGATTCCATAGTAGACCAAAACATTAATGTTCGCATTGGCACTAAAAATATGGAAACCTGGACAGGAGGAGCTCACGTTTCACAAGACAGAAGTAGGCTGCACACTCAGAGCCACAGGGAGACAAGAACATCAGCTTCCATGCACTCTGGCCGGGTCTACACTGGCAAATTCGGTGGAAACCCGAGATGAAATATCTGGCTAAATTAGGTAGCCTCATCTGCTTTGGCCTAAAAGAGATAGGCAATTTGAGACTGAAGCAGGTTCCTTTTTTTTTTTTTTTTTTTCTTTTTGCCTCAGTGGCTTGCTTTGCTGTGCAGATGCAGTCTCAGTGGAAATAAGATTGCTCAAAAATGATTAACCCTTGGTAATCTGCATTTTCTGAAGTTTGATCTGGGTCCGCAGCCCAATGTACTCATTCTTTGTACACCTGTTTCTCATAAATTATCAGCTGGCTGGGTGGGCAGGGGGCGCCATGGTTTAAAGCTGCAACTGACTGAGCAACTCTAATGTAAGTGTTTGCCAAAACCCAGGGTAAGGATTTCCAGTCTTCCAGGAATGAAATTATCTTTGAAGTGATAACGATGCGACATTTACTGCACATCTGCACACCACAGCTGGTGTCAGGGAGGCGCCACCCCCAGGAGAGGGAGTTGGTCTCAGCCTCCCTGATGAGAATATCTCCCTAAAGTGAGGCCAGATTGCAAGGAGGAAAACCATGACCAAGAAAGGTCTTTGCCAGTTAGAGAGAGCTGCCTTGCAAGCTTCGTGCAGGAATGAGCCTGCTTGCCGAGAGGCTGTGTGCCGTCCTACGTATCACACAGATTGGGACTGAGACACTGCCACACCAGAGTGGGTTCAGAACAGACACAAGACAGATAAGAGCCTAAGGCAGAGGGAGAGGAAAAGATTTAGTCTGAATCAGAACCAATCCATTTTCTCAAAATGTGACTTATCCTCCTGTCTCTTATTTTGTCACATTTTGGAGGGTCTCCTCCTTGGTTTTCAAGGAGGAGAAGGCATTTACTTACATCAAATAACCTTTCTATGTACATCTCCTCATTGACCTTATCACGCAGGACATCCTGAGAATGGCGGACGAAAGTCACGTAGGCGTCGGCCACGTCCATCCCGGGTTTCTGTAAAGAAACAGGAAAACATGAAAACGAATTTTCAGACAGCCACTCTTCCTTGTTTACCATTCACTTGTACCCTCTACTTGCCCTCACACACCCTGAGATGCTTCTGCTGGATCAGCTTTGTAGGCATGGGATTGCTGTCCACAGCCTGGGCTGGTAGGAATTGATATTAGAACTGCTTCCTCTTTCCAGAAATCAAGCCTGGCTAAGAAGGGCATTGAGATTGTAGGATTTTATAAATAGTTTTTCTATGATAAATTTTTTCCTGGCAAATTTATCTAATGGATAAATCTTTACTGCATAACCCATAGATGTTCTCTGACTTTGCCTTGGATTGAAACCTGCATTAAAGAATATCCAAACATACTGTTTTCCACTGTCCTTAATATATTATCAGACGGGTGATGGAACTTCCCATTCCTTTTTCCTCTTTTAAAATATTGAGAAAGTACTAAGTAAAAAAAATTGTGTTTCAATCTATACCTCTTCCTACCCAAGTCTCATTGTGTGTGTGTGTGTGTGTGTGTGTGTGTGTGTGTGTGTGTGTATAGCTTAACCTGAGTGGATATAGTATTTGCTAATTAATTAGTTCACTCAGAGGAGACACTAAACCATTTGTCTTTGCTTCCAGTGCAGCCTTAAAGTCCAAGGATTAAAAAGAAGAAGAAGAAGAGAAGAAACAAAAGGCAGGGGAAGGAGGAGAGGATTTGATTTTTAAATAAATCAGATTTTCTGGAAAGGTAAGCTGGTGGTTCATCCTGCAGTTAGGAAATGACTTATTGTAGGGAAGTAAAAAAAAAAAGAAACTCAGAAAGCACTCTGCTTGAGATGTCACAATCAAAGTTATCTCCAAAGAAACCTATTAAAACACTGTAATATAGGTCATTAGGAGAGTGGCCACAAACCCCTCAAATTTCCACAGTAGATATATATGTCTGCTAATAACTAAAAAGATTAGTTTTCATTACTGTGATTTACCTTAGATCACAAAGTATCATTTCTCTACTAGACGTGACTGTCAGGCACTGTAAATTGAAGTTAGTTAACACTTCTGTGTAATTTCCAGGGTGAAAATGAGGAAGGTTTAGAAACAGTAGGACTGTATTTTTTTTTCCTGATACAAAGCAAACAATTATCATGCAAAGGGCCAATGCTTGGCCCCTGGGATGCTAGTAACATTTCTTAACACCTGCTGAAACAATGACAAGGTATTAATTTGAAAAACAATGAGGACAACCCAAAGCCACAGTAGTCAAGTGTTACACTTTCAAACAATTTTCAGCGAATGGATTGAGCAGGTTCCATGATGGTCCTATAATTGTTGCAGTTTTATGATACAAAACAATAGAGGTTCTCCAATGAGATGTAAGTGATAGCTATCAGTTCTAAGCAGGCACCTCTCTCCTTCTCTCCGTTTGGCAACTGTGCATCAAAGGGCATTCTCAGTAGGGATGGGGATCTCTACCTGGGGGACTTGAGAAACTTATTATTGTTTCTATTTCTCCCCTGGTGATGCTTGTGGCAATATGGCCTTTTCCTGGGCGCATGCAACCATCTTAGAGCTAAGGTACAAAGTCAAGTGCGGCAGATCTATCAGTAACCCAAAATGTTAGAAGAAACAGTAATCTACAATGATGCGTATTTGCACCACTCCTTCTCTTTTCACGAAGTTTCACTGTCTTCAAAGGGGCACTTCATTCAAGTTTTAAAAACTCTGGTATTTTAAAAAATCAGTGTGGTTCATCTTACCCATGTAGTTAAGAAACTCCATGATTTGCTCCCTTTTGACTCTTCTTTTTCCAATAGCACTTACCAATAGCTGATGTTGTATTATACACTATTTGTTTTCTCTCTTATCCCACTAGAACATAAGCTCCATGAACCCAGGAACTTTGTTTGGCCTGTTTTCTATTGCATCCCCAGCATACAAAATGGTACCTAGCATATAGTAGGGGCCCAGTAAATATTTGCTGAATGGACAAATTCAAGAATGAATGAGCAAATCCTTTCTCCATCTCCTCCTTTTTCAAGCTCTTCAGTCACACTGCATGGATTTTTACTGGATCTCCCACAAATTGGAATTTGTGAATATCACTTAAACTTTTCTGTAAAAGAAGAGTTAAAAAAAAACTTCTCTGGGCCTTAGTTATGCTATCTATAAAATGGGATTACTAACAGCTCCCCTACTTACCTCCACGGACTGTTATGGTCATCAGCTAGAATAATGTATGTAAAAATGTTTTGAAAGCCATATATTGTAATACAAACATGAATTACTATGATTCCCCCCCCCCCCCATAATATTATACCATTCCACAGCCTTACCTACCTTTAGAATCTACTCTAGAACCAAGAAGAAAAGGGGGCCTCAGAGGAGCCAACGTCAAAATAAAAATGATAAAGCCTCAGCACAAAACATGTGTAGTTTTCTCATAATGGAGTCCTCAAGCTCCCACTCCCAACCAATTCCAACAAGTTTGGTTTCCATCCCTTGATGGAGCAGAAATAGGGAAGAGGGGGATTGTTTGAAAAAACTGTGCAGATAAGAGAGAGCTATCATTTTTCCTTATGCCTGACGGTGAGGGAGGAGGCTGCCCAACTGCAACACCAGACATGCAGACTCACCAACCGCTGGGGTTTGGGACTATCGAGGGCAGGGGCAAGCCTCCCCTATATCTTGGGAGGCCCTGGAGGGGAGTGGGTCACTATGCAGCCACTGGGGAAAGACATGGTCACAATGGTGATCCTGAGTCATTGAGAAAAGATTATAGTCAGTACCCTGTTTAAAAAGGCAAGAAGGTTGTGTAATGCATTTCAAGTAGATTTCCAATCAAAACAATTAAAAGAAAAACTGTTCACAAACAAGCTAACCCTTAGTTATAGCTGGAAAATATACTTGACCAGACAGCTGATACTATTAAATTATGCTTTTATATCATTGTGCTACCCGCACACACTGGGACAAACTTTTAGATGTTTTTTAATATCTCATAATGACATTGTGTATTTTAAATGTGGCTTGGACAGACTGATTGAATATGACACAGATTTTAGAAAACACTTAAACAAATATCTGTATAGTTAACTGCATCCATGTGTGGAAGACATAATTTGTGAATAAGCTACCCTGTGGCTCAGAAAAAGAAGAACATTTTAATCTGAACTTGCCCCTACCGGAATACTTCTGAGCTTGAGAAAAATGAGCTCAAACTTCCAGCATCCTAAGTCAGCCCTACTTATGAATGCAAATCTCCTACATATACCAATGGGTCAAAAACTACATCTAAAACAAAGACATATGCTTTGGGGATCATGTAATGTTTTAGGTGACTGGTACTAGAACTTCCCTCCAGTAGTGTGGATAGTTAAGAGACAAATCTCAAAGGTGACTAACTGCTAGTGCCCACATGGAACTAAACCATTAAATGTTCTAACAAAAACCTCACAGGGAAACACAGGTGATCTCAGAGGCTTCAGAGATAGAAATGAGTTGAGAAATGATTTTATCTGATGGTTCTTAAGCCTGGCTGCAAATCTGAAGGACCTGGGGAGCTTTAAAAATACTGATGTCTGGGCCCTGAACCCCAAAGATGCTGTTTCAATTTTGTCTGGCAAGTGACCTGGGCATTAATGCTTGCAAAAGCTCCCTAGTTTCCAATATGTAGCCAAGGTCAAGAATCACTGATTTAGTCCATTGGTTTCCCAACTTGTACTACTTATCAGAATTATGTGAAGAACTTAATGGAAAGCAATATCCAGGCTCCACCCCAGAATGACTGAATCAGAATCTCTGGAGGTGAGGGCCTGGGACTCTGTATTAACAAAACAAAAACAATTATGTGCCCATTAAAAAATAATAATAAAAGCTGAATATATTAATTAATAAAAAACAAAAACAAACCAGAAATTTTTTTTTTTTTTGCCAAGTATTGCTGCTGTACATTCTAGTTTGGGGACTGCTGACTTAATAGGTAATAGTTAGTGGTATGCTGGTAAACTGACTCTTTTTTTTTTTTTGAGATGGAGTTTCGCTCTTGTTGCCCAGGCTGGAGTACAATGGCACAATCTCGGCTCACTGCAATCTCTGCCTCCCAGGTTCAAGTGATTCTCCTGCCTCAGCCTCTCTGGAGGAGGTAGCTGGGATTACAGGTGCACGCCACCACACCCGGCTAATATTTTGTATTTTTAGTAGAGGCGGAGTTTCACTATGTTGGCCAGGCTGGTCTTGAACTCCTGAACTCAGGTGATCCACCCACCTTGGCCTCCCAAAGTGCTGGTATTATAGGCGTGAGCTGCTTCGCCCGGCATAAACTGACTCTTCAAAACCAACAACAAAACAAAACAAAACACCCTGATTTGTAGTGTTTACCAATTTGCATGGTGTAAATACTCCCATCAAGGCTAATTTTGAGCTACCAATGTGCTCTCATTGAAGGCGGAGTTGGAGAGAGATGCACATAATTGACCTTGGGAACCAGTGCTAGCTACTCTACCACACCCCTGGAAGTGCAGGCTTTATGGTCCAACTGACAGCACCTGATAGTCACACTCTGCTTATTCACCAGGTGACCTTGGGCATGCTAATTAACCTCTTTGTGCCTCAGTTTCCTCAGCTATAAAACAGAATGATAATATTAACCCCTCCTAGGATTGATTTCAGAAGCAAATGATTACTATTATCTACCATATATAAACAATGTACATATAGAATATACGTGTATTATGTACTATTGTTTTCTATAAAATTGTTATTTATTTACTAAAAGGTTTACTATAATATTATTAGCTATTAAAGCGTATGTTAATCAACTTAACATTTAGCTTTGTCCTAAGTCATTAATAGCTGGTAAAAAAATACTTTTTCTAATATGCACTAAAATAATTACCACTATCCAAATCAAGGTGTTTGTTTATGCACTAACTGGAATTATCTTGCAGTATGGCAGAATTTGTAAGGGCATTGGCTTAAATCTCAGCTCTTCTACTAACCCGATGTGGGATCCTGAGCAAATTAACTTCTCTGTGCCTTAGTTTCCTCATATTTAAAGTGAGGTTATTGTGAAGATAAAATGTAAACTGTTCTAGTGAGTACTTTATAACGCTTGGTTGTAGTAGCAGTAATAGTAGTTATTATATTTTGTATAATCAGTGGTAAATGTACCACATTTTGGAACATGCTGCATCAACTTCTTCTGCCCTCCAGAGTGTGAAAACTCTACTAATTCAATTTGTTTCCTCATAGCCTAATGACATATGGTTTGGCTGTGTCCCCACCCAAATCTCATCTTGAATTATAGCTCCCACAATCCCCAAGTATCATGGGAGGGACCCAGTAGGAGGTAATTGAATCATGGGGGTGGTTACCTCCAGGCTGTTCTTGTGATACTGAGTGAGTTCTCAGGAGATGTCATGGTTTTACGGGGGCTTTTTTCCTTTCACTCATTCTTCTTACCTCTGCTGTCTTGTGAAGAAGGACGTGTTTGCTTCCCCTTCCGCCATGATTGTAAGTTTCCTGAGGCCTCCCCAGGCATGCCGAACTGTGAGTGAATTAAACCTCTTTCCTTTATAAATTATCCAGTCTCTGGTATGTCTTCATAGTAGCATGAAAATGGACTAATGCACCTAACGAGTCTTCTAATTTAGCATAATTAATCCATAAACACTTAATGAGTACAGATCAGGGCACCCTGCATTTTGATATAGAGTCCACTTACTGCCCTCCCATCTTTATAATAAATCTGAACCTAGCTTGCAGGAATTATTAGATCGAATCATATGAAATGGCTGATATTTGACTTCTTTGACCTCACCAATATGCCAATTTCATGTGGTTCAATCTAACATAACCTGATGTTAGTACCAATGGCTGGATCAAGTTTCTCTAGGTGTTTGGGCCTTGTCTACAGGCCACCTGTTCAAACCTGGCTGAGATACCCCCTCTGCTCTGGATCCTACAGAGAATAGACCACAGCTACCAAATCTTTGGGTCGAAAGCCGAGAATTTCAATTTCTATCACTGTTGAAGACCAGTGGAGCCCAACGCTGATGTCTGCAAATTCATCCCCCATCCATCTATATGCAATAGAGTGTGGACATCACACTACCACCACCACGTGTGTCCTTCTCCTGGACTGAAATTCCTAATAAGTGCCAGGTATGGTGCTGGATGTTCTATGTATGTTGTGTCATTTAATTTGCACAGCAAACCCATGACTTAGGTATTATCGTCATCTCCATTTTAAAGATGGAGAAACAGGGCCAGAAAATTTGAGTAGTTAGCTCCCCACGAAGGGAAAGTTTATACTTTGGAGGCTTGAGAAAGTAAATTACTTAAGTTCTCTCCCTGCTGCAGTTATGTGAGCTTTTTCTATTCTCCATTATAAGAACTGTCTACCTGAAGGAATCTGAGGTTTGTGGATAGGAAGTATCATATAAATTCAAAGCATAATTATTGATTGTACATTCTTTCATTAAACAAACACAATATATGCTAATGCTAAATTCACTCCAATTTTCTATTTTGTCTTCCTTTGAGAAATAAGCCAGTAAACCATTACACACTTAGCTTCCTGGGGAAATGAATTTAAATGTTAATACAAATCCTTTTAGAAAAAAACAAATTTTAACAAATAAGTATTTGAACAAGGGGGGTACTTAACCACGTTCAGAATGAGAAATGCTTAGTACAAGACCCTTGGTGGCTGTTGAGATAAGCTCTCTAAATTTAATATTTTATAATAGACTCACACCTCTTTTGTTAGAAATGGAGAAACAAAATCATTTTCTTTTTCACTTTACTGGAATATATTAAAATCTCTCCAATTTTATTTTGCTAATAGGCAGGGCAAAGTCTGTCCATAAATGTATCCTGATTTATCACAGGTAATCCCACACTTTAGCATTCATGTGTTGTACTTAACCTCAATTTAAATGTAAATTTTGGGAAACTTCGAGTGCTTTATCTGTGAACTTTGAGAGCTCTCTTCATTAATGAGGCCTGCACTAAATTATAAGCAGTTTTATGAGGTTTCCTTAAAACAATTGCAGAATTGACCCCAAAATGAACAAATTTAGAATTTATTTGTTTTTTTTATTAGGTTGGTGCAAAGAAATTATGTTTTCCACATTTTTAATTGCAAAACCACAATTAAGTTTTTCATCAACCTAACAAAAAATACTATCACCCTTGTGCAAGTTTCTAGCTTCATGGCTTTCCTCTGAAGGTGTGCACACAGGAGGGTTGGTGAACATGATGAAAACAGAATGAAACAACAGAGAAACCAATGAAAATGAAAGTGAAAGTGAAGTGGGTTTACCCTCAAACAGGACCTTTCTTCCTGATGAAAGAAACCATACCGTCTTCTTATCTGAAAAAAAAATTCTACTACAAAATATTCTTGGCTTCTTTCTGATGATCCAAGTCAGCAACACACAGTTTAGCTAGCAGCAATTAATATGAGTAGCACTATCAAAATTCTCATGAAAACAAAAAGTAAAAATGAAAAAAAAAAAAAACAAAAAAACCCCATGAGAAACAATTTTCAAATACTCACAGGTACATCCACATATTTGGAAGCTGCCTTCACCTAAAGAGGAAAGAAGAGGATGGAAGTGAGGCTGGTGTTTATGTTTAATTGTTCACTGCTCAATGCTGTATCCCCATCAGAATCAAAACAACATGCTGGCACATGGAGCTGACCAGGAAAAACAGAAAGGTACTAGAAAATAAAATCTGTTTGCTATTTTTTCAAGCCATAGCCACTGCTTTGCAGAAAGAGAGAATGCACACGCAAATTTACTGATTCAGATTCTGTTGCTGGAGCGGGAGCTTTACATTTTCCTCCCTCCCTCTGAAAAAAAGTAAAGTGACTAGCTAAACCCACATGGATTAGTCCGGGGCTTACCAGTCTAGAGAAGCAACTAAGATTGCTGTTACTTCTGGTACCTTGGGTCTTTGTGTAATTTGGCTGCAGGTTGTCCTAACTAAATAACTAAAAACCTCAGTTCTCAGCTTTCATTAACTCAGGTTTTTAAGAGGAAGATGGACATCCTCAACCCAGAGGGAGATGGTGTCTGCGGGTAGGGGGATGAGAACCTTTCAAAACTGCCCAAAGGCTGCCGTTATGTCTCCTGCTTTTACGTGCTAAAAATTCCAGATGGGAAGTGCAGGAAGTGGTTATAAAATTTTTAGTTTTGTGGGGAGGGAGTATGGTAGCGTGCTAGAGTGTTATGTTTGAGAGCATGAAGTTTGGAGTCAGATCTCAGTTCGAATCCCAACTCTACCACTTACAAGCTGTGTGACCTTGGGCAAGTTGCTTCATCTCTCTGAGCCTCTGTTACCTCATCTGCAAAATGGAGTTATTATTAGTAATAGTGCTTATTTCCGCAGGTTGATAAGGGTGAATTCACACTTAGCCCCAGGATGTAAATACAGAACAAATGGCAGCTAAGACGATGAATTCATAAGCAAATGTGGGTGAGTTCTGAGTACTGTGAAAAGTCAATGAACAGCTGGGTTTGAGAAATAAAGCCTATGGGAGTATGTTTAATATTCTGTGTGTTTCATTTTGACTCAGGTCACACATGTTTCTCTAGGCACAATTAAGACTAAGGAGCTACATTTGGGGTCAGAGAGGGTTTCCTGTTTTTACTGGGAACTACAAAGACTGCAATGCACAAAAAGCAGTTAGGATGTCTTTTCACATCTCAGCCAGGCTTCCTCCTGCAATTTGGCTGAGATCAATATTAGGAATCAAGCTTCACCCAAATGTCTCCCAGAAAAGTACCCAGGGGAGTGATTTCCTCTGTTGCTCTTTTCTCAATGCTAGTTTCCAAAATGTCAGCTCTCAAGAGAAAACAGCCAATGAACCAATAGGGTGGGGTGGAAAGAGCCCAGAATATAGAGTCAAAAGTTCTTTCAGTGCCAGAACTCGTTGACCCTGGGGAAATCATGCCAAGTTCCTTAGCCTTGGTTTCCAGATTTCTAGACCAAGGTGACAATACTGTGTACTTTGCAGGGCTGAAAGCTTGGTGAAATGAGAAAACGCATGAGAAAGTGCTTTGTAAACTTTAAAGCAAGGAACACACATCAATTAGGTAATTATCGAGAGGGCAATGCATTCTATCTTCTTGAATCATTGCCAGCCCCCAAGACGATTCCTGGAGTCTCCTGTTACAGATTCTCTTAGAACCTTACACTTGTTCTTGCAGCATTGATTGCAATTCAGCCGAAATTTTTTTTTGTGCAATGTCTACCTCCCATATAATGTCATGAGAGCAAAGGCTATCTTGGTCTTGCTCATGGCTGTCTCCTCATTGATTCACCTGGTACCAGCTTAGAAAGGAAACTCAGGGAAAATTTATAGAGGGAAGCAATGAGAGAAAGCTAATGACCAGTTCTGGCCTCAGGATGATTGAGAAGTAAGCAGAGGCAAGATTGCATCAAGGAGCCACGTCACTGATCAGTCTGAAAACCAACATAGTTGTATAGAAAGGTGACTGCCTGCAGAGGCTGGTGGGTAAAGGAGAATACTCTTAGTCCTTAAAGGGATTTGAGGCAGGCTCTCCAGATTTTGCACAATTATCATTTCTACTAAAAGATTCTAAACCCCAAATCTTTCCTCGCCATTGCTATGCTAGAACTTAGTTCAGGAAAGAAGGTGGCTTGCCTTTTTTTTTCATGTCTCCCCCATGTATACTATTATCTAACATTTCTGTGATATTTTTCATTTGCAAAACACTTCCACAAACAGTTTCTTCTTTAAGCCACCCTGCAAAAAGGGGGTGATTCAATCAGATCCGTTTACAATCGAGAACGTAAAACCCATAGAATTTAAGGAATTTATTTGCTCATGATCACAGACAGGAGGCAGAGAAGCCAAGACTCCTATGCGGTCATCTGAGCCCAACTTTCTCCCTTGGAACTCTTGATCTCCTCAATATTGGTAGAAAAGTATGAGGAATTCAAGCATCGGTGGTCAGAGCAGGTGCTAGCAGAACAATTCTTCTCAGCTAGAAATTGCCTCCTGTACTCTGTGATGTTGATGCTTAGCAGTTGGTAGGGGTTTTGTTACAGCTGAAATGAGCAACCTTTAAACACACCATTTACCATTTACTACTAACATGCAGTTACAATCCGGAGAATGACACCAAATTCTATTCCTTTACAGGCAGTTTGGGAAGATGAGGCAAGTTTCTGTCACAAATGAAAATCATCCACTCTCCCTCATGCACCAGCCCTCGGTTTGTTAGGATTGTTCTTTTATTTAATAAATGATGACTTGCACTTAGTCTTATTGATCCTCCTCCCATCCCATAATAACAGGAAAAAATAACCCAGGGTAAATTGTGGTCTATTATTATTTAGAGACATGTGTGTATCATTTTTGGTTCGGGATATTGAACTTTTTTGGGGGGGGGTGGTATGGAGTCTCACTGTGTCACCCAGGCTGGAGTGCAGTGGCGCGATCTCGGCCCACTGCAACCTCTGCCTCCCGAGTTGAAGCAATTCTACTGCCTCAGCCTCCTGAGTAGCTGGGATTACAGGCACCCACCACCACACCCAGCTAATTTTTGTATTTTTAGTAGAGATGGGGTTTCACCATGTTGACCAGGCTGGTCTCAAACTTGTGACCTCAGGTGATCTGCCTGCCTCGGCCTCCCAAACTGCTGGGATTACAGGCGTGAGCCACCATGCCCGGCCGCTGGATATTGAACTTTAAGAAGGACATTGATGATGAGGAAAAGGGGGATTCTGGCAGTATATTCTATAAGGAAAGTGAAAGAAAAGGCATCTTGCCTAGAAAAAGATGGGCTAATTGCAAAGAAAACCATAATATTCATGTAGTTAATTAAGGAGCTTCAGTGCAGGTTTGAATTTGTTCACAATGGTTCCAGAGTATAGAATCAGAATGAATGTGTAAAATTACAGGGCCCTAGAAAAAGGTCTAAACAGCTATCACACTCCAGCCAGGAACTGGCCATTTCTGGTGATAGAGACCTCCACCTCACTGGAGAAGCTCAAACAGAGGCTAGGTAGAAGGCTCTGGACGTGTTTTTCTTTTCTTTTCTTTTCTTTGGATTTGTTTCTTTACCTACATGAGAGTTTATCTCTAGGGCTGCTTTTCATTCTCTGATTCAAGTCCCCTTAGAGGTAGGAAGTTGTCACCAGTTACATTCTTTACAGTAGATAAATGTAGCAGAGCGGAGAAATTGACAGAACCAGGATGAGAATCTTTTCCTGTACAATGTCAGCAGTGCTCCCTTTTTAAGGATCACCTTTTCTTAAGTTATCCATATCCATATCCATAGGAATATGTCTTTTTGCCAGCTATACTCTAGGTAGAAGGGAATGATCAGATCCTCCCAACCCACTAGAGTTTTGGAATTATTGCCAGAAAATCCAAGCATGCACCAGGCACTGTATCTAGATCAAATAACCAACAGCCCTTACCATCTACACAAGGCTATTTTACATTATAATAAGATATTGTTTTGATGAACAAAACGCAAATTTCTTTAAAAGCACTATATAATATAGTAGCTTTTTGTCTTTGTGTATTTTTTTCCATCAATGGTTGTTAAAAGAGTGTGTGTGTGTGTGTGTGTGTGTAATTTTCTTTTCTTTTTTAACTTTAAATCTAGAGAAGTGGCTTACAGAATGGGTTCAGGATTAGCTAGGTTAAAACTCTGGCTTTGCCATTTTTTAGCTTGGTGACTAGCCATTACTTAACTTCTCTGAGCTTCCTTTGTAAATGGGACAGTAATAACGCTACTCAAAGGGTTCAACTAAATGTAGCTGTGCTTATCATCATTACTGGTAATATTGGCTTACCGGTGTAGACAAAGCACATGCTCCTCAGCCTGGTGGTGATAGTCAGTTTCACTCCCCACCTCTGGCCCACGGGCAATTTCTTGCTATAAAAAAGATTCTGGAATCTCCCCAGGTTACCAACAGGTATCTGAGCTGATTCTCAGTCTGGCATACTTTCTGCCAATTCTGTGACACCCTATGCACTGAGAACTCACCCTCTAAATGTTGAGGCTGACAGCAAAGACCTGTTCTCTTTGCTAAGTATGACTGAGTGTGGGCATAAGTGAGAGGGCAGTTCCCCAGGCCAGTGCCCTGGGTTATAATCAACAACACAATCTATTACTCTCCAGGACCAAGCCATAGCCATGTACCCTAGGGCACAGGAGACAAAGGGGAGGGGGTAGGGCTTGCCCCAGATACCTGGTCTGGCATCCCTCCTGAGCAGGTTCTCAACTGCCCTCAAAGGGAGGCAAGAACTGTGACTTCAGCAGAACTTCATCTCCTGGGACTCCCTGCTTTCTGACCATCCCCTCTGGTAGGACAACCCATATCTTTTCTCTAGCAGCATTCATGAACCCTCTTGTCCCCGACTCTCCAGATAGAGCCAGTTCTGGAAAAAGCTTAGAAAAAGAGACACAAATCCAGAGAGGCTGACGGAGGCTAAGGATAAAATTGGGAAGAGCCGCTGTCAGTGAGCAATTGTTCATGTTTTCCTGTGCCTGAAACAAAGAACATTTACTATGTACAGGTACCACATTAGGAGCTGTAGGATGAACGTGCTTGCTCCATGATTTCTGCCTCAACAACCTTTTGAGGGGGATCCTATTAATATTCCCATTTTACAGTTGAAGAAACCAAGGCTAAAAGAGATAAGCAACTTGGCTTGAAGGCACATGACTAATAAGTTACAGCTTTGGACCTCCCATTCCCTAAGCTGCCTATCATCCTATTATTTAGTTTCTTTTTTTAAAAAAACTATGAAACCACTTTTATTAATTAGCTATATTTAAGTCTTAATTTTTTCTTGTAACCTTAAATGGCTTCTCAAAAAAAAAATGTATGAGGGACTTGAATACATTTGAGTCAGTGCAGAAGGTCCAAAATAGTTTCTCTGGCTTGAATGTCCCAGCTAATTACCTCGACCCTCCACCTCACTTAGCCAGTGTAGACAGGCTTAATGGTTTCTCTATTGAGCTCTTCCATTATTTTTCAGGTGCCCAAGGTAATCTTTTCATTGAGCACTCACCATTCTGGGGTTTTCACAATGCTGATGACTAAGGGATTTTCTTCTGCCTGGCCCTAAAAAGGGGACCTGAGTTAATCATTGTGCAGCTTTGATAGGGAGCGCGGCAGGGGCTTAAACCACTTCTTTTGCTTCATTAGGGGAAAAAGCAACCCAGGTGCAGACCACGAGGACCTCAGGGTTTGATACTATTAAATCAATGCACAGACAAAAAAAAAAAGTGGATTAGGCCCTTTTTGCAAACAGAAGTCTGGTGGGTAAGACTCAAAGATGGAAGAAGAAAGAAGTCTGAACAGATACCACCGCATTAGTGACTGCCCGAGCGCCCCATGATCTCTCACAAAAAAAAAGGAAAAAAACAATCAAGGAAATGATTTATTCTCTCCATGAGCTGACTCCACCCCCGCCTGTTTGACTTCACAAGAGCTCTGAGTTAATTTTTTTTGTCCTTTGCCTAGATACTGCAGACCACACCACCACGTCAAAGGGCTAGCAAAATTTACTTCAATGTTTGGCCTTTGAAATTTCTGCTGCAAGGTTAATGATGCTGTTTTGCTCCCTTTTCCACTTCCCTAACCCAAGCAATTTAGAAATGTAGATTTTTTTGTGTGTCAAGGCAATTCAGTATGTAAAAATGTTACTCAGTGCCATGCCTAAAATCATTTCGTCTCCTGTTGGTTTGATTTTTCATCTCTCACCAGCCTCATATCTAGAATGTAGGTGCTCTCTTTCCTTAGTGTCTACACTACCTGGTATATAGTAGTGGCTCAATAAAAATATATTGAATGAATGAACTTTAGAGAATGGCACTCTTTACTCAGTACCCAGGGCAGAGGTTAGAGGTTTCTAGCACTTTCTTACAGTAGGTGTTTGAGCTGTAGCACTCTTATAGGACAACTAAGAAAGTACCACTAGGCATGATCAGTTCAAAAGGCATAGTCCCTGGGCATAGTAAGAACTATGTGCCAGAAATCATTGTCATTTCTGCTGGAAAGTCAGGTTGTTTTAGTGAATTGCACTTGTATATTAAGGTTGGTCTGACCCTACACATGTGGCTCTTTAAATTTAAATAAATTAAAAGAAAATACAAGTAACATTCAACTTTTTAGTTGCACTAGTCGCAGTTGAGAGTACTTGAGAGCTACATAAGGCTAGTGACTATTTTGGACAGCTCAGATACAGAATACTGCCATCACTTTAGACAGTTCTATTGGACAGTGCTGGTCTAGACGCAAGGGACATTCATAAATATAGGTTATTGCATTTTTAAGTGATATGAATTAAGAATTTCTATGTTAGAAAATGAAATTAATTGGAGGAGGAAGCAGGAGAAGAAAAAAGATATGGGTGTCATAGTCTCATTTTGTGGGTGAAACAGGAAATAAAGGTGGATGGGTACAGCTTAAAGTTATAATGGTACCAAGACAGGAAGAACAATACTGTAATAACTGTAACAGAAGGAGAGTGGAGGAGAAGTGGATGATGTAAAGTGAGCTGAAGCTCTATCTATTACAGTAGGGAGTCAAATAATCACTAAGATTGACCAATCAAGAAATGACAACAAAGGCTGGGTGCAGTGGTTCATGCTTATAAACCTAGCACTCAGGGAGGCTGAGGCAGGAGGATTGCTTGAAACCAGGAGTTCAAGACCAGCCTGGGCAAAATAGGGAGACCTCAGTTTCTACAAAAACAAACAAACAAACAAACAAACAAAAAATTAGCCAGGTGTGGTTGTGTGCACCTATATTCCCAGCTACTCAGGAGGCTGAGGCAGGAGGATCACTTGAACCCAGGAGTTCGAAGCTGCGGTGAGCTGTGATCATGCCACTGCACTCCAGCCTGGGAGACAGAGTGAGACCCTATCTCTAAATAATAAGAATAATAAACAATATAATAATAGTACTTAGCACTCCAGGGGTTAAAAAATTGTTAAAAAGTTTCATTTTGAAGGAAGGGATTGAGAGCAGAAAGGACTAGGACAGAGAGCTGTGTTTTTTTAAAAAAAATTATGAATGTTTCTGTACTGTTTCATTTTTTTTAGCCATGTGCCGATATGACTTTCATTAAAAATTATTGAAAAAAGGAACAAAAGTGATAGAATTTTCAATTTTCAATTCTAGTGGAGAAAGGGATTTTGCAGGAAGAATATATCTTTCTCAGGGTGACCTTCTCAAGGTGTTTGGTTGATGAAGTCATGGTTTAGAGGTATGTCCTCTATAAAGGCAAAACCAAAACCTAACAGAACCAACACTCAATACATAATCTGGATGCTCTAAGTGCATCTTGGGAAGATGAATAAATTTTAAGTGCCAACTGAGGGACTGACTGCTTGGGTGAGACAGAATGTGTGAGTGGGCGGATGTACTGGGACTGCGTGTGCGGGTGAGCAGTTGAGCAAACCTCAGTGGCTTCTGCCTGGGGCCAAGTGACAATTACGGTGAAAGCCCCTTCCAATACTTTCTGAGGACTGGAGAAAAACACAACCCTTAAAGTATATCTGGAATCATAGACAGCATGATGGATTCCCAGGGCTCTGTCACCAGAGGGCCTGAAATGTCTTCTTTGCTTACCGAACGTCAGTACTGTGCTGGGCCAGTTGGGAGGCACTATTTCCATGTGAGCACTGGGTCAAATGCTACATGGATGCATATACATCATGAGGCCATTGTCCGTTGCTTCCTTTTATAAGAGGGCCAGAGTTTGTAAATGCCATTTTTACAGAGGTGGGAACTGTGACACCAAAAATTTCTCATAAGTAGCTCACCAGATGTCCATTGCTTGAAAAATGATCACTGGCTTTCAAAATTTGATTCCCATTTGAAAGAAAAGAGTTAAAGTTTGAGATGTTTAAAAAATAAGGTTTCTCTAAGTTGCCTATAAATGGAACCATTTCAGATAATGGAAAAGAGAATACTGACCAAGTCTTGACTCTTACTCCTACTTTCTCAATTAGTGTCTATGTGACCTTGGGAAAAGCAATGAACTACTCAGATTTCTCATGAACAATACAGAAATATTTAATAACTGATAGTCATATATAAAATCAGGATGCATTTACCAATGATTGAACACCTAATTTACAGTATCTTATTCACGTCTTCTAAGGACTTGTCTTCTTCCTTTATGAATGAGGAAACTGGGCTCAGAGAGGTTAAGTTGCTGTCCTCAGGGCACACAGTCAAGAAGTAGCAGAGCTAGGATTTGAACCCTAATGGGTGGGCCTGACTTCAAAGGATTCTGTACTGTATCAGGTTGTCCCTACACTGCCTTTTCACAAGACAATTTAACAAAGTTTGAAGGGAAAAGTCCTACCATGACTGTGGAAGTATTTTGAACAACAAAATGTATTATAATATTAACTGACCGCAAATAAGACCTCATATATAAAACTGTAACCATCAAGGATAATATTCTGAAATGACCTCTGTGAACCACTGCAGAGCTTCACAGAGGGCCATGGGAAAGTGGGAGAGAGCCGAGGTTTTCCTGCAAAGCATCCTTAGGCAAGAACATGAAAACTGAGTTGCAGGGCTACTGGTTGATTGTACGGCTTCTGTGCATGTTCATAAATATTGATTGTGATTAAACTATTATCATAGTAATGAGGGTAGTAATGCCTCCTACAGCCCATCCCACCATACTCCTCAAAGTCCCTACCTTTTATTAAACAAAGGGCTGCTGGCACTGCTGGGGAGTTGGGCAAGAGGCAAGGAAATGATCTCTATTAAGCAAACGCATTCTATTCCATGCTCTGATTAGGAGCCGCAGCCTCATTAACGATGAGAATTGTTCTCATCTCCTGTTGTTCAGGGTACTGTGCTCCGAGACTAGATCCAGGAAGTGTATGTTCTCATCTCCCCCCACCCCCCACCCCCTGGGGCTTCTGAACAGATGCCTGATTGAAGTAGACCTGTTTTTCCTTCCAGTTTTCCTTTTCCTCATTTCTGTCCCAATCCCTCATTCCCAGAGAGGATTTTTCCAAGGCTCAAGGGCTCCCTCAGACCCAGCCTCTTAACACTGCTGATACTTAACAATGGTTGCATGCTTACTCTTTGCCTAGCACAAGGTTAAGCAATTTATAAGGAATTCACCCTCACAATGGTGGGCGTGAAATTCTCATTGCTTACAGATGAGGAAACTGAGGCTCAGAGAGGTTAATCGACTTTTGAAAAGATCCACAACTAGTGACATTATGGAGCTGGTATTTGAAGCATGGTTTCCTTGGACTCCAGGGTTTGCCCTCCTAATGGCCACATTGTATGCTTTTCCATTTTGTTGATTTTTGTGACATGATCTTATTTTAAGAGAAACTTGGAAGTGCAAATTGGAAAGTTTTAATTTTGTAAAATCTCCAAGCAGACATGTAAGCTTATTTTTGCGGATTTTAAGTGGGGGCCCCTGCCCCCTTCTGGCATTTTTGTGTTTTGTTTGCCTTTTGAACATCTCTCAACACTAAGAAGGGTGACAGAATGCAAGCTTGAAGAGGACAAGGGCCATGTCTTACTTGTGTCCCTGGCTTCCACATGGCTTTGGTGCTGAGCAAGTGAGGGCTATATTGTTGTTACTGAATAGTAATGCTTCTGCACGAAGGGGTCACTTGTGACCTCTGGTGTCCTTGACTTTTCCTGCAGGCTGCTTTAGCCTGAATTTGAAGGTATAATTTATGTCACTGCTGCCAGTGACAACTTATCTATCATAGCCTGGGTTTGTAACACAGTGGTTTGGTTTCTCTCTCTCTCTCTTTTTTGTTTTCATTTTCTCAGGTAAAGAGTGAAGAAAACAAGCAATCCCAGGGAGGATTTTTGCAAGGCTCAAGGGATGAGTTAAGAGGTCTGAGTTCTATTAAACTAGCTGTGCAAGTCATTTTCCTTCTCTGGTTTCAGTTTCCGCAACTGCAAAATGGAGTGGCTAGAAAGTATCAGTACTTCCCAGACTTCCAGCATCAATACACCTTCCTGATTTTGGCTGCAACCCATGAACCATCTGTATTATAGTTACTTATTATTCCTCCTTAAACTAGCTCACTTTAAAAATACTTAATTATAAAGGGAAACATGTTTCTACTATAAATGAAAAAGCAATATCACTCTCAATAAGAAAAAAGCCAGGGTGAAAATAAATACAATATAACTAAAATAATGGTAGTAAATTCTGGGTAGACATGGTTGCCTGCTAAGGGTCCTGAGCCTGAAGCCTCCCCGTCCTCTGTTACAAATGAAAATTTGAGATTTTTAGAAAAGTGTGAAAGACAAACAAGCACCAAATGGAAACTTTCTTCTTGACATAAGGATAAAGATGAAAAGAGAATTAGAAAAATAATAACCCTCTCACAATGTGATTGGTCTTGTTTAATGATGAGTTTTTGGAGCATCTAACACCAGTAGCATCTGAGGTCCCATGTGGTACATATCCTGCACTTGGGATATACTCAGTGGTATGCTGGTTTCTGAAAAGCTCACACTCTCTCTCTTCCCTTTCTCTTTATCTATCACTGTCTAAAAAAAAAAAAAAAACCCAATATAATAATATACTGAAATATAAGTAAGATAGTGTTTGCCAATTTCAGTAAAATGCTCCTGCTGTGGTCAGTTTTAGGCTACCAATGTGACATCCCTAACTTCGAACATAGGAAGAGAAATGGAGATCGGCTCTCACCAGCAGGTAGGAGCCAAGCAGACTCTAGCATATCAGTGGAAACATTGAACCAGAAAGTCTAGAAAGTTCCTTCGATTGAATGCACTCTAGACACTAACTTCCAGACAGTAGAGTAAGATTTTTTTTTTAAACCTATCTCTACCACTCTTAGTTCAGCAATTTACATACAGCAGTGGCTGATTGAGTAGCTGATGCTAACATTTGTGCTCAGTGATAGAACTACACTAATAATTACAATAATAACAATGTCTAACAAGTGTCAAATACTTACTCCAATCCACCATTTTCTCATTTAATTCTACCCACACCACATAATGTAGGTCTTATTGTTCCCATTTTACAGATTAGGCAACTAAGGTCAGAGATTAATCAATCTGTCTAAGATTATACTTTAGGAAGTGGCAGAACTGGAAAAATAAGAAACCCCAGTGCACACTGAAATAAACCTGATTCAAACCAAAATATGCTTGGAGAATGAGATATTCAATTCTAGTTAAGCAAACATTTTGATTAATAAAGAGGTGTTTTAGAGACTATGTAAAAACGAAAAATTCTTTTGGCATTAAAATAAAACACAAAATGCTAAAATACACTAAACATAATGGAATATGACTTTGATGAATCAAATTTTTGCATGAAAGAATATGCTAAAATATAAGTCACAAGAGTTTTGATTGACCTTGTCATGGGTAATAGTTTGGATTGCTTACAGGAGAAATGATTGGTATGCTAAGACTGAACTGGTGAGAAAATGGAACCAACCCAAATGTCCATCAATGATAGAGTGGATAAAGAAAATGTGGCACATATACACTATAGAATACTACACAGCCATAAAAAAGGATGAGTTCATGTCCTTTGCAGGGACATGGATGAAGCTGGAATCCATAATTCTCAGCAAACTAACACAAGAACAGAAAACCAAACACCGCGTTTTCTCATAAGTGGGAGTTGAACAATGAGAACACATGGACACAGGGAGGGAAACATCACACACTGGGGCCTGTTGAAGGGTGGGGGACTAGGGGAGGGATAGCATTAGAAGAAATACCTAATGTAGATGACGGGTTGATGGGTGCAGCAAACCACCATGGCACATGTATACCTATGTAACAAACCCGCACATTCTGCACATGTATCCCAGAACTTGAAGTATAATTTAAAAAAAAATTTTTAAAAAAGCACCAGGGTCATGTAAACTTTCTTACAGTTTTGAATAATTTGACAGTAAGGCTAAGAATGGCTATTTATGGAGCACCTACTAACTATATACCAGGTGTTATGAAAGGGCTACTGTTTATCTCTTATTAGCCCAGTGGCTCTCTGAGGCAGCTATCAGCATTCCCACTGTATAGATGAAGAAACCAAGGCTCAGAAACGGTCAATAGCCTGCCTACGTTTCTGTTAGTCTGGGCTTCACAGTCACACCTTTATCTTAATCACTCTCTAACTTTCTGGCGATAAACTTCCCACTGCATGTGATTTGGAGGTCAGGATAGAATCTATAATTAATTTCATGACAACTATTTCCTGTTTGAAGCCATGTACCTATTCATTAGGTATTTCTTTTTTCTTTTTCTTTTTTGAGACGGAGTCTGGCTCTATCACCCAGGCTGGAGTGAAGTGGCACGATTTCAGCTCACTACAACCTCCGCCTCCCGAGTTCAAGCAATTCTCCTGGCTCAGCCTCTCAAGCAGTTGGGATTACAGGCACCTGCCACCATGCCTGGCTAATTTTTGTATTTTTAGTAGAGATGGAGTTTCACCATGTTGGCCAGGCTGGTCTCAAATTCCTGACCTCAGGTGATCCACTCATCTCTGCCTCCCAAAGTGCTGGGAAATACCCATATTCTTTAGGTATTTCTTTTGTAGCTAGCATTTCTGTGACCTGGTCACTTAGACCACACAGTCTGGAGAAAATACTGTGTGTGTCTTATGTTTGCTTTGAATGATATTCAGCTGTTCACTACACAATATTAAGTGAAATAGTTAACTTTGGATACTTATCTTTTCTCTTCTGTAAAGCTTCTGAAGGGTTGCTTCAGACAGCAAGTGTGTTAATTGTTAACTCCATTTTCATGGCATCAACTGGAAATAAGGATGTCCTAGTAGGCAATAAAATGATCTGTCACAGACCCCAAAGGGGATGTCAAATTCTGAAACACTAGGGAGTGGCTGATGAAAGAAACTGATAGAAGATATAGCAGATCAGTGTTTAAGACTTCTCTAACTTTTTAAAGCGCGGTGTTTTTTGGTTGGCCCATATGAACAAAATACATTAGAAAAAATAAATGGTGGCTTCCATTGGAAGGTGGCCCTCAGCTCCAGCATCAGAAGACCACAAACCCAGCTGGCTTATAACAGGGAGCTGGTCTCTCTGTGACCTCGCTTAACTTCTCCAGCTGAATTGATTTTGCTAAATTCCCTGCTGAAAACGCTGGAAGTCTGTACCATAGGCAAGCTCCTTCATGATCAGGCTCCTGCACTGATTGCTCTTTAACTCCATGCCTGTCATTTTTCTCCTTCTGGCCTGGCCTTTCACAAGGAACGTCTAGTTCCTAAAATTTACTAGATCTTCCCTTTCACCTCCAGGTCTTTCTATCTTGGAATACTCTTTGTTCTCTCCTTTGCCAAGCAAAACTCTACTTATTTTTTAGGTCTCAGCCCAAATGTCATTTCCTTCAATGGTCTCCCAGATGAGGTTGGGTCCCTTTGGTCCATAGTTACACTGCACTGGCTACTCTCTCTTTCTGAGTAATCACCATGCTTGTAAACTACCCGTTGAGAATATGTATCTCCCTCATGCAAATGTCCAATAAACAGCATTGTCCATCTTATCCATTGCTAACCCCCCCAGTGTCTAGCACATAGTAGGCACTCCATAAACAGGTATAGAATGAAGGACTAATGTAAAATGAATGATTATCTGGACAGCACAAAGGAAGTGGAGAATTTTGAATGTCTATTACTTCAGTACTACGGTAAAATAGCTGGCTGGTGAGTAAAATCTTTATAAATTATTTTTGCTGGTAATATATGAAAAATAGATGACTCTTTCCCTTAGAAGTAGTATCAGCTAGTGGATAGTTTCTGGAAAAGTCACTAATTGACTTCACCTACAGATTTCTGTGTATATATGGGGAATAACATTTTTGTAATAATAAAGGAGCAATTTAGGGTAGAGTCTTAATAACTATGCGACTTTGACAAATCACTCACCATCACTTATCTATAAAATGGGGATGCTAATTAAATCAGTTGCATAGACTGATTGTGAGGATCAAATGAGAAAATGCATGCATACACTTAGCACAGTGTCCGGCACATAGTATGTGTTCAATAAACGCCAGCTACTACTACCACAGTTGGTGCTTCTGTCCAAGGCAGACACCTCCACTCTGAAATATAGAAGCCAATTGACTTAAAAATTACATGTATTTGGCAGTGAATAATCTGGTGATGTTACCCTCTGGAGGGTGAACCAAAACCTCTGTCTGCATCACTCATCATCAACCCACACTGTAAAAAGCCGTCTCTCCTACCCTGGACATTCCCTGAAGCCAAAGCATAAGTGAAATGCCATCAGAGAAAATACTAACAAACTCTGAGGAATATTCACCCCACTCTAGAATTCAGACTGCCTCTTAACAAAAATGTTCTGTGAACAGAAGTGAATGTCATTGATTCAGTTTGGGCTTTAGACCCAGGTGGCATTCTCGTTCTAAGGCATGGCATCAAGAGCTCTGCACAAAAGCAGTCAATGCTACTGATTTACACAAACGTCTCGCAAATTCTAGTGGGGAGAAACATATCTGTTTTGTTTCATTTCCAGGTGGCAAGACAATCAAAATGCTGGCAAAAGGAAAACAGGGTGAATGAGAGTAACTTAAGACAAAGAAGACTGGACATACGGTAGGTTTCAGGCCCTTGACAGCCCTAAGATAGGCTTTATTCTTCCTGTTGTGAGTGGCTTCCATGTTGTGTTGTGACCACCTCAAATGGATTTATTTGATCGGAGGAGGATGTCTGAATTCTAGGGGACTTGAGAAGACTTGATATAAAGTTCAGACAGAACTTGATAAGGTTCTGTCTGCTTTGAGATGGGGCCTGGGCTACTCCTACATCTTTATTCCTCTGCAGGGGCCCCAGGGTTTAGTGAAGGAAGAATTCACGTGAGCTGGGGGGAGCTTAACCTTTCCAAGCCTTAGTTTCAACATCTGCAGAAGAGTGTTGTTGGAATGGGATTGTTCTGAGGATTCAGCAGGAAAAATACATTTAAAGCACATAGCTTTGTGCCAGGCACTTAGCAAGTGTTTAAGGAATAGGAGCTGTAGCTCTTATAGTTATTTTAGACTTCTGAATTCATCTAATATAACCATCATCATATTACACTGAAGGAGATTAAAAGCCAAGATGTGGTACCTTGTTCCAGGTCACACAGCTCCTTGGTAAGGGGCAGAGCTGGGTTACCATCCCAGTCTCCCTACCCTGTGCTGTCTTTTTTACTGTACTCCATGGACTCTCAGGACTCCTAGCTCAGCTGAGCTCTCCGGTATATCATAGTTCTCGGGCTTTCCACCTTTGCCCTCTCCAGTCAAGTCTCCACCCCCAACATTCACTTAATCCCTAAACCGTGTTTATGTGGCCTCCAAAATATCCACAGAAGTGCCTCCTGCTTTCCTGCCTCCTGGCTAATGCAGCTGCTATTTTGTCCAGAAGATTCTCCCCTCTTCTGTATCCATCGCTGACTCCTTCAAGCTTGAGAGCTTAAGTCGCTCATGTCCTCTGCAGAGAGACCTTGCCTGAGCATCCTGACTAAAGTAATATCACCTCCCCGCTTTCTCTTGCTCTCCAGTTTATGTCCTGTGGAAATGCTTCTCCCACCGGATAATTTTCTTTCATTTTTAATTGCCTGTCTCCTTTACTAAATGTAAGCTCCCAAAAGGGCCGAGAACACACCTTTCTAGCTCGTTGCTGTGTCCCTAGCACCTAGCACAGAACATGACACATAGGTGCTCAGTAAATAGAAGTTGAGTAAATGAATGAATGAATTCCAGAACCAGCATATTTGTTAACACTTGCAGAGGACAGAGGAAAGCATTGTCACTTTCTGTGGGAGGAACCTGGGTACCTGCTTGCCCTCTTCTTGGCCTCCTAAAAGAACAGCGAGTGGCTACCCACAAGACAGGGACCCTTCCAAACAGGCATCCCACGCAAAAGCACATCTTGTAGTCAAGGGAAATGGGCAGATAGTTGCTAATTGCGTCTTCCAACTGGGCTGATCTTTCAAAAGTTCGAAAGGCGCCTGCCTCCATAAATCCCAGGCTGCTACTGCTGCTGAAGCTGGTGAGGGAGGAGAGGAGGGTGCGCTTGGGCGCCTCTCGGGCTGGCACGAAGAAGCCACATCTCATCCTCCCTCCTCCCTCCAGCTCCTCTCCAAGAGAGGAAGCAATGCAGATGGAGACGAGAAATAAATATTCCTGCCTGCTCCGTGCCACTGCAGACGTTTTCCAAAATGTCTGGCTTGGACCATGAAACAAGCCCACCCAGGAAAGGAGGCGCTCAGCGGGAGAAAGAGGGGGAAAGGGTGGCATATTTGTCGATACTCGTCAGCTTTCTGGGGGGCAGAGCACATGGCTCATCCTTGGCAGCTCTGCTGAGGTGGGGACGTGGTAAGTGCACAGTAATACTTAAGGAATTGAATCAGAAATGGGAGTGGAGTTAAGAAACTCATGCCAGAGCGTCGGCACTATCTCTATGCCTCTGCACAGGGTCCTAGGACGCACAGCTGGTTCTTTCACAGGTTTCAAGCTCTTTGCACAATACCTGCTGCCTCTGCTCATCCTTTTTACTTCCACTCCACTCCTGGGGAATTAACACAATTGGGCCGAAGGAAGCCATCAAAGGCCATTTGGAATTTGGGCAGGAACTCAGAATCCATGTGTGGAGATATTCCTGCCACCTCTAAACACAGTTCACTTTCTCTAATACTGGAATACTGGCAGGAGATGAGAACACGGGCTGCAAATGATAAGTGGGTGCTTTTGGCCTGGGGTGGCCAAGTGTGTGGGAGAAGTGTCACTAAGGAGGGAAGTTACGGGCCCAGCAACAGGCACCGAAGTGTTCTGCATTACACTGCCTTTGCTAGGCATGCTGTGAGGCTGCAAAATGTCTCTGAAAAGGGAGATGAGAGGATGGGAATTTCAGTTTGAACACTTCTGCATAGGATGCTCTGGGTGTCCTGTTTCTAATCTTCCTGTGAGACTCTCTGGTGCCCTGTTCTTGATATCGCTGCCCCTGGACCACCTTCCCATAGTCCTCTTGGTAGGCCAGTAATTAGGGTGGGGCCCTTGGTGGATTGAATTCTGCTCAGTAAAGAGTAGAGGAGCTTTCCTGAGTTTCACAGGTTCAAGTCCAATGCAACAAAAACAGTTGCTCAAAGTGAAGACACAAAGAAAGCAATGTCTTCTACGGGTGTCAGGGAAACATTTTCCAGAAATGTTGCACTGAATTCTGTTTCTTTTCACCATTTCCAGGACTTCACTGAGGAATGAAACATTGTCTAATATTTCCCACTCATGTGCCCTGAATCCTTCTTTATGAATCTTCCCCACTCATTTGCCCATCTGCCTTCCAGTGCCAGGCAATTGCCAGCTGAATCCCACTCTCTCCAGGAAGCCATTCAGTGGTGGGGGAAAGCTGGCAGGACACACTGGTTCCTGTCCCCACTCTGCCCATTGCTGTGTGACCTCAGACAAATCACTCCCCTCTCTGGGCCTTCATTGCTTTGTCAAAGGAGTGGGTTGGATAGGTTTCCTTTCAGCTGTGACACATTATAGGAATGTTCCATAAGTGAAATTGGATGGAATTCCTACTGTCATTATCCCCTTCCCACCTCACCTTTGCCAATAAGCTCCAGGGATAGGGGCCATCGCACCTCTGGGATTGAATTCAATCCTCGTACCTGGGAAGGTCAGAACTGCATATCAGAAGAAACTGTTTTAAATGTTCTGTTTATATTTCCCTTAGTTCCCAGGAAGATTAATGTATGGGTTGGGGAAAGATCAAAGTAGGGCATATTTGGAAAGAAGTTGTGTGCATGTATGTCTGCATTTTACAATAATCATATTAGTTACTTTTTAAAAATAATAGTTGCCATTTATTGAACTCTATTATGAGCTAGGCCTATGCTAAGCTCTTTTGCCTACGTTATTATCTTCATGATAGCTCATTAGGGAACATATTATCTGCCCTGCACTCCCTTACAAATGAGAAAACTGAGGTTCTGAGGGGATGGGACATTTGCTTAAGATCAGACAGCTGTTAACATTGGCAATGGGATTTGAGCCTGGATCTGTTGGATTCCAAGGACAATAATGTGCCATCCACTACCCTGTGCTGGGCCTTGTCTTGGCATTCAGTCACTATCTGGGAGATTCTTCATACAGTGAGGCTGTTTTAAAGACCCACAGGCAGTGGGTCCTAAATTGATTCCCTTTCCTATGGTGTTGTCAGAGGAAAACAGCTAGTCTCAGAGCCAGCAGGAACCTGCTGTCAGAAATGGCAGGGAAGCATGCAGCTGTGGTGTCTGCCTAGCATCAGGAAGAGTGGGAGAACTGGGCCCCCGAAGCAGTCCATTTATAGCAACCATCTTCATTGATCATTTATCCATAGAAAATAAGGCTGGTTTCTGCCCAGACTTAGCTACCTCATTTCTATGGCCTTGCCTAATTCTGGCACAGAATCAGGGCCTCTTGGAATTTGCAAATAATTAGATCATATGTCCCAGAAGTTGTAAACTTAAATGGCTCCTAAGCCCAGGTAGGTATGTGAATGAGTGAAACAGCCAGGAGGGGGTTACAGCAAACTGCAAACACATGTCCAGTCTAAGACCCCCAAGACACAGCTCCAGCAGAGTTGCTGTGCACCTAGAATGCTATGCAGGCACCCCCAGAAATACAGAATTTTCTGTGAATTCTCCTGATTTTTAAATGTAGGCAATTCAGTTAAGAAGAACATACTTGACACAGTGAGGACCATATAAAACATATTTCCAGGACTGAGTGCAGGTCTTCATTTAAAACTCTAAAATTAATTTTTCTTATTTACAGATGAGGAAATGGTGGCCCACATTAAGTCATTTGCCAGAGCTAGCTAAGGTGGGCTTAGGTAGGCAAATCTCTGGATGCATACAAATAGCAATGTGTGTGTGTGTTCATAAAAAATACACACATATTGTACCTTTACAAATGAAATAGAAATGATGTTGGATTACCTGCTGTTATTAAATGTTTGGCTTTTCACATAGTGTTAATATTATACAATAGTTGACTATAATTAACACACACACCCATCCCAAAACAAAATGACACAACATAACTCCTCTCCCAAGCCGAAACCAAAAATTAAAACAAAAGCCAGGAAATAAAGAAGCTCTTTACTTACGGTAAATGACAGAAAAGAAGAAAACAAAGTCCCTTCGTCATATCTGGATAATTTTGCCAGCACTCCTTCCAAGATAGTAACGAACTAGAAAAACAGCAAAAAAGAAAAAAATGTTATTTCAAACTATAATTGTTCACCATAAAGCACATCATTTCCCCACCACATAAAGGCTGGGATCGAGCCCTCCGTTCATTTCTGCAGTCTATTATTTGATTCCCGCCTTCGGAGAAAGGAATAGACTGCCTTTACATAGAAATATTTGACTTATCCGGCTTTCTCTTCATTATTATGTGATTGCAAATATAGAGTGTTACAGAAGTGCAAAGTGACAAAATATTATTGAGTTGCATATAGCATGCGATAATATTAAATGCACTTTTTAAAATCCAAAACTGCGCAAAGCAGTTTCTACGTTACATATTAGCACTACATTTAATCCAATCTATTTTTATTTGTATTTTATCAGTAATTTGGGGGAAACAGAAGTTTAGCACTGGCAAATATAAATGTCTTCCCATTCAGCATTACTTAGTTAAAATTCTATAATTCATGAGGGTGACTGAAATAGCTTTATCTGACTTTTATGTTTTATTATGACTCTCACTGCATGTGAAACTAGAGGAAAAGGGGTTTTCATGATGGCAGAATTCCTTATTACCGTTTAACTTTCTGTATTTAAAAATCTAACTTTGTCAGAGCTGAAAAACAAAACAAACATTTCTCATATAACCTAGCGCAACGTTTGGGGACAAATTCTTATTAAGTTAACATATGCCACTTCATCAATTTATCTTCACACGGCTCGAGATCATCGGAAAATCATTTAGAGCTGAGGCTGGGTGATGTACAATCTTGTTTCCTGAGAGACACAAGTATCCAGCTCAACTTTTTAATGTGTTACATTTTAATGGAAATGGAGACATAACAAAGCAGTGTTCACAATGAAACATTTCACCTGAAGCTGGAGGTTACCTTTGCAACCAAGAGTGTTATCATTTCTTTAACAGTTTCTTCAATTAGTTCGTCTATTTTTGAATGGTATTGATGCTAAGAACACAGAAAGACAAATATTAGCATGTTTGGGAGGTGATGGCACTGCATCCGTCAGTAATTTTTAGACAACTTAATTTATAAATAAAGCCTGGCCTGCGGACCCCGTTTATTTCCTTAGTCCCAGAAATATTTATAAGATCCTGACTCCAGTTCTTTGATAGAGAGAGATCTGAAGCTCTTAAAAATATTACCAAGTTCATTGTTCCTTACTCAAGGCTTTCGATGCTTCTAATGTGTGTAGACACTTAAACACTTTTACAAATAGCACACATGAATGACTTAATGACCCAGCAGTGTGTTGATTTGGATCTTACAAAGCAGGATACTGTAATAATTTAACACAGGAGATTAAAAATTATCTTTGGAAAACTGCTGGGGGTTGTGGCTTAGGTAGTAGATTCCCTTTCCAAAGGGAATTTGATGAAGACACTGTGACTAATTTTGCAAAAACTGTTCTGAAACCCTCAGGTTCTTTGGGTTAATACCTCAGAACTCCTCATTTTGTCTCCAAGTCTTGACTCAGTATAAAGGCAAAGTGTCTCTTTCTGAACTCTTGTGGCAAGCCACTCATTTCCTCCATACATGGATAAACAGACCCAGTATGAGAGCCTACACTGAGACCACTGCTAAGTTTTTAAATTTCTCTAACTGTGCCTGTCAATTACATTTAAATAGTAATGTGAAGACAAACCCCCACACAAATAAAAATCTGCTGTAAATGCCAGGGAAAAAGGAAAAGTGATTTTAACACAAAATATTATATGCCAGCTCCTTGACATTTATTAGATCATTTTAGTATCCATTTGAATTATCCCATATTTCCCTAACAAAAAATAACAATGCAAGACATTGTTATTTGAAAAGGAAAATGCACTTACCCACATTTTAGCAAACTTTCAGAAGGATGATTAATTAGGAACAGAAAAAAAAAGGAACAGTGCAAATACAAATTAGGACAAAAGGACACATGAGAAAATAAAAATTAAATAAAATATTCAAAAGTCTATGTAAACATATGGAAATAAGCCATAGTAATGTGGTTTAATATTCTGATAACTGGCAATCAGAATTATTGAGAGTGAGGAAAGGGATGTGAATTAGGTAAATCCATTTAGAATCATAGGCGAGGTTTGTTTGTAATTGGAAGACCTGGATAAAGTCCCAGTGCAAAGTTGGGAAGTCATGTTACCTATGAAAATTTAACTCAGTTTCCTTATCTGTAAAAAACAAACAAAAGAGATAATAATACTATCATCCTGGACCAATGAGAAGGGAGAAACCAGTATGAAACTCTGATTTTGGAACGGGAACAAAGCCAACCCTGTATAAAGATTTTTAGCGGGTCTATGCTAGTATTATTATTTTAAAAACCAGTGCCCGAGTCCTTTCCTGTAGTCATGCCTTCAGACTCATAAGTCTCTGTTTGGGAGATCAAGTGAGAGTCTAGATGTGAAAATATTTTGTCAACTGTCATCGTGACTCAAATATTGTTAGTTGTTCAAGTTCATCAAGTATTAGATAAGGGTAGAGAGAGACAGTCTTATCACTTAGTCATCTCCTCCAGTTTCATTTTAATTGATTAGAGGAAAAATAATACAGCTAATGGCTTGTATGTTGTAGTCCCGTTGAATCAGAACCCATGTTGGCTATACTGCTAGATTCAAAAAGGAATTTACTCCTAAGTGGCATAAACCTGAAGCTAAATGCAAAAAATTTATCTGCAGAATTCTTTGCTAGAAACACAAAGAAAGATGTCAGAGCAAAAGAATTCAGGAAAATTGACAGGGCTCCAAATTCATTTTTAGGTCTTGAGATAAGATCCAGAATCACATGCTTACTTTTCCTCCTCATATGACTGCCTCACTCGTCTAGGTTTTCTTTGCATTGCTATAAATGATTCACATTTATTAATTATGGGAGTAAACTAAATCAGAAAAGCTAGCTGTGTGCAAAATAATATGAAATATACCAAGCAAAGAAGAACATCATTGAGAAACAAAACACTCTCTTGAAAAACTGGGCTGAAGTGGCAAATAGAGACTAGAGTAATTGTTCTCCACACACCAACAAAGATTTAGGGTCTTACTCTGAGGAGTTAATGATGTCATTCTTTCTCCCAAGAGAAACAAGCTTTCTCTTCAGGAGCTAGAAACTTCAAACCCTTTCATAAGGAGACATGGTTGAGACATCGTGGCTTATGGAAATATGATGATTTATGGGAACCTCTTCCCATTTCAATTTTTCCATGCCAAACTTCGCCTTAATTTTTCTCCAGGCAGTCCCACTATCTCTCCCTTTCACTCCATACAAATATGATCATCTCCATTCCTCTTCTGTTATAATGAACGTTGCTTTTTTTCTGCTTATAAAACAAAGTATTTTGATATGATTATTCTGTCTCTCCCATCCAGGGGAAACTTTATCATGTCAATCTCTGTTGGTCTATTTCCTCATTTTTGCAGTGGGGCTAGAATTATAACTTGTGAATATAGACATCATATTCACTTAACCAAATAATGAAACAATGCATGGAAACGTGGTTTAGAAACTGAGAGGTGCTATGTGGCAGTATTACTACTACTACTATGATTAATAGATTAACATAGTGGTTGCATGTGTATATACATTTCTCTAAACTCACCTAAAATCTCTATATTTTGTTGTATGTAAATTATGCCTCAATTTAAATATAAGCTTCTTTGTGGAAGATAGCAGAGCAGGGTAATAATTACTCTGTTTATCATGTAGCAAAGAGGTAAATATCAAAGCAGCCCCTATTCCTATTCAAGTAATTACAGAATACGTGAATCCCTTTTGCTAGTTTTCCCTGATATATGAGACTTATTGGATTAACTTGCTTTCTGGAGTAATAGTGAGTACTCTGCTTTCACTCCTTGATCTTTCTTGGGAGATATATTGTTCTGTGCAGATGTGAAGCTCCATGAAGGGGTATATATATATCAGTGGGGCAACTTTTAATTAACAAACATTCCTACTAGACAATTTTGTTATAAAATGCCTTGCAGTCTGATCGACTATCCAGATACGGTACAAAGAGGGAGCTTTACCATTTTCCCATTTTCCAGTCCTCTCTGCTGGCCTTTTTTTTTTGAGATGGAGTCTTGCTCTGTCGCCAGGCTGGAGTGCAGCAGCACTCGGCTCACTGCAACGTCCACCTGCCGGGTTCAAGTGATTCTCCTGCCTCAGCCTCCCGAGTAGCTAGGACTACAGGTGTGCGCCACCACGCCCAGCTCATTTTTTTGTATTTTTAGTAGAAACAGGGTTTCACCACGTTGGCCAAGGTGGTCCCGATCTCTTGACCTCGTGATCCGCCCACCTTGGCCTCCCAAAGTGCTGGGATTACAGGTGTGAGCCACCACGTCCGGCCTCTACTGGCCTTCTTGGATTAACTTGCCCTATACTCCAAAATTATATCCTGAGGGAACTACTAATATTCAATGGCCTGGAAAGTTTGGTCAGTTCACTTTTGCTTCTGATGGGCTGAGGTGCAAATTCACAATTACTGTGTGAAAATCATTCCACTTGACTTCCTGTGCTACACGTTTTGCCTTGTCATAGAACAGATTGTGTGTATGTTGTCTTTCTGTTAAGACCATCTGACCTTGGAAATGAGATGAAAACACACTAGACCAAGTGAGAAACTATTTAATACGCAATTTCCCTTCTATTGGTACTTCACAAATTTTAATGAAAAAAATAAATACTTAAGATGGAAAACTATGCTTAACAAATGTTTCAGCAGCTGCCTTTACATGTGATATTACCCAATGATGAAATCCAGGATGCGATCTTAAAAATGGAGATTTCATCACCTGGCCAGTATCTAATCTAAAGCAGGTTGAGGGAGTTGGGACCCAGGTGGAGGCTGGTATTAGTAGCTAGGTCTATAATATGGGCTTCATATCCCATACTCAGAAATACAAACTACATAAAAACATTGGACTTTCATCTATTCTTATCCCAGTTCCAGGATGTTTCCAGATATTCTTGTTAAATCTCATTTTAGCAACTCAGCTTTACTTTGGAGATGAATATTCCCATTCTACAAAGTGAGAAAAATCAAGGAGGAAACATTTCCATATGACTTTCCATTGAAGTTCTGATTAAGGTTACAGCCACTGTGCTAGACCACTTAGAAGAAGTACATATTTACAGACAATTAAGTCAAGCTAGCTTTATTCTCACCTGTTCTCAGCCACTTGGCATTCAAAGAAGCCTCATTTCCCACAGCTGGTCATTTAAGTGTCTCAGATTCAATTATACTAAGGAAAAATGTCACGAAAGATCTCTCTAAGATGGCTTGGGAAAAAAACCAACAGTCTTACAATAAGAATCATAGACTAGGATGCATTATTGGATGGGCCCTTAATAAAGATATTCAGTCTAGATGTGTGTGTGTGTGTGCGCGCTATTTTGGGAGAAACAAGAAATGTTTACAAGCCTCGGTTATTTGTTTTCATTAAAAAAATTATGTTGAGTCACATGGGGAGAGTATGGGTAGTCTTTTCTACTTTATCAAATAGAACAATGTCTAGAAAGAAATAGACACTGCTGTTTCATGTCAAAAATGTTACTGCAAGTCCAAGACAACTTTCTGATTTTATATCCAGAATTAGGGGACTTTATTTAATACCCAATTTTAACAAACCACATACTTCCCAAAGGTTGTGTGTTGCATGCTATGTTCTTCATTCAGCAAATGATGACACATCGTTTGGCAGCTAAGGTATGGAGTCCATACGATGTCATGATTAAACCAAAAGGCAACTTATTCTTCTATAAAACCAGACTCCCAGGTCAAGCTAAGGTCATTCTACCTTGGCCCAGAAGCAATTAGTGGTAAAGAGAAAAGAAGGGTCCGCCATTGTGATAAAAGTCAACTTGGTCTTTCTCATCCTCTGTCTCCAACTGGGGTCTATGGTTTGGTCAAGAAGGTCCCCAGGTCGTCTGAAATTGTAGAGTAATAATATATGAAAGTATTTTTTTCCCCTGAGAAATGGCTCCATACCTTTTTTTATATTCTCAGTGAAGTTTGTGACAGCAACTCCCACGCTCCCACTACTCTCCCTAAACCCCCAGCTCAAAAGCAAAACAGCCCAGATCAAAGTGACTTGGCTTGTTTGGAAGAATTGTTTAACCATCTGACCAGGTATGTGGGAGCTTTTGAAACATGGCCGTCATTGAATCAAGCTGGGGAGGGACTGCAAAAGCTGCTGAGGAGAAGGCAAGACCAGTCCTGTTGTATCAACCCTTCTGCACCCTGGCCTAGCACCATCCTTAGAAAACTCAGTTAAAATGTACATCTCAAGAAGATTTAAGGGGAAATAGGTCAACTGCACTGCATTTAATTTAAAAGAAACCTGTTATGTTTTAAAGGATCCCATCGAGAAGATGAAAAAGAAAACCCACAGAATGGGAGAAAATAGTTGCAAATCGTATATATGATAATGGTCAAGTATCCAGAACATATAAAGAACTCTTACAACTCAATAATAAAAAGACAAATAACCCAATTTTTTAAATGGGCAAAAGATTTTGAATAGGCATTTCTTTAAAGAAAATATACAATGGTCAATAAATACATAAAAAGGAGCGAACAATACATGCTACAGCATGGATAAATCTTGAAAACACTGTGCTGAGTGAAAGAAGCCAGACACAAACGGCCACATATTGTATGATTTTGTTTATATGAAATGTTCAGAATAGTTAAATCCTTAGAGATAGAAAGTATTTTGGTGATTACCTAGGGCTGTGAAGAAGGGAGGGGTGTGAGAATTAATGGGTACTCAGTTTTTCAGGTGATAAAAATGTCCTAAAATTGACCGTGGTGATGACTGCATAACTTTGTGAATACACTAAAACTACAAAATTGTACATGTTAAACTGGTGAATTTTATGGGTATGTGAATTATATCTCAATTTTAAAAACAGTAGCTCCAAGGGGAGAAAAATTAAGGAGGAACAGGATTCTGGAAAATATGAACTCAAAGGGATCTCAATGAACTTTTGAGATCACCAAAAACAGGGCCTTTAAAGTGGGCTTGATGAAGCCTAAGAGATTGTTTAAATATTCCAGAGCAGCTTAGGTGGGTGGTGGGCAGTGAAGAGGTGCAGAGCAGAGGGCCACCTGGCAGCTTGGACTCTAGGCCCCCTCCTCCCCTCTCCATCCAGAGCAGCTGTACTTTTATTTGTGTCACATGCTGGCCTTCTTGATTTGCTTTGAAAAACAGATTGTGCCACTAAAAACACCCTGAATAAAACTAGAATAGTGCTACCATTTTACAGATGAGGAAACTGAGGCCCAAAGAAGCTGAGTGATTTGTCAAACTCCAGCTTTCAGCTCAGCCAGGGGAAGAATCTAGGTTTCTGAACACCGAACCCAGGTCTTCCCCAAGGGGGGCTATCCTTCCTACCTGAGTCCTTCCCCTGAAGTCAGGTTTACATACTGAGTATCCAGATCAGTGGTTCTCATAGTGTGGTCTCTGGAACAGCCAGCAGCATTAGCATCGCCACGGAACTTGTCAGAAATGCCAATTCTTAGACCACACCGCAGACCTATCTGAAATTCTTGGGTGAGACTCAATGATCTGGGTGTTCAGATGCTCTCTGGGTGAGTTTAACGTACACTGAAACATGAGAACCACTGCCCCAGATCATTCATATGAGCACACGATGCTGGGACAGAGAACCAAGGGCACCCTGAATTTGACTCCAGTGCTTAGAACTTAATCCCCAGGAAAAGGTCCTCGACAAGAAAATTAGTCAGGAACAGAGTTAACCAGGGTGGGGGTGGGGGCTGAGGAAGCTGACTTGTAGGGGAAACAAGGTTGAAGATGATCTTGCCAGGAAGAGAATACCACCAACCCACATTTAAAAATGGAAGGTGCTGAAAGAGAAAATAAATAACGAATAAGGAGCAAATATAATTTAGTAAAAATTCTGAACATGTAAGGCTGGTATCGAAAGATCTGATTTAGGAGCAATTTATGCCAATTGGCAACAACATAGAGTTGCCAGAAATGCTTCTGAATTAATTCTAAATTGGTATATGAATATCTAGCTGGCTTAAGGCCATCAGAGAAAAATGATCATGATAGTCTTTAATCAAGCCCAAGTTGCTGTTTCCTTCTCCTTTACATTTTAAATACTGCTTTGGAATTGCAAACTTAGCAAAGGACTAAACTTTTGGTCAGGAAAGATTCATGATCAATTCAGTCTAAGGAAAATTGAAAGTCTGCAATTTTTTTTTTCTTTTTTTTTTTTGGAAATTCAGAACCTGCTGGCTGGGGATTGGGTAGCAGGGTGATCTAACATTATACATCCTGGAAGTTGTTTGATGCAAGAAAGGCCTCTCTTGCTGTCCAGATGTTCAAAGTGATAAAATGCACTTCAAATGTGAAAATGACTTTCATTCTGGCAAACACAGATCTGTTCGAGACACCAGCCTAATAAATAAGGTCGTCAAACTTCATTTAGCTTAGAGAACTATATGGCCACCCCAACTCCAGCCAAGAATCACTTCCAAGTGACTGACATTCTCATCAGCACATGCCTTAGAAATCTACTTGACAAACAGATACTGAACACTCATCCATGGCTTAATCCACAAATGTTAGAGTGTATTTCTGAAACTAGCAGACTAGGGTAGATGGAAGGAATTTGTGAAGTTTTCTTCTACATGATCAATGAAGAGGGAAAAAAAAATCTGTATTTTTTTTTTTTTTTTTACCTCTTGGCCCATTTCCATGCTGCAAAGTTTTGTTGATTGAGCTTTGGCATCAACCATAACATTAAACATGGTGCATATTGACTGTGGGACTCGAAAATCTGTTGATCGACTGGTTTTTTGCAGCTTAACTTCAAATGCAATCCTGGTTCTATTAAAACAAAGTAGGAAAAGACCAATTCAGCGTTCAGATGGCAGCAGGTGGAGGAGATATTTTCTGAGAGGTCAGTGAAAAAGAAAATTGAAGGCTGTAATCAGTTTCAGTCAACAATGACTTCACATGTGTTCCCTTTTAAATGACTTTCCCAACTAAGGAAGGCCTATTCACGGAGACAGACATGCACACCCTTCCTTTCCGGCAGTACCCGGAACACTTGTAGCTTGGCGTATTTCTCTCTATAGTTTACATGCTATGGAGAACCTTAATTGCAGGAGAATGAATGAATTCACAAAAACTCGATTATAGCAGTATAGCATATGTAAGTTCTCTCACATTGGCAACTGCCTACCTTGAATTACTTCATTAATAAAACAAAACAAACAAAAACCAAAGCAGTTTTTAATCTTCAAAACCTCGTGGTGGGGAAAAAAATCTTAAATGATGTTTATTGCTGTGGGTTTTTATTTTCCCCTTTCTGGTTTTGAAAGAGACAAAAATTTAAAATCCAGCAAGTGTATTACATTGCTTTAAAGACTACAAAATTTATTTTGCTTGTTAAAGGACATAAAAAGGTAATACATCAAGCTGTTAAAGATGGCTACCTTTGAGGAGGGGAGGGAAATTAGGAGGTGTGGTATTGGGGGACTTCCACTATGTTTTGTTTTCAATGTCAATGTATTATTTTGCAATAAAATACATTATTTTATGATTTAAAATGTCATAATATACAACTATTTTATATGTACGCTTAATATACATATACAAATTCAAGAATTGTGTGATGGTGGAATCTGAAAGTAACATAATTCTGACATTGGTCAAATTAGGATCTCAGCAATGTGCTAACAACTCATAGAAAAAGCCTAGCCTGACATGGCCAGCTGGTAATACAGGTGGGAGATCTTATCCTTGACATCAGCATTGTAAAAGGGGCCTAGTTATATTTTAAAAGGTTTCAGGGAAGTGGGTGATATCATCAAATGTCTTTAAAGAAAAGCACCTGGTTAGTAAGTGGCTTTATTAAGGCCCCATTTGCCTGATGCATCTTTTTGGCATTGTTCACTGTCAAGTTCTGGAGATCATACAGCCACCAGGAAAGCATTACTTTAAGAGGAATTTGTAGCAGTTTTCTAACAGTGCATAGGAGGACCACACAGCTAGTTAGCTCAGGAAAGGATGCCAGCTTGCTAACACACCCTGAGTGCATGCAGAGAAGCCAAGTATAATTTCTAAGGTTGGGAGCCCAGTTCTTAAGAAAAAAAAAAAAAAAAAAAAAAAAAAAACACCTAAAAATCCCAAACCCTTAAAACACCCCTATATATTATATGATCATGTTAAAGATAAATGTATCTTGGCTTCTGAAGATTCAGTGCACTCAAGTAGCTTTCTAATCATGATGATCATTTTAAGCTACGCTGAAAATACATCATTTGCCGGTTTTGTGAAAAGGAGGCCTGATGAGGACTGAGTTGGACAGGTCCCTGTGCTGATCTTCTGAGGCTTGTGTGCCAGTTCCGGCCCAATTTGAGAAATGGAAATGCTAAATTGCTCCCTTCCAATGAAGTAATCGTCTTCAGTTTTCACAGGAGAACTGTTCATAGCCCTTGGAGTGCAGGGCTGTGAAAAGAGGAAGCTGAATGCAAAATTAATATGACTGAGAGGGCTCTGTAGGACCAAAACGCCAGAAAAGGAGAGGTCATTTAACTCAACTGACTCCTTGAGGGCAAAAGACAGCATGCCTTGTTTTGTGTTCAGCACAAGTAACCTGATATAGACTAGACTAGAGGCTCTGTAAATGTCTGTCAAATTGATGAATTAAATTTCTGGAGCACTGAAACATGAGGAGTGCCTTATTGACTTTTTGTCATGGCATATTTATACCTATGAAACAATGTCCTTGCTATGTTGGCTTAGAACAAGGGACACAGAATCTGTTCTACCAAGGAGAACAACGGTTCTAGGCTCTTCTAATGTAGATTCTATGTATTAAAACATTCAAAAACTCGTCCATGCTCTGTCCTCTGAATCTGTAGGTCCGGGGGTATTTCCACCCATTTTTGCTCTTGTCTGCTTTTGGGCTGATTTAAAAGGGACATCAGGAAATTTAAGTGTCCAGGCCAGCCATACATGTGCAGTGGAGCAACTTCTGTCAGTAAAAGGTTGCTTAACAGCTACTGTGTGCCAAGCATGGTGCTGAGACCTGGGGAGGGTAAGGAACGCCAAATGAAAAAGATCCACTCCCTGGCTCTGTGCAGCTCACCCTCTTTAGGTGTCTGAACCGTGAAGACATGATTACAGCATGGTAAGGGATAAGAGTCCCTATCCACCTGTGACATCCTCATATCTGTCCATTTTCTCTGAGCATCTTCCCATTTCTTGCTCCCTACCCAGACTGGCCTCTCCATGAAGGACATGCATGTCTTTCTGTACAATTATGTGCACAGTTTAGGAACTGGTAAGCCTTTACTGTAATGCATTTCACCCCTAGGACAGATCACGCAAAAAGTTTTTTTATGGAATGGTTTGGCCATTGGAAAAGCATTGCTTTTCCTAAAATTGATATAGACTATCTAGGAGATCGTGGAATTCAAGACCCTAAGGAAATATTTTGATCTTGAGTTTGAGAAGTAGGCCTGCCTTCAGTTCTAAGAGAGAGAATAAAAGAGCAATACTAAAAAATCTGGATCACTACAACTTTAAGCTTCTGGAAGTGGCCTCAAACACCTGCCCAGATTCTCCATAGTGCATAGTTCCTTTCTCAATTCCTGCTGAGATGCTGTTCACCTACCTGAGATTGCATTGTTCTTTTGCTTCTTTGCTTTCCAGTTCTGATGATATTACTTCACCTTTCCTCTTCCAAGATATGAAATAATAAATTCAAAGAACTTCCAGACAAACCCGGCCCCCATCACCCACAATTGATCCATCAACCAAGCTACACAACATCTGGAGATTTGGAGTAGCCTGTGCTGCTTGCAATCTGGGTTTTTTTTTTTTTTTGAATGAGGAAAAATAATGCAACAGTTATGAACTAGAAAAGGAACTTGGATGTGTATCTGGGGGTAGACAGAGTGATGATGATGATGTCCCCTCAGTGGAATTTTATTTCTATATTTGATATGGAGACACTCCATGAGGAAAGGGATTCTACTACTCTCATTCTTCATTGTATGCCAAGAACTTAGCCCTGTGCCTGGCATATGGGAGGAGCTCAAATGATGTTTGCTGAATGGATGAATGTTGTCCTCATTTTTTTCCCTCACCTTCTCAGAACAGTCTGCCTGGGAACTTCAAGTACAGCATTCCTAACCTAGTCCTAAAAGCCACAGTGACAAAACAGGGAATCTATGTGCAGGCAAAATGTAATGTTCCATGTCTCATGCCCCGCTGTTGAAATCCAGCTAGATTTTCAACAAGACAACTACAAGTTGGCCCACATATATGCTCATCTTTTATATACGGAGTGAATGATGATGCTAAGGCCCTATCCACATTGTTAGAAAACCATTAGATTTCTGCTAGCCATACTGGATACGCCAGCTCCAGAATTGCATATTCTTCTTTTTTTCCCTTCTAATTGTCCACTCAGGCACACATTCATACATTTAACAAATACTTACTAGTTAAGTATTTTGTGCCAGACACTGCTAGATATCAGGGATACAAAAAAGAATGGACAGGGATCTTTTCCTCTTAAAGCCAACAACCATGAAAAAATTGGCAGCCAGATTATTTTGGGTTTGGGACAGATGGAGGGCAGGTGAATGGAAGTTAGACGTTGACAGCCACTACTCCAGCTGACTTTGACAAGCAATCCCCTTCTCCAATTAGTTTCAAACTACAGCCAATTGAAAGAGCAGCCATCTACCCTTCCCTGAGTCTGTGTATGGTGGGGAGGGTGTGCAGAACCTGTCCAGCCACCTATACTTACCTTTTGACACAAGATTCGATCATGTCACTTGCCATCAACTTCAGCCGTTGTTCCAGGTGCTTTCCAAACTCTTCTTCAGGCCAGTGCAGGTCCCGAATGAAGGTCTGAAGGGCGTCAAGTTTCCAAAACAGATCTTCTGAGGTGCCTGACCCATTACTGGCAGGACAAAAATTAGAAAATGAGAGTCACCCACTGGCCTCAGGCTCTACAAAAACTAACACAGAGACAACTGGGGGCTAGAAGGCAAACAGCAGCTTCAACATACAAAACAACGTGTGTTGGCGGTGGAGGCGGGGGCGAGTCTCCACCGGCAGATTTTGAGTTTTACCATACATGACTTAGTGTGCTTTGCTCAGCCAATTACCCCAGACCAGTGAGAAGTCTGGGGAAGGTGTTGCCCCATAACAACCAGGAGAATGGTGTATGGTAAAAATCAGCCTTCTTTTAATAACCACATTAACACATGTGATGATTCAGATGAAGGCCACGAACCAGGGGGAGAAATAGTCTCAACAGATAATAACTACATGGCAACATGCAGTTATTAAACTTCAGGGTTTCATGCATTTCCCCAGCTCCCCTCCAGAGTGGAGACCTCTTGGAGATTGCACAAGACTTTTCGTTTTCAAAGGACAGTGCTAACAAAGTGGTGAGCGAGGACCTGCTTTCTCTCTTGAAGAGCTGGAAAGAAATTAGGGTGACTCAGATCAAGAGGGGTACACCTGGATACCTTGATTCCAAAATTCTAGTTCAGTTTGGTTACTGTTCCAATTTTCATAGACCAGCCCATTGCATAGGCAGGGTCCTCACCAGGATGAGGTGAGTCGAGACAGTGGAAGTTAGTGGACAAGGGATATTGTCAATGCTTTAGGGCTCAAAACCTGAGCTCTTTTACCATTGCACCATCTTACCCAGTCCTGTGTGCAGTTGGGGAAATTGGTTTTGATGCCTTTCTATACGATGACGTCTAAGAAACTTTTACCTGGGGCATCTACAAAAAGCCTGTGTATGAAAAATGCTCCATCTCTCATCCTCCTGCCCTTTTCTGGCTGGCTGTCTTTTTTGTAACAATCCCATTTGGAGCTCTGAGGGGTGTCCTCCCCCCCACCCACTTCCTCGCATACCACTAATGCTAACACAGTAATTTATAAAATGTCCAACACACCATGCATTACCACTTGTTCTGACATCGTCTATAGAAACAGATGAGAGTGGGTGTTTCTATTGTGACAGATGCCAGCTGCATTGAATTAATGCTTCAGAGAGAAATATAGCTAGTGCATAAATGCATACACAGCTACTGCAGGGCGGGGAGGGGGCACACGCCCAAGCATGCTGAGAGGGAGCCTACGGCCTGGACCAACAGGGTAATGTTTTCAAGGACAGACCAGTCTGAGGTCAGTACGTAGACGTATCTGACACGATGGAGCAGGTAACATATAAACACGCCCTTAAAATGAAAGGTGGCAAAGGAAGAAACTGGAATTATGAAAAGATATAGAATCAGGCATTTCCTGGTGGGTGATTGAGAATCCACGCCTTCTTTTCAGATACTGCCGTGAGCATTGTTCAAAAGTGGGGGAATGCGTTGTTTCTCCGTGAAAGTTCAGCCTTCCCCCTGCCCCAACCTATGCTTGGGAAAAAGAAACCCCAACTTTGTCTAGTCTAAGCCCCGTTTTGGAACTGCATGGTTGTATGTTTTAAATCATTAAGTACATATGAATGCAATAATTGGTATTTATTACAACAACATTTTGACACCCATCTGGTTTCAGAGTTTCAAAAAATTCTTGTAGGGTTTTTTTTTTCTTTGAAGAGCTTATTATTAAGTTTTGACATGAGGAAAAGAATATTTTCTTTTTATTTTTAAGATAAACTGTTAATGTTAAGGCAATAGCACCAAGATTATTTTGATTGCTGAGCAGTTACCAAAATGTGTTCCCACTCATGCCTTAATTAATTGAACGGAGACCATTATCTGCTTTATTACAATGTCTTGATTCATATCTTTTCAAAAACAGTGTCACAGAGCATGCACAGAGGAAGATAAGAGAAGCTTTCTGATATTTTTAAATTTTTCACAGATACTACCTAATCTAATTTTTTCATATAGTCATCTTAGCATGAATATGATTTGTGTTCTTTTTTAGAAGCTTTTTTTCAGATATAAATTTTTGGAGGTTGTAATTTGCCTTTAAAAGAGAATCAGACACATTGACCATATGATTTTAGTGTGAACTTGTGAGCAATTGTAGGTTGTAGAAATATCAGGCAGCTTTGGAGGAGCCAGCTAGAGCAGTCATTTTAATGGTCTGTCCTCCACCTGGATTACTGCAAGAATAAAAATGCTGAGGGCCGTCTTGATGAATGTGATTCTAAGATTTCAAAACATCACTGCCAGTTTCAGACCATTTTTTATTCCTTTGATAATAACACTTCCCTTTGAAAACGTGCCAATTTATTCTTTCAAGAAAAAGCTTATCTGGTCCGTAATTAGCTGTGGTCTAAGAAAAGGATCAAAGAAGGGTACAGAATCGCTAAACCTTATTTCACTTATTAAATCATGCACGTGGTTCTAATTTCCCTGAGGTAGAATTTAGGGGTGCTCGATCTTCTTGCTAACTAAAAAAGGAGAGAAGATTCATTTTTGAAGCTAGAAGAAATGGCTTCTCAACCCTCACTCCCCCAAACTGCTGGCTTTCAAGAAGTGGCCCATGCAACTCTGACATTCATGTGGATGAGTATAAAGCATAGCCCTATATTCAGATGATATGGCTACCACAAATTTAATTATTTATTGTTTGAATCTTGTGTTTCGAGAATTATTGAACTTCTCATTACCTAGCTCTCAAAGCACCATATTGTACTGTGACCTTGGAAAGTACATAATATATTTTTTTACATAACATTTATGTGACTAAGGCTTGATCCATTCAGAAATTTTCATTTAGCCCTGAACATACTGTTACTATATCCTGCCATTTGCTGACACCAGAAATATGCTTTATGGTTTAAACATTCTCTAGGAATTTTTTATTTTTATTTAAAGAAAACACCCCAGATTCTAGGTAGGTGTGCTTCCTTCTTAGATTTGGATCAGGCCAGAGATGACTGGCCAGCCCACCAAAGAGGTTTCCTCCACTATTTTTGGATGTCTAGCTCCTAAAGTCATGTCACCTGCCAAAAAGGGTAGAATCCTTTTGCAAAAGAATTCAGGAAGTGAAACATAGTCCTCCAGCATTCAGTGGGCGTAAGACAAATTGTTAGTGCTGTATATATAGCAAACATCTTACAAACATGATGCATGCCAGAAATAAACAATATTGTCTCTGTATGATCAGCAAAATATGTCTAATTATCCATCTCCATCTCTGTTATATAGGATGTATAGAAATAAACAATACATATCCATGCCAAGATCACTTAAATTTAAATGAGATCTAATGTGAACTGAATACACACTCCGCATCATATATAGCAGCCATCCATGACGGTGCCGAAAAAGTAGGCATTTGTGGGATGCCTAGAGGGATGTTAACTGGTAGATTTGGTACTTTGGGAAGGTTCACATTGGGTAGGTTCACATTGGGTAGGTTACTGGTTAAACTCCTGTGGAAGAAACAGACAGAAAGAAAAAATACCATCACAGTGACAATGCAGATGTGGCAGAAGCACACGACAATTGTAAATAAATTGACCAAGTCCACAGCAAGACAACAGCAAAAACTCAAGCGACACACTTCAGAAAGCAGCTTACAGATGGGAAGCTGTGGTGTGGCTCTGTATCCAGAGAAATGACAAAAGTTAATGGAAAAATTAACCACACAGTGACTTAAAAGTGCACCCATACACAATGATCACATGCCTTTGGGAGGGGCCTTTGGTTTCCATATCCATTGCCATAAGAGTCTAGAACTTTTCTCATGCTAAGAACTTGAAGTTCCTGGAATTCTTGGTGTGGCTGGGGCTGGGGTTGCTGTGAAGTCACTGGGATTGATAGAAATGGTGGAGCACTTCAATTTTCTTATTTTTAAAACAAATTACTGTTGATGGAGGCATATTTCTCAATCAGACGTTAGACACCAAATAGAGTAGGAAGTTCACCCACTTGGAGGCACACCTAATGGTGATGTACAGAAACCAAGCTCTTTCTAACTGCTGCTTCTAAAGACAGGTGTATGGGCAATGGCATGTCAGTTGATGGTGAAATTATGAAATTGTATCAAGAAGAAAGATCAGATTTGAATAATTTTATAGAACATTTAAAGAAAATAGAAACTTTCTCTCTCAAACTAAGTTCAACAAAAATGCAGAAATGTTTACACACAGAAACAGACACCAAGGAAATGAAAACAATCCCCAATTCAGCTCTTGTATTAGACTCTTTGACCAAAAGTGGATTTAAAATGTGGCTTCATATCATAATAGTTACCCTTGGAAGTGGGACAGACACTGGGAGAAAGCATGAAAGGGACTTCTGGGGAGATTCTACTTTTTGATCTGTGTGATGGCTTACATGGGTGTGTGTTCAATTTGTGAAAATTAATCAAGCTCTGTATTTTTCTGTAAAAAGTTAAAATAAGTGACTAAAAAGTTAAAAATGTTACCTCATACCAGCCTTTTGTTTTTGGACAAAGATGGATCAACTGACGTGATGGAAGAGAGATGGATGGTTTTATAAGTAGAGGGAGAAAATAAAACAAAACAAAACCCCCAACTTGAATCAACTGTATTTCTTTGGAAGGACGGTGTCATACACGGCTCCTCAAGCTGGCACCGTGTGTCTCAGTAGTGGCATTTTAAGGGTGTTCCATCCAGCCAAAGTCACTGGCACGGTAGAGCCCAGCCTAACTCTGCATCTGAGAGGAGCCTTCCTGTTTAAGTGAAGTTGACAGCACTTTGGCAAAGGACTTGAGGTTCTCTTTTTGGATCTTGCAGGAGAAGAGCAAGTTTTGCCAAAGCAGCTCTGCCCTGGGCAAGCTGTGTTTGACTAACAGGACTCCTGCAAGAGCTGGAGCTGCCTCTGGGCTTGCTTGGGTGGGGAAGTGGGGGAGTAGGGGAGTAGGGGAGTGGGGGAGTGGGGGAGTTAGGGAAGGGGGAAGTTAGGGGGTGGGGGGGTGGAGGTGGGTACATGCCTTCTGCTAAGTCAGAAATTCTGGACCTTGAAGATCACCTGGATACCTGTCTCCCTCTAGAAACAGATTATTCTTTCACAATGGCAATATAGCCCCAGCTCATAGACTGAAAAACCTAGAATGCAAAATTGTCTACCTGGCATTCTCTTCTGTAAGGGAAACAGGTGTCTCATAAATTTGTCCTTTACACCTCACATTTTGGGAAAGCCAATTATACATCTCTACTTGGAACTAAAGGGTGCTCTTGTGGGAATGGTCAAGAAAAGATTAACTATATGACTATTAAACAGAAGGGAAAATGGAACTTTTCCTTTTATGTGTCTCTGTTTAAATGGGGAATTTGCCTTTGAATTCAGTCCCTGGTGGCTCTTAGTCTTAAACACTGCCATGTAACAAAACCGTTGGCGATTTCCACTGAGACATGTGTAAGCCTATATAAGCAAATGTGATCATTAAATGATACACACACTGAATAATGATCAAGGAATTAGAAGATCTTAGAGATGGCAGCCCGGAAAGTTAAAATGTCAATTCTGAGCAAATTAAAAGTAGCTAGGAGTGCATAACATACAAATGTATGCAAAAGCAATTTAATTTAAACATATTAGCGGGTGGCGGGTACACAAATTAGAAGCAAGCTTCATTTTGCACACAAAAATAAAAAAAATACTTCTATTAATCAAAACATATTGTATTTGTAAAATATGACATTTCAGCTAGACTACTGCACTGGACTCATAGAAACATTTCCTTCTCTTTTTTTAATGCTCTGCTTTCAAATTTTATAATGCTCTACTTTTAAAAGGATGAAACATGCTTGATATTTCTGCTTTTAGAAAAATAATGTAGTGTATTACTAGTGTTACTAATATTTCATTTGGATATTAATAACATAAAGAATCAAGGAGGTAATTCTAAGCATAATATTTTACTAATATACATGTGAAAAGGGGGAATTTTTAAGTAGCACTTAGTTCCAATCAGGCTCCTGGAACTGCTGATGACTATAATGAATTATTACTTTGAAGAGGGCCTTTTTAGCAGCTACCTTAAAACAAGTTAGTTATGCATCTCTGAGAGAATCATAATTGGATATCTCTGGATAGTACAAGAAGTATGAATTGCAATCCTAACAACTTATATGCATTAAAATTTACACTCTTTCATTCATTTTGGGGACTCTTGAAAAAGAATAGCTTCCATTTAGGCCAAAGTGCCCATCCGTGGATGGTTTAGAAACATTCTCATCTACTCACTCTTACATGGATGAATGTCACAGATGTGTGCACGTCTCATCATTTCTATGGATAGAAATGAGTGGAGGTGAAGTCATTCCTGCTTCTAGAATTGACTCTAATCAAGACACTGACTCCATGCAGAAGGGATAGAGTTGTACCTTTCTCAAAGATTTTGGCTTTAGATTTATGGATGGGGTTGTATTTAAGATACAAAATGCCTTCTACTTTTATGAATCAGTTGTTGCATGCATATATGTAGCACATCTTGTCTTTTCTTAGTGCTTTGAGCACTGAAGCCTCTGTCAGTGTTTGTTCTTAGGTCTAATCCCTACTTTGGGGCAGGGGCATTCTCTAATATCTTCCTAGAATCTAGAGCAGTATTTTACAATCTTTTACTCATTATCACCCTGCCCCACAACTTCCTTCTCCATGAAAATTTAATACAACAGATATATAGAATATCTGTTTATGTATTATATGTAGATCTGTGCTATATATATAAAAAGAGTAAGACGTTTTTAAGCGCCACCCTCCCACCTGAGTCAATTTTCTCAACTTATGAGCTGTAAAGCCCCCATTGAGAATGTATCATCTACAGAAAAAAAAAAAATTCCAAACTTTGTGGGACTTTAGAACCTCCCAAACATCTCTCCAACTTTATGGCTTGCCTTTGTTATAATCCATGCTGGCGAAAACTCAGCGTTTGCATGCTCTCCCTCCCTTGTATTTCTACCTTTGTACATCATCTTTCCCAGCATCCCTACCCCTTTTGAAATCCTGCTCTCAAGCTACGTTTTTCATGACCCCTTAGTGGAAATTGATTTCCCTCTATTCTTATGTCCTCATAACTTTTCCTTATGTTATTTGTAAATTACAGATTTTACATTGGCAAATAGAGTCGTTTTTCCTTTTTCATGATAATTTTGACATTTCATAAAGTCATTTTTCTTGTGTGTATGTTGCTCAGACCCAACTAGATTGAAACCCTCATCTGGGGAAACATCCCCATAGTTTTCCCATTACATCCTTATCATTTTCAGCCTGTGTGGGTTCTTTAACAAATATGGCAATTAATCAACAAACATTTATTGAGCACCTGTTATGTTCCAGGCCCTGTTATAGGTGTTAGGGAGGCAGCGATGATCAAATGTGTATATGTGTCTGAATATGGACAGTGATATCTTCAAGAATGTTAGCATTGGAAAAGCTTTGGTTATTCAAAGTCCTTGTTTGACAAGGTAGGATACTGAGCCTCAGGGAGGTGAACTGAGGGAGGATCTCAACTCAGGACACTTGGTGGCCCAAGGTCACCCAGCAAATTATTGGCAGAATCATGAGATCTGACACCAAGTACATTACTTGTCTATTTGACACCAGGCCACCTGCATATTGCTAAGGTGTCTTTGGTCTGATGGTTGATATGCTAATATGTTCCACCATAGTAACAATTTTACTTCACATGTATCTTATGGCATTATGTTTTATATCTTAAATATATACAATAAAACCTATTTTCAAAAAAGATATTGATGGCCAGGTGCAGTGGCTCACGCCTGTGATCCCAGCACTTTGGGAGGCCAAGGCTGGTGGATCACGAGGTCAGGAGATCGAGACCATCCTGGCTAACACGGTGAAACCCTGCCCCACTAAAAACACAAAAAATTAGCTGGGCGTGGTGGCAGGCACCTGTAGTCCCAGCTACTTGGGAGGCTGAGGCAGGAGAATCGCTTGAACCCAGGAGGCGGAGCTTGCAGTGAGCCAAGACAGCACCACTGCACTCCAGCCTGGGCGACAGAGCAAGACTCCGTCTCAAAAAAAAAAAAAAAAAAAAAAGATATTGATATCTATGACTATTTGGAAAGTGACATTAAAAAATACTTTTTATATGCATATCTGAGGCAGAGTGAGAAAGTGCATTTTGAGAAATGAGAATCCCAGATTTTACAGTGTGCATATATTAAGAAGCAGTGTTTAGTTCTACCATTCAGAGCTGATGCAGGGCAAGAGAGCCCCAAAGTAGGGCTTAGCCCATGAGGGTTCTTGGCTTCACCCAGGAAAGAATTCAAGGGTGAGCCGATGGTAAAGTGGAAGAAAAATGCTTTATTGAAGTGGTAGTGTAAAATCTCTGGTGGTGTTACAGTGCTGTGACTGCTCCTGCAGAGCAGGGCTTTCCCACAGGCAGTGTGCTTGGAGTAGCAAGCAGCTCAGGGCAGTTTTGCAGTCATATTTATACATGCTTTTAATTACATGTAGATTAAGGAGAGGTTTATGCAAGATATTTCTAGGCAAAGGGTAGTAACATCTGGGTCATCAGGTCATTGACATGGAAATGAGTGGTAACTCCATGGCAATGGTAAACTGACAGGGCACACTGGTGGGAATGTCTTATGGAAAGCCACTTTTGCCCCATCCTTGTTTTAGCTAGTTCCCAATTTGGTCTGGTTTCTGAACCCCACCTCCAGAGTTAAGTTCTGGCTCTTGCCTCAGAACAGTCCTAACTTGAAGTGGGCAACCATGCAGCCAAGGATTCCCCATGCCTGGAGGTGTTTAAGTAAAGATTGAGTGACCATCTGTCAGGGAAAAGGTAGTAGGCAAGGGTGGTGGAGCTACTAGACTTGGTAAGACTTTGAATGAGTTGTTTTCTAGGTTTTCTTTCATATTGAAGGCCACCATGGCTTATTACCAATGAGCTAACACTGAAGAGCTGATGGAAATGTTGTCCATTTCTTGTTAGGACCAAAACCTCATATTCACAGCTGCCAGAAGGATTGTGGGCAACCTGCCCAACTGTGAGTGGTGACCCTACTACATGTCCTGATGGAAACCCATGAGAGGGCCATGGGCTCCAGATTTTATTGACAACTTGGGACTGTCTTTGAGAAGCTGACTATCTTTAGCTATGGTTAGAAGCAAAGAGATGACATTGTCCACCAATTCATAGAGATTCTAACCATGACTGTGTCTGGCTTAACGGAAACAGAGATGTAGCTTCCCTTTTCTCTTTTCGAAGAGATGGAAGACTGTCTTTCTAGGGAAAGGCTGCCATAGGACTCAGCCATTTTACCCTTTCCGTCAAATAACTTCAATTATTTTTGTTGTTGTTGTTTTTGTTGTTCATCTTAAATAACCTTAATTGTATCAAGCCTAAATGATGATATCTATTTTCTTTTACAGGGCCATATTTTGAAATAAGAAAATCTGAAGAATAAAGGATATTTTTCATTCTCTTTTTAGCAAACTCAATACATTGGTAGCATTTTCTTGTCAGATTGCTATTTTTCTTCAGCATTTTGCATGCTAATTATTTTGAACATTACATTGCATTTCATTACAATGCATTTCTCATTTTACTTATAACGAGGTGCTTATAAATTTTGAAAAGAAGAAGAACAGAACTACTTGAGGATAACAATTGTTTGAAAGAAAGGCTGTGTGTGTGTATGTATGTATTGGAAGATTCTGTGGCAAAAATGGAAAAGACTGAGCAAACTAAATCTATTTACCTAAGTTAGTTTCTTGTTTTGGGGTGAGCTTGATGAGAAGTATGCCAAAAAGATCATTCTTCACTTGGAAAAAAAATCTAAGAAGAGAAATGAATCTGCTTCTTCATCAACCCACCAATAAGTAGTCAGATGGAAGTTCACACTTTATTTCTATTCACGTTGTAGGAAACATGGAGAGAGTCACTCCTCTTAGCACATAACATGTCTCCAAGCTCTTTTTTACACTCCATTTTATTCCATTCTGCAAAGCTGCCCCGTGGCATCCACACTCTGTTTAAAAATCGGCTGATACAGTGTGTGTGGTAGCTTGTATTTTAGTTAGCACTGTTTTTATTATTTATTTATTTATTTATTTATTTATTATTATTATTTTTTAATAGGGACTCACTCTGTCACCCCAGGCTGGAGTACAGTGGCAGGATCATGGCTCACTGTAACCTTGAACTCCTGGGCTCAAGCAATCCTCCCACCTCAGCCTCCTGAGTAGTTTGGACTACATGCTGTGCCACCATGCCTGGCTACTTTTTTTATTTTGTAGAGATGGAGTCTGGTTATGTTGCCCAGACTGGTCTTGAACTCCTGGCCTCAGGTGATCCTCTCGCCTTGGCCCCCCAAAGTGTTGGGATTACAAGTGTGAACAACCACACCCAGCCCTTAGTTGGCACTTTTAAAGATCTCCACAGACTCTGAAAGGCATATACTATTTAGTATGAATTGAACAAACCACAATCATATTCACTAACAGCATAATTTTAGATAGCAAAAAGCTACTAAAAAACACACACGTATCTGCATAATTCTCAGGTTATTATTCGCAACTATTATTCCTTTATTCACAATTTGCAGACCTTTAAATTGCCCATGCAAGAGTTCAAATTTTTTTTTAATTGGTAAAAATATTCCCAAGAAAACATCCCTAGACTAAGATTTCCAGGTATGAAGATGATTTTTGAGTCTATCTTTATTTCTGATGGTATTAAGAATATTTAATGCCCCCAAAGAAGTAGCAGTCATGTGTTAAACTTTTATTATTTTTTTTTTTGAGACGGCATCTCGGTCTGTCACCCAGGCTGGAGTGCAGTGGAGCGATCTCGGCTCACTGCAAGCTCCACCTCCTGGGTTCACACCATTCTCCTGCCTCAGCCTCCCGAGTAGCTGGGACTACAGGTGCCCACCACCACGCCCAGCTAATTTTTTGTATTTTTAGTAGAGACGGGGTTTCACCGTGTTAGCCAGGATGTTCTCGATCCCCTGACCTTGTGATCCACCCGCCTCGGCCTCCCAAAGTGCTGGGATTACTGGCGTGAGCCGCCGCACCCGGCCGTGTTTGACTTTTAAGAAATTTAACAGATTATAAAATGACTTAGTGACATTATCACGAAGTTCCATGACAATTCTCAGACACTGGACAGGCACATTTTTAAAACTTCAGTTTTGCAGGGGAGCAAACAAGTTCATAGAGGTTTGAACCCTTGACTTCTGGCTAGTAAATGGGCACTAAATCTAGGGCTCTTCAAGGAATAGTGAAGGATACCAATTATTCTCTTCCATGTGTGTTGGTAGTAGTAGTCTCCGTATTTAAGTGCAAGTAAGTAAATGTTATTTCAAGACCATTGTTATTTTAAAACGTAAATATTACTCATTTTAACCTTTTCCTCTTAATAGCTATTCTCCAGCACAACTGTCTTCATTGTATTGAACATTGAAAAAAAATAGAGGCTCTCAATAATTTACCATCAAGGGATCCAGTTCTACCCTCATGAGTGAAAAGTCAGTAGGGCCATATTAAGAGACTGTTATAAACTGGAGAATAACAAACTAAAATTTAAATTTCTTGGTATTTGCAAAGGAGGAGCTACTGGTTATTAACCTCCCTGCAATAGGGAAACTCCTCTTGTGGCTCAGATGTGGAAGGGGGGCAGAAAAGCCTATTTTGCATTAATTTATCAGTGAGAGCCTTATACAGTATAACATTAGAGGAGGGTCTCAGTTCAGAAAACTGCTTAAAAATAGGCTGCAAGTCAAGGCTTCCAAACTGAGGAAAGGCCTCATGAATATTTGTTCTGGAGTTCCTAAAATGTGCTTGTAACATCCCTCTACTTTGCTCCATACTGTTTGCTGCATCCCAAAGATGTAAAATACTAGCATGAACGAAATGATTTCCTTAAAAAAAGAAAGAAAGAAAGAAAGAAAGAAACTAACAAGGCAAATCCAGCAGTAGGCTTTACTGGAGCTTTTCAAACCATCAAACCATAACCATCAAACTCTCCATATAGGAGTCTCTATTTTTTCAGAAAGGGGAGTCTGAGACTGACCCTCTGGAGCCTCAAGTCAAGCCCTCTTCCCATTTGGGGAATGGAGATGGCACCAAGCCTGCCAAACATTTTCAAATAAGACCTAAAATTTGCCAAACATTTGTGGAAATTGACAAACTTGCAACCCACAAGATTTCCCATAATTTATCCTGCAGGGTATATGTCCCATTTTAAAAAAAGCACACGGTTGTCAAATACATTTAGGAAAATCCGGGTTAAACAGAGTTACACAAAATTCTAGGTCAGTGGGGTAGGTATTGTTTCCTAAACATACTTGGCCATAAAGGTTTTTTTTAAAAAGGTGCATCTAAAAGGCCTAGACCAGGCAATGGCAAACTATGGACCTGTTTTGTTAACAAAGTTTCATTGGAACACAGCTACACTCGTTCATTTACATACTGTCTATGACTGCTTTCATGCTACAATGACAGAGTTGAGTTGTGACAGAGATTATGTGGCTCCAAAAGCCTAAGTATATAGTATATGGCCTTTTATAGAAAAAGTTTGCTGACCTCCCTGCCTAGAACCCCACCGAACACACTTTGGGAAACACTGAATCCTAGAGATAACACCATTGGAGTAAGACATACCACACAAATATCACAGCCGAGTTTATATTCCTTCTTCCTTATTTATCTTGTGCAATAAGAGATTTCATTTCATGAAACGTTTTTTCAGCCTCTTCCCCTACCCTACCCACCTCCTCCATCCCCGACCCTCCTGCCATTTGGGCAAAGAAGCTATGAGCATCATAGTAGAAGAAATGTATGGTGTTTCTCTCTGTCCACAATAACAGTGAAACCCATATGACATCATTAATCCATTTCTGTATTACTCTCCAGCCATTTGTACCCAAACTCCGATGGTATCAAAAAAGGTTTCCTTACTTGACTGGTTCCCATGACTCCCGCTCAAAGCCCCTGTGAATGGATTGTGCAATTGAGGACTCCATCAGATCCACATATCTAACAACAAGTGGGGCAAACAGGTCTTGCAGGTGTTTGTGAAATTTTCCATTGCACAAATTATCTAGAACAGATAAGCAAAAGCTTGTTAAGAACCCACAGCTACTTTATCAACGTACAACACACACACACACACACACAAACACACACACACACACACACACACACAGATGATTGATTGTCTTCTACATTAAATATACTGCTTCTAAGGAAGCCAAAAAGAGAAGAGAAGGAAAAAAGTACATAAAAAGCATTGAAATGGAATTCAAAAACACTTTACCCCTTGGTATTGATCTTCTAAAAGGAAAAACGATCATGCTACTTTAAGAAACAACAGAAACAACAATCCACACTATTTTTTTTTCTGTTTTTCTTGCACCCACTTCCCTTCTTCCCATTAAGTTCCTAGGAAGAAAGAACATTCTTCATACTCTGCCCTCCTTCATCACCCTCCCTGGGGAGGAAGGTCTATTTTATGGCTGTTGTCACTATAACATACTCTGAAATGCTTGACATGTTAGTCAGCTGGAAATTTTTTTTTCATCTAGAAAGCATCTTTTGATAAAAATTGCAAAATATGAAGAGGTTAATTAATTTGAGAGACAATCAAACACACAAAAAATGGATACCTCTTCTCACATTACTCTCAGGTTATTCTGTCTAGTTAAGAGAGAGCGTCCCTAGAACAGGATACTTTTTGGAAGAAAGGGAATACCCTTCAGCTGTATGTTTCTTTTTGGGGGGTGGGGTTAATCATAATAAAACCATGAAGAGCTATGTCAAGCCTGTAGTCTGCTTGGGATAAAGACATCTTAGTGATCTGTTTATCTGCACACTACTTAGGAAAGTCAAACAGTCAAAGGTAATACATACAGTCAGTACGGAGAAAATCATTCAGCAGCTGAAATAGTGGAAAACTGTCCCATGTGTCTGGAGGTTGCACCTCTAAGGCTGCATCCATGTCTACTGCAAAGAGTGACAGGAACGTCTCCGCATGCTCCACCATTAAATCTGACCACCACGCAAAGGCCTTTAAAATTTGGCAGAAAAACAATAGACAAAGAAGTGATGAGCTTCTTTCTCGGACATAAGACGTGAATTCCAGCCCTCACTGTTCAAAATTAATGGTGCATCCAGCAGGGTTTGGTAATTTTATTGTAAAGAGAACAGAATTTTTGATACAATTGGGGTGTTAAGTGTTTAAGGCAGTGCTTTGCGTTATTCCAGGCCTGCCATAGAGAGCCTTTATTCTGACCTATGGGTCAGAGGATGCTGCAGTAGAAATGACAGACGTGGAACTTCTGTTCAATTTACAATAACTCAGTACATTTTGAGTCATGCTCTTTGTCATTGTTGTTGGCTAGTTCTTGCTCTAAGGTATTAAAATCTGGGAGTTTCTTCACTGTGTTTATGGGTTTTCTGCTGGTCTAACTTGAAAATTTGTAATTATTGTTCACTTATATCTACATATCTGGGGCTTGTCTATGGTCTCATACAAAAACTCAAGAACTCATGTTTCCCTACACATTGGAAATGTTACTCCTATTTCATACTAAGTCAAAGAAAACCATTGTTGCAATTGTCACAAAACTTTTGAGTTGTAATCTTTTTAAGCAAGGAGGCTTTGGTTTTGTATCCAGTCTGGAGGAAAGATCAGGCTTAGGCTAGAAAACACTGAGTAAGATCAGGAGTTACTTTTCTGGGGGTTGGACACATATGTACATTGAAAACCAAAAAATATCAGTGAAGTAACTCATTTTCATGCACATGGGCCCTTGGAAATCATTGTGCAGGGTCTCAGGGGGTGACATTCACATCAGACTGGGCCAGATGTGAATTCAATTCAAAGGCATGCATGCATGTTGACTAATCATTTCTGGCAGGGAGCATGCAGAATGAGTGGCAGTGTCAACAGGCCCTGTTTTGCCGATTTCAAAGAGAGCAGAAAAACAAAAACAAATTGCCAGCCTCTTCTGGTCCCCCACATCCCCATTCAATGCCGCAAAGTATTTACATTGGAAACACTTTCCGGAGCATTCACCAAAAAAAGATGGGAAGGCATTTGAAAATATGAAAGATGATTATGGAAAAATTCCATAAATGAAAGGGTTTGTTCAATGGCCAAGCTCTTCTGTGATCTATTAGTTATTAGAGGGATATTCTAACAGCCACTAGGAGGCAGAATAGGGGTCCACCTCTCTTCTTTCACGAGATTTCACTTTACTTACTTCTCCTTTATCAACATGTGGCTGGTTTGCAAATTAAATGAAAAAAATCAAGTCATGGACCATTCTGCAAGGTTGGCTTGGCTGGAAATAGACACCTGCTGTTTCCATTTTAATTTACAGTAAAACCTCACTGATTCAGATTAATGGGAGAGGGGAGATGCTGGCCTGTCAGCAAAAAAAAGCCTAACTTATTGGACTTTCTAAAAAGAGGTATCCTTTTACTGTTTTTGAATGTAGCCTATAATTGGACACTAAAGTAAAAAGTATTCATTAAGTTTACATTAGTTATTAATGCAACATAAGTGTAAACGTTTTTTAAGCATGTAATAATTATAGATAAGATGACTTATAAATTGAAGTCAAAGAAACAGTAGATTTAATTTCATAGATCCTAGGATGGAAAAAAGGGTATTGGATTCCTCTAACTTGTAAGAAGAGTCTTTAGAATTTCCTGAGAAAGTTGAGATCAAGTTAAATATATTACATAAGAGAAAGAGTCACATCTGCAATTGAATTTTCACAGATTCCAATATTTGGGTCTGAACCGATGAGGTTTTATTGTAGTTTCACCACCTGCAGATGAGAGCCCTGGGGTTTAGGGCTTACTCCACTGACTACCTAGCTAAGTCCAGTAGATAGAGAAACCCTCCATGCCACCCCCAGAACTTTCCCAGACACCAGCCTTTTAGGCAGAGACCATCTAAACCCTGGAACTTGCTGGATGAAGTTCCATCTCCACCCCTGTGTGGAAGGCTGACTCTCATCAATCCTGATTCCAGACATTTGAAAAATTCACAAAGGTACACTAAATGTTGGCTAGTACTTATTCTTTAGTTATTCAACTAACTTTACATCTTCAGGATGAGTCCAAGAAAAGTTATTGGGAAGACTGAGTTGCCTCCCCAGATATAATTTGCCCTAGAATGACAGGAAAAAACAAAACAAAACAAAACAAAAAAACCAAGCTCAAATGTTTGCAATTAAAAGTTTATTAACCCAACCTCATACCTGGCTCTTACCAGCAATTTTTTTTTTTTTTTTGGACGGAGTTTTGCTCTTGTTACCCAGGCTGGAGTGCAATGGTGCGATCTTGGCTCACTGCAGCCCCTGCCTCAGCCTCCTGACTAGCTGGAATTACAGGCGCCTGCCACCATACCTGGCTAATTTTTTTTTGTTGTTTGTTTGTTTTTGTATTTTCAGTAGAGACGGGGTTGCATCATGTTGGCCAGGCTGGTCTCAAACTCCTGGCCTCAGCTGGTCCACCTGCCTCGGCCTCCCAAAGTGCTGGGATTACAGGCATGAGCCACCACACCTGGCCTCTTACCAGCTTTTTAGCTTAAAAGTTGCAAACCAGAGGTCATAAGAAGTGCCACTTCTACGATCTATAGAGAACTTCATCCCTCATTGTAATTTAATATATTATTGAGCAAATATTTACCATCCTTGCATTAATAATCATTTAGATATTAATAGCCCTGCAAAGAACGATGACTACTGTGGCATGAATCATTGCTATTGGAGTCTGGTAGAACAGTTTAGGGATCTAGTGAACCAAGAGAATTTAAATTTGGGGACTGTAGAGTAAGTGAGGACCAGAGCTATTTTTGTACATTCAAGGGAATTCTTTTCAAAACCTTATAATCAAACCTGACTCTCCAAGAAGAACAAAATGATTCTAGCAAGGGCAGTAACAACCAGAAAGCAAAAGTGTAATTCCAATTAAATGAACAGAATCTGTGTGACCGGGTTGGGAAAGGCCAGGCTTTAAAAATATTTATTTTATGCTTGCTCATACAGGTGAATGCTATTTTTGTACTTGAGCTAACTCACAATGTTCATGGGCATCTAAAGTCTTATAAACCTTTTCCAAAGACAATAAGGAGAATAAGGAGTTATACTTCGGCTACTAAATACTTACCCAGAGCTTTTCGTTATTCAAAGACAAAGATGTGTGCTTTAGGGGTACAGTCTACATCAAACACACTGTATATTTTGCACACAAACTAACATGTATATATGTACTCCTCTATATACCACAATACATATATACATATACATACGTATACATAGAGAGAGATTGGGAAGGTGTAGCAACCATACATGAAGGCATAATTCGTGTGTGTATGTTTGTGAATAGATTAGACTCTGGAAACAGAGTTTAGCTGCAATTAAGAGATAACTGTGACCACTGCTACCATATACCGCATGTGTGTGCATATGATGTACTCTTAGCTGGTGAGATTTCTTTTCTTGGGACATTTAATTACTTTATCTTGGAATTTAAAATGCCTTTAAGGATTATTGTTTTTATTTTAGGTGGAGGAGGCAAGCCTACTAGTCACTTTGATTTGAGTGGTACCACCAAACAGCATGGCCACACAGCCAAGATCCAAGCTTAGGATTTAGTCTTTTGTTTTTCTTTTCTTTTCTTTTTTTTTTTTTTAATATACTGAGCACCCAGAGAACATGGTAGTGAGTACTGATCAGTAGAACATAATTGTCTTACTTTTTCTTTTGGGGAAGAAAAACCCTATGTTTAGTGTGCCAGCAGTAAGGCTACCTCTTCCACTGTACTCCAGCCAGTCTTGACCCTGGTTGTACACTGGAATCACCTGGGCAGCTTTTAAAAATTACCCATGCTCAGCACCTCCCTGGAAGATTTCAATAAATTGAGCTGGGACAAGACCTGGAGATCTGAATTTTCAAGAGCTGTCCACGTGATTGCAATCTGTAAGTAAAAGTTGAGAACAGGTGGTAGTGCCTTTCTGGCCCACTGTACCTTGAAATGAATCTGCTCTCAACACGTTCTGTTTATTCTGTTCATTTGGTACTTTCCACACAGGTTTTGTCACTTTGATAATCAGATATTCTTATATTTTGTTTCCTTAGCAATTTGTTCCTCATAACAAAAGAGCCAAGCTTTGTGGAGTGCTCACTTTGTGCCAGGCATAACACCAGATGCTTTAATGAATGTGGCCTTCCACTCTAACAATGACCATCTATTGTTATCTCCACTTTACAGGATGAGAGAAGTTATACTGGAAGAGAAGAGGCAAAGCTAGGATTCAAAGCCAAACTTCTCTGGCACAGAGCCTAAACTCCTGGACACCCTGCGTTCTATTGCTTGAAGGACAGGCTGTCCTATGCCTAGTTGTCTTTCAAAAAGCACCAAGGTAGTTGCCTCAGTGCTCAGAAGATGGAAGACGCTCAATAGGTAGCTTTTGATTGATGGAGAAGATTTTGTGATTGGGTAAAATTTTTAATTTTGGAAAGAATCCTGTACATTTATCTAAAAGAAAATTTGGTCTCAGGCACTTCAAAGTATGCTGAAGTTTTCATTACTAAGTTTTAAAGTTGGTAATGGGAATTGAGTTGATGTCTACTCTATTTAATTTGAATGGCTTTTGAATATACAAGATTAAAATATTTTGTGATGATGGTTATTAGGGCAGTTTAGGATAAGGATTAACACAGCGAGAAAGGGCTTTTTGGAAAAGTGAAACGTGCCTTGTTTAGCATATAAGCCCTCCTTTGGTGTTTCTTTTGAGCAATTTAGAAAAATATACATCCTTTCTTAGCCCGTAGCAGCCTCCAAAAATAACTTGATTATAAATCAAGTATATCTGTCATTTTTCTTCTCCTCTGATTCACTTAAAAGCACAATTGTGACTGAGAAAACTGTGCTCTTTGTATTTATGTCTTCAAGAATGTGTGGGTTTGGCCCAGCATCATGGGAAGAGCCTCAACCACTCAGATCAGAGGAGGGCAGGCTGGAGCCCCTCCATGCCTCTGGAGATGACTTTGTAGACACGTGGGAAGAACACACTTACCATCGCCGGAACCCCAGATGCCTGCAATCTGAAAAGAACATCCTATAGGATAGCGTAGGAAAAATATTCTAACCCACTTAATTGTTTACATGTTTGGAGGTTATCGATTTGCTTTTCCCTATCACTCATGGCTGTGCGTTGCGGATAGATGCTGCATGAATTAGTTCTACCTGCCTCAAGGGGTCTTACCCCCATTCTTTAAGGGTTTTCAGGGAAAAAAATTCTTCAGTACTCTCTCTATATATAAATACTGTATATATGATTCACATAGAGACGGTTGTTGAGGAAGATTAGTATCACTCCGGTGAGCTACTGGTTACTAAGTTTGATACTCATCTGCTGTAATAAAGGTAAGTACAGACAGACATAGGAAACTACACCAGGCTAAGGACAGAATCAAGGCAGGTAGGAGGCGTTGTGTTGGGATGTAACTGCAGTCGTTGTTAAGTATATCAATTGCTTCATGCACGCACAAGAGAATCACCCACATTGACCCTGCCGTGGAGGGTCACCCATTCCACAAGCAGTCCACTGGAAGTTGCTGTTACATTCCTTGGGTCAGTGTTAGAAAGCAGGAGCACCAGGAAAAGTCCCATTAGAAGACATGGTACTGGAAGGGCATGCACAAAGTATGACAGCAGGTGGCTGGTTCATTCGGTTTAGTCACATACCTCTTTCCCCTGCCATGATCAGCCAAGATTGAATAAAATAGTAGAAAAACAGGGAGGAAATTTAAATATGCAATCAGGCATTAGTCGGGACGGCTGGATTTATGGCGTATTATATATTATTTAACTATACTGGCAATTTCCATTTAGTCATGGAATGACCATTTTAGGTACTTGAGAAATTACTTTTAGGAAATGTCATTTTTCCCCTTTGCTGTAAATCTGAATGTAGAGAAAGGGGGAGAATTATGCAATTTTCAAAAAGATTATTTTAAGAGAGATGATTTTAAATCTCACTTTTGAGATGAGCATTGATATAACCATTTAACCATCATGAAATTTTGGAATTTTTTTGGAAGTGTTAGGTTGTTTAAGTCCTTATAGGTTTGGGATTTAGTTAGCCTTGAAATCCCTTGGTTTATAATTATTATCAAAAGGATCATTTTGACAGTGGTTTCTTAAAAAAAGTAAGCTATATTTATTTAGATGTATGTTGGAGAATCGACAAGTTGAACGACACAGAATAATTTGCTTCTGTCACTGTGTTTAACAACCCAGGCAATCTAAGATGAAAAAAAAAATGAAGACTGTAGTACAAGCAGAGTAAGTTACCGAGATAAATTGAGAAAGAAGGTCTGTGGTTCTCATACCAAATAACTAATAAAAACAACAGTGGTGGCAACAAAAACAACCACAAAAAACCAAAAAATATTTTGTGTTCTGGACAATGGTAACCAGATGCTGCTTGAATGATTAACTTTAAAAAGCACTCACCTCATTTGTTCATCGCTAGAAACATCTGAAAACTTAGGCCGAAACATACAACATGCAACCACTTTTTGGTTGGTTAAAATAACCTTCCAAAGACTTCTTGCAAAACTTCCACTTTCATTCCCTTTGCAATCCCAGTTAAAAGAAAATGGGTGTTAAGGCATCTTATTCACAATCTGGCTGGGAAAATCAGCTCTGCAAGCTCAGCTAAGGGACAGTAAGATACACTTCCCACCAAGCCTGCTCACCTCTGCGTGGTGCTCCTCATTTTGCTGAAGAACTTCAATGACTAGTTCAGCAAGACGTATTGTATCTTCAAGCTTTTTGGCAGGAGTGATTAACCGGCCTACATTTTCTGTAGTACAAGAGTTTGTGTTAAAATTCAGCGAAAGTGGCAGGCTACTTTTATGGCCATTAGAACTAGTGGATAAGAAATTGAGAATAGTTATCAGTTTTTTAAAAAAAATTCATGCAAATGTTAAGTGCCATGTAATTAGTAGTGAGCAAACCATAAAGCCATTTTATTATTATCACCATTATTATAATATATATTAGAAAAAAGCAGTGCTCCAGCTTCAAATTTGCATATGAAGCTATATTAAGTCTATGACAGCCCATATCAAATTTAGTGACATTTTGTACACATGTTCTTTAAAGACAGCATAAATGTACTATACCACTCTCTAGATTGTAATTATGCTACCTGAAGTGGGAAGATTAACAGAAGTTTAATATTGATTGCTGTTACATTTGTTTTTTAGATTAGTTATTAAATGCTACAGCGTAATTTTTCATTGCAGGCTCGCGTATGTTGGAACGCTCATTTTGAAAATGCAGATTCAAATGTCTGCTTCAAGTTGTCCAGGGAGGAGATAGAAAAGAAAAATTGGATATGCCTGGGCCATTAGTCAGGAATAATAATTCTTAAAAGGGTGTTAGGAGTAGATTATTGAATGGGTTGTGATAGTTTGTGCTACTGGTTGTTACAATTGAAATTTTATCAGTTAAACTGAAACAATGTACTTAATTGTTTTCTTTGTTTTTAGTTTCTCTTAAACTGAAAGTGTTGTATTTTTACCCAGCTCAAGAAGAATCTGAACCCTGGCTTATGTTGCCTTCTTTTTAGAGCTGAGTTCATGAGTTTGACAATGTCATTATGTTCCAAAAATTACAAACTTTTTTCCTTTGGGAAAACAGTAATATTTAAAACATAAAGGAGGTTTTCTTTCTTTCTTTTCTTTTTCTTGTTTTTTTTGGAGACGGAGTCTCATTTATTCTGTTGCCCAGGCTGGAGGGCAGTGGTGCGATCTCAGCTCACTGCAACCTCTGCCTCCTGGGTTCAAGTGATCCTCCTGCCTCAGCCTCCTGAGTAGCTGGGATTACAGGCACCCGCCACCACGCCGGGCTGATTTTTGTATTTTTAGTAGAGACAGAGTTTCACCTTGCTGGCCAGGATGGTCTCAAACTCCTTACCTCAGGAGATCCGCCCGCCTCAGCCTTCCAAAGTGCTGGCATTACAGGCGTGAACCACTGTGCCCGGCCAAAACATAAAGGTTTTCTTGGCCAGTGAAACTGCTTGGATTCAACCAGTCTGAATTCCAGGGGAACTTGTATTTCATGTTTAGCCCCCTTCAAACCTTGAAGTCTCAGAGTCAGAGCACATGGGATATAGTGAAATAAACATCATTTAGTAGAATTCCCCAAGTAGGTACATACATTTGCAAAAGAACTGGCAAAATTTCTTTTCATCTCTTCATCTGAAACAGGTATATTTTGGCTTCAGGATGTTTCTTGCTAGAAAGAATTACCTATTACTAAATAGGAAGGTTTCTGGCAGGCAGCAGTGGGTGGGAGGAAGTAGGCAGACTTAAAATCATAAGAGATTGCTAATTTACAAAAAAAAAGGTTCTTAATATTCTTTTATGCATTTCTTACGTAATGAACATATCAGGTCATTAGTAATTTAGGATTTAATAATGAAAAATAAATTCAGCGAGACACTATGCAAGAAGAGTGTTCTAGCAAATGGGATGTAAGGTGATTAGTGGGACAGGGTAAGACTAGCCAGGTGTTGAAAGTCTCAGTCTAACAGGGCCTGAGGGCTAGTGTGAAAATGGGCTTCCTGGATTCAAGTCAATGGAAAGCTCCATTATCTCTGCCAAACCCAGATGGAAATGTGGCTGGATCTGGTTAGAGCCTGAAGGTGGGGCTGTGGGAAACATAAACATGTGGATTAGGCAGAGAACAACCAACACTCAGAATAAGTAGATGTGGGAGCTTAGGTGCTGAGAGCCCATTGCCTGGTCTAGAGCAACATATATTTAGAGAAAGAGTGTATGACAAGATTGACTTCTGTGCTTTTGGGGCATCTGACCTGTTAGTAATTTGATAAATAGACTATCATAATTTCATTCGTAGACTTTCAGGCATTTCTACAAACATACTGTGTATATATTTTTGGGTAATATGTGTAGAGTGAGGTATTTGCATTTTGATAGTAAATATGCACAGGCTACTATTTTTTGTTCGTTGATATTCACATTTACACATCAATTTGCAAATTCCTCATCCTATGCTTATTACCCATTCGACACATACACCCACATACACACATCACACACTTACATACATTTTCTAGTAACAGACAAGCCTGCACATTAATACAAATCTTCAGGAAATCCCACTTGGGGCACATCTTTGAAATCTCTTGCTTTAAAAATAGAGAGCTTTGTCCTTTTGGGTGAAACACTCCCCAAATCTAGGGGAATTCTGGCTGTTTATGACATAGGATAAATAAATAATTCATACCAATATTTTTATGCACTTTTTAAAAAAAAGTCAATAATTTTTATGTTTGGAAAAATCCAAGATGTTGAAGCTAGGACCACCTGAAGATTTGTTTTAATAGGCAGTACTCTTAGATTGACTACAATAGATATCAATAGATACACATAAATTGTGCATGTGCATGCAGCCATTCTATGAGTGTGTGCACATGTACGCAGATATGTGTATGCCTGATGTATATATACAGACAGTATGTTTAATAAAACCCTTTGCAATTTTACTTGAACATAAAACCATTAAAGTAAGCAGGTTAAGGATCCTTTAATCTAGAACACTTGATCTGCCAATTAACCCATGTAGCCAGTCTTTCATTTACTATTAATTAGCTGTGATTCCATCATCTGTAGATCAAGCCACATTAGTGAGACACTGCACTATTTTCCTGTTTGTTTGCATAGCTGCTGTACTACTAGCTAAATGGCAAAATGGAACTAAAAGTAAATTCCCTAAGATGTTGTCTTTAAAGAAAATATTGTGCAAAATCCTTTAGCACTTCTTCCCTCTCCCCAACAGAGGTCAAGGAGAAATTTGTGCTTAGAAGTGATTTTTTTTTTTTTTGGCCACTTAACGCTGTCTTCAGATGAATTACAATATTCCTATCCCCCAAGCTTGCGCTAGCTGGAGCACTGATAAAATGGAACTAAAAATATAGTATACTTAAGAACCATTTCATACAATAGAATTGAAGCTCATAACACAGAAAAAATTGTCATGCAAAATGTTACGCAACAACAATGTTATTTTGTGCTGACATTGAGATTTGAAAATGTTGCATATGTCAGACATAGCTAGACAAAAAATATGTGGACATTTGGAAATAAATGCTCTCTTTTGAGTATCTCAAAACCTATAAAATTATACTTGAGAGCCCGAGTCTCAGCTTAGTGTTCCAAACTGAAACAAAATTTCAAGAAGAAAGGTGAACAGAAAAGCAAACTAAACTAGAAAGCTGCCAAGTAGAGGAATGATGAAAGTTTACGGTACTTGATTTTGGCCTAGGCATGCCTTTGAGCCTCTGATATAACATGCTGGTCTGTGTTTGGGTGGGTGGAGGAGGAGGCCCAGGATGTGGCAGGGGAGCTGCTTGGGTAGGTGAAGAGAGACAGTAAAAAAGTAAAGACAAAGTGACTTTAACAAAGGGTGACAAGTAAGATGACAAACTCTGAAAAGAACAACCAAATAAGCAAAAATGATAAAACACAAATGGAGAGCTGCTGCTTTCTTGGCAATTCTTCAACACTACAGAGGTGTGACATTGTTTGACAAGGACTCTTACCAGTGTCACCAGCAACCCCCACCCACCACCACCACCGAGACACTCAGAGGCTGAATGCAAATACCAGATGCTTTATCCAGATGGATACACATGAATGATGGCAGCAGCAGCACTGACCAAAAAAAGATACACTTCGTACAATGAAGAACACCTATACATTAATAGCTGCTTCTTTTTTACAGATGACCAGAAATAGGACTTGATATATTAATAGTTGGAAGATCTGGCTTGTCATCCCCCATATGTTACTTACTTTCTACGTAACCTTGCATCTGCTACTTGAACCTCTCTGTGCTTTAGTTTCCTCATCTATAAATTGAGAGTATCTTTTCTTGTATATGTTACAGGGCTGCTGATAAGAGCAAAGAAAGCAATCTATGGGACTGATCTCTGTAAAGCTCAAGATGCCTACACATGTTTATTGCTACCTCCACATTGTGAGAAGGCTGCAATTAATTGCTTTGCAAAAGCAGATGAAGGGCCGTTATTAGTTCAAGTGAGCTAGGAAATATTCTTGCTCCCTTTGTGGAATTTCAACATGTCAAAATCTGTCATTTTGGGGGAAAATGTGTGGTATCTGATTGTTTCCAGCTCATTTAATTATTTTCAATTTGGAATTCTCGTGGCTTTTATATTGTGGGTTGAATCATATATAAAAACTTGCCAGCTTATCAAATATGTTACTTGCTATTCCAAATGTTAGAATACTGTAATCAGCACTTGACCCATCTGTCATGTGGTTTACAATATCAGCACAGCAAACATCCTATAACAATAGCCTCTCCTTCAGTACAGGCACAGAGCACTATCAGCTTCTGCAATTCTCTCTCTTTAATGAGTGTCTCATTAACCTTGGACCTGCTCCTTTCTAATAGTTCTGGTTTATAAAGCAATCTGTATGGTGAGAGGGACATACTCCATTGCCAAGTTTCCTTCTTGGTTTGCTTGAATTTTCAACTGGGAAAATGAATTTTACTGCAGGCATGTAGGAAATGGAATTCTAGTGACATTAATAAAAAAGATTGAAAAATATGGATAAAATATAATATTCTGGCAAAAATCATCTATTAAAAGCATGAGATCCTCTTCTTGCTGGACCATTTCAGTGTTTAGAATACAGGACAAAAAAATTAACAGTTTCCTCTTATTGAAATTGTTTGGGAAAAAAATGTGTGTAAATAGAATTTGGAAGACTCAGTTTTAAATGATAACCATTTAAAAGGAGGCAACTACTAATCCTTTCATCATAAAAAATAGTACTCCATATTGTATATTTTGTTAAAATCTGGTTTTCCACTGACAGCACTGCCTAAAGTTAAGAGCATTTCTGGTAATCCATCCTCATGGCTCTTTCAGTGAATGCATGTTACCTGCATGTGCAGTTCTCACAGAAATTCCTGACTCATTCTCACCCAGTTAACTGAACCTGGGTAGAGAAAGACTTGATCTGGTGGTGAATAAAACAATAAGGCGCCTCTGGGTTGATCTGTCACCCATGAGGCAGCAGATACATATTTCAGCTAAATGGGTCTTGATGAGAAATTCATAAAGGGATTTCCTCCTGCCAACTGTCTGTCCAGAATTCTGACAGTGAGGTTTGCCACCATAGAAAAACAAGCTCCCTATTTTTTTTTCCTCAAAGAGCAAAACAAAAACATCATACCTTGGTTTCCAACTTCATTTACCCAATTACCATTGCTCATGTTTACACAATTAAATCTGCTTGGCTTCCAGAGAGAGAGTTAAATGTGACTGCAGAAAAACAAAAAGAGAATTCCGCAGCAGGCTTATCTAAGCCAAGGAAGAGATGCATCCAGGAGCAAGAGACACTCCAATTAGCCCTTAAATAACCTGACCAACTCTGGCTCTAGCTAGTGAATTGCCAGTCCCTGAAATATCATATGAGAGATGAATATGATTGATGGAAACTCACTTATTACCAAGTTCCAGCCTATTGATGTGTTGCTGAAGATGCTAGTATTTGTATTATGCAATTACAGAAAATAACTAGCCTGTAGCAATTTGCTATGATCTGGGGGTGGGGGTAGATAAAAGCTCAAGTAGCAACAGAAAGCTTAGCAGATAGCCACATCATACTATCCTGAATACCCAGCTTCCCTAAAATGATGGCTACATAGGCCAAAAACATGCAAGGTTGAAATCTAATACAATTTATTTAGTGGGACTGTCTGTTATGTATACTTGATCCCCTTGATTCTCCAATATCCACTCCCTTTCAAAAGGTTCCAGCTCTAGGTCAGTCTAAAGTATGTGTTAATACAGGCTGTTGGATGGATCATGGATTTTTCCCATGCTTTTCATTGGAGCCATCGTTGTCTTTTCCCTGTAAGGACTTAGGTGGTATAGCTTGTCCAGTCTACCTCCAAAATGTCTCTTATCTCACACCGTACTAGATCACGTGCTTATCCACACTCTTGCCGAGGGGGTGGGCATATGACTCAGGTCTCATCATTTCCACCTCAACTGTTGCTAAAGCCTCCAAGGCAGCCTTCAGTCCCTTTTCTCTTCTGCAGTTCATTCTCTGCCATGCAGCAGTCAGAGTGATCTCTGTTAAGCACACATCTGAACTTGTCATGCTCCTGCTTAAAAACCTTTGAGAGCTTCCCTTCATGACAAGGGTTATGCCTTCATATGCCATAACAAGAGAGTGCCATCATAGCAAAGCTTCAGCTCCTCTGTCGATGCTTCTACTTGAGCACTTCTGGCCCTGGATAATAGGAAATTATATACATTTGTCTATCTCCCTGTCTGCCAGGGAATTCTGTATTTCTAGGGCTTAGAGCAGTGCTGGGGCCAGGGTAGGTCATCAAATATTGGTAGAAGGGAATTCTCAGTGGATCCTGTCCAATGCAGTGCTTTCATGAAAAATAAAATGCTCTGTGTTTTCAGTATACATACAAACTACACAGGAATTCTTATCTCTTATCCAAAGTCTCTGGTTACTTAACAAATGTACTAGGCTGAATTCTGAATAGTAAACATCATAACTTAAACTTCCAAGCCAGAGAATAACATCAGGTTTCTTAATGCAATTAAATACTATTTAAGACAGCTGTGCGCGGTGGCTCACACCTGTAATCCCGGCACTTTGGGAGGCTGAGGCAGGAGGATCACGAGGTCAGGAGTTCCAGACCATCCTGGCCAACATGGTGAAACCTCGTCTCTATTAAAAATACAAAAGTTAGCTGGGCATGGTGGTGTGCACCTGTATTCCCAGCTACTCAGGAGGCTGAGGCAGGAGAATCTCTTGGACCCGGGAGGCGGAGGTTGCAGTGAGCCGAGATCACCCCACTGCACTCCAGCCTGGGTGACAGAGCAAGACTCCGTCTCAAAAAACAAAAACAAAAACTATTTAAGACAATTAAAAATAATTTTATTTAACTTAATACAAATTAATTTAAATTAAAGAAAGAAATATAACACTCTTGTAATGGTTTTTCTTCTCTAATTTGGTATTGTATGCCAACTCAGGCTTTGTTCCTCGGGCTGAGCTGTTGCATATAAGAAAAGTGAGCTTAATTCTGCATGGACATTGTGTTGGAAATCTGTCCTTGTATGTGCAAGAACCTTGCTTAGGGGAGTTACCTTCTCTACTCCATGTTATTTTGGTGGGACTTCCAAGGAAAGTATCCTTCAGGGGAAGCCACATGAGCTACACCTGGCCAACCATAGTACCTCATACCATCATGGGTACTATGACTGGCTCTGGGGTTAGCATGTGACCCAAGCTGGGCCACTGTGGCCCTTCTCTGGAATTGTATACAGTTGCTTGGAGAGGAATGCTCTTTTTCTTCTAGAGTCATTAGCTAGGATAAAAGGCTGGTGCTATTTGTGGCCATATTGCTTCCCAAACTTCAACCATTAGCTCCAGTCACATTAAAGAAGCCTGTCAGCAGCTGGAGATATGAAAACACATGAACATTTTTCATTTCTGAGACCAACTCCTTCATGGATTTCCTAGCTACATGAACCAAAAAATTCTCTTTTCTTGCTTAGGCTATTTGAGTTCTTTTTTTTCTCTGATTCAGTAGTACTACTAAGTACCCACTTAGTCCCCAAATAAACTTTTATGTACATTGCCACAAGCTGTCTTGGGCGGGAGCTTGGAGCATCTGGAGGGATGATGAATAGAGGCAAACACTGAAACAAGGCTAGGGAACACCCCAGTCAGTTCTTCTTAGGGGTCCAGTCTTTGACCTACATCATGCCCTTCTCTGGCACTATCCCCTGCTCTGCAATTCATCAAAGACCCTGGCCTGGGTAAAATTCCCTTGTGCTGCACTCCTGTGACACCTTGCTTGTTCCCTTTACTATCATCATCAGATTGTGATTGCTTGTTTCATGTCTCTGTTTTCTTTTTTTTTTTGGTAAGCTCAACAAGGGTAGGGAGCATGACTGCTTTTGCTCATCACACACTCCCCTGGTGTCTGGCATAGCTCCTGGAACCTAGTGGATATTTAACAAATATATATGGAGATTGCAATGTTGTATTTGAAATTTATAATAAAAGACAATTTGAATACCTCTTATATTCCCTTGGCTCTCAAAGTACCATCCCTGGATCAGCAGCTTCAGCATCACCTGGAAGCTTGTTAAGAATGCATATTCCCAGGCTCCACCCCAGACCTGCTGAATCAGAACCTACATTTCAACAAGATCCCCAGTGATTCAGATGGACATTAAAGTTGAAGAAGCACTGTTTTATGATTCATTTCTGAAATCAAATGATATCATTATACTATACATTTCAACTTGGAAGAACATCCTTTTAAATACTTTCAAACAAATAATAAATTAATATATATAATGAGCACTTACTATGTGCCAGGCATTTGTGCTAACCGATTTATTTAGAATATGTATTTTAATCTTTGCAATAATTCTCTGGGGGAGGAACCATTATTAGCACCTTTTATAGAAAATAAAAGTGAGGTTACAGAGGTTAGAAAGCCCAGTGGAGGCAAGATAAGGATTTGAATTTGGGGTATAACAAATCATTGAGTGCTCAGGCTGGGCTTGAGGTAGTGTTTTCTTAGAGCTGCACGTATATGACTCTAACATGTGGATGCTAGATGTCATCAAATGTCCTACTGGAAGCTCAGACCAGTTAATGGATTGTGGATAGGGCCGTTATATCTTGGCTGAAAGGTAAGGCAGCCTGGTGGGGTGGTGATGGCTCTTGAATAGCACATAGGACAAGAGACTGGAGAGTCACTGACTACTCATTTTTTTTGAACCTGGCTTCTTTTCTCCAGGCCTTGATTTTTCTAGCTGTCAATGACCAAGAAACCTCTTTTGTGTTATACAGTTTCATTGCTAACAAATCACAAGCACTTTATAGTGTAGAAGTTGAAAATGGGGACTTTGGAATTAAACAGGGTCATGTTCAAATTTTGACTCTACAACTAACCAGATGTTTAACCTTGGGGGAGTGACTTAACATGTTTCTACTTCAGGATTTCCATGCATGAATGCATAAGTTCTTATTTCATTGAAGTAAGAGGCACATCGTAACATTTCTGAAATCCGGATGCATCTTATGTTTGATAGCATGTCACAATACAGTATATGAATGGCGCAGCTTATAATTGATGGCCCTTTAGATTCAATGAAATATGGTAATAAAACACTTATCTCACAGGGTCATGGTGAGAATTAAATGAGATATGTATAACTACTTAGCACATACTAAATTCTCAATAAACAACAATTTTTATCATAATCTGCAGCATCACATCTTTTTTTCTGATAGAAGAGAGAGACACTGGTTTCATATTTGTGGGTTCACAGCATATTTTAACACATCCTTTTTTTTCCCAAAATCTTTCTTGGTGACAGTGTTTAAAACATGTTTCTCTTTGTCCTCCCCACTTATGGTAAAGTATAGATGAGGTGCTAGTCCACAGAATAATCTGGGCTTGGAAACCCTGATTTATGCACCACTGAAACAAAAAGGATGGAAAGGCTGGGTGTGGTGGCTCATGCCTGTAATCTCAGCACTTTAGGAGGCCGAGGTGGGTGGATCACTTGAGGCCAGGAGTTCAAGACCAACCTGGCCAACATGGTAAAACCCCATCTCTACTAAAAATACAAAAAATTAGCTGGGCATGGTGGTGTGTGCCTGTAGTCCCAGCCACTTCGGATGCTGAGACAAAAGTATTGTTTGAACCCAGGAAGTAGATGTTGTGGTGAGCCAGGATCCTATCACTGTACTCTAAAGCAAGACTCTGTCTCAAAAAAAAAAAAAAAAGAAAGAAAGAAAGAAAGAAATAAAAGAGAACCACTTAGTCCCTCATGTATAAGACATGAAGCATGAGATGGTCCTCATCTCAGAATGGCCATCCTGTGGGGATGAGATTCACTATTATTGGTCCCTTGTGGAAGACAGTGGGGTGGTGGCTTGGCTCTATGTGTTGGTGAGTTTTGCCAGCTTGGTTCTCTTTCTCTCTTTCAACAAGCCTTAGATCTGTAGGAAATTTGCCTGGAGACAGAGAAAGATACAAAACCTCAACATCACACAATCTTCCTGGAAGTCCTTTGGATAGATTTGACCTGATCTAGAAGGTTTCTGTCAATTGGAGAGAAGAAAAGTCCTCAGTTCTTGGACAACCTTGGGGAATCTCAACTGCCCTCGGGAAGAATTTACAATGTAAAGATTTTGTCAATGATCCAGTTCCAGAAAGGACTGCTCTGTTAATTTGTAGTCTTCCTATGTAAAAAGTGGTAGGTATTATACTTGACCTTATCCACTGAATGAATGGATATTGTCTAAGTGCTCACCACATCAGGCAAAAAGTCTACATGGTAGAAAGAGACAAAAATGCATGGTATTTAAATTTAGACAGACCTGAGTTCAAATCCTGCTTCAGAAAGTTACTTATCCTCACTGAATCACAGCTCCTTCATCTGTAAAGGGTGCAAAAATAAAGACTTCTTTATGAGTCTAAGGTTAAGATTGAATCAGAAGCCCTTAGCACAGGGCCAAGGCCCATAGGTTCATAGGTGGCTGCTCTCTTCTCTCTTTCTCTCCCCACCTACCCATCATTCATCCATCCACCCACCCACCTATCTACCTACTCTCCTCTCCTTTCCTCTCCTCTCTCCTCTCCTTTCCTCCCACCTACCTATTTCTGCATCTATCTATCTATCTATCTATCTATCTATCTATCTGCCTGCCTACCTAATTATTTCTGTCTATATCTATCTGCTGTCTGTCTACAAATCATCATCTGTCTGATTTTGCAAATCCTTGCCATATTTGGAGGAAAAAGTTGTTTTATTTCAAATTCCAGTGGAATCGTTATGATGCTCAGAAAATTATGCAAGTATTTAGCCAAGAACTGAGGCAAAACAGCAATAGTAGTGTAGACTTTCTCAGAGCTTGCTGGGTTCAGAATGTGTGACGGTTTACATGGAAATGTATTTAAAATAATAGAATTCATTTGCAGGAGTCACAGCTTTTCTTTCATAGACTAGCAGGCTTTTGCATCTTTTTTTGGAGGTACTGTAATTAAATTGAACATTTAATTTCTAATAATGCCACCAAACATAAAGCATAAGTCCACCAAAATGCCATCTGCATAGCCCTGTAGATTCTTAAAGCATAGTCTGACTAAAGGACTCAGCAGCTGTCCATATTTCAGTCCCCAGTATTCTACCCACTTCCCTACAATTTGCACCTGTAACTCCGGTGGTGCCCTACCACCTCCATACAGTTGGTTATGTAGACCTATCCATGAATTTGTGCTCTATTCTCATTAAGAAAATTGAAAAGGGAGGGAAGGGGTAAGAAAGAAAAAACATTTAAAGGCCAGGAAAGAAGTAATTATGATTAAGATTGCAATTGAGACCTGATATACTTAGAAAAAGCTTCACTATACCAAGCTTCAAACCCATCTCTGCTTTAACCTCAACTTTTAAGTCCAGTTCTACCCTATTCCCTCTCTTCAGTCCTTTCTCTTAATTCCTGCTAGCGTGATTTTTCTGCAGTGTAAACCGCCAACCCATCCCTTTGCATAAACAGCCTTCAATGACTCTTCATCACCTTTGCAGTTGAGACCTGTGGAATCTTTCTTCTGAAAAAATCCATATGCATGCCAAGGTTGGCATGATTTTCAAGTTAAGAAATTTTGAACCATGAGATATAGTCTGAACTCAGCATTATTATGGCATAGAAAGACCTTTGAAGTCCTGTCCCTGCCTACCTTGCCATCATCAGCACCCATCCACTACTATCATTTCACTCTGTTTTGCAGCTACGTTGAATTAATTACAGAGTAGTTAAAAGTGTGGCTTCTGCCTGGGCTGACTCCAGCTATACCACTTATACTTCTGGATGTGTGTTTTTTTAAGTTCTGTGCCTCCGTTTGCTCATCTCTACTATGGGAATAATAATAGTTCCCTCTTATAAGGGATTTTGAGGAGAAATAAGTTAATAATATGCTTAGAATCATACCTGGAACATGATATGCATTAAATAAGCATTCATTATTTTTTATTAGCTATCTGGCTTTACATATTTGCACATATTATTCTCTTGATGTAGGATGACTTTCCATTCCCAATCCTAGCTCCCCTTTGCTTATTCTAATTCATCTCTCAAGATGCAGTTCAATCCTTACCATCTCGTGAAGACTTCCATGGTTTTCTGACAATGCCCCATCCCTTTTACACATAACTCTACCAATAGGCCTTGCAATATAGTGATTTACATATATAGACCCATTTGCATGTATACTCCATGAGGCTAATAGCCGTTTCCCTCTTGTTTACATAGTCTCTGGCTTTTAACACTGTACCTGCTACAGGGTAGGCTCCCACTAACCATTTGTCTAATAAATGAATGAATGAGTGAATAAATGACTGAATAAATATCTTCCCTACCAGAGAGAAAGGTTCATGTGTCTTGAACACAGGTTTATGAGTCTTCAAATACTTATTGCAGCCCTATGCTTGGAATGTGCTCAGGAATGCTTTCTGAAATGTTTTGAAATGTGCTCAACTGTTAATTTGGATTAACTGATAGTTATTTTTGACAACCCTTTAGACTACAAAAATGATGATCCCTATTCTAATTTATTAAAGTTTTAAGTCAGACTTCTCCTCAAAATAAGATCAGAAGTTTTGGGACCAAACAAGAAGAAAATTTCCGAAGCCAGAACTTTCCAAGAGCTTTCCTCTAATACAACTTCCAGCAACAGCCCCTGTTCGGTCATCCTGTCCATGCTTCCTGCTTTATCATGCGATACATACAAGAACAACATGGATACAACTTCTCTCTGTCTTGGCTGATAAACATTCATCAAAGAACACAAACTTCTCAATAGGGCAGAAAACAGAAAAAAGAAATGAAAAACAAAGAGGAAGATTCATTTGGTTAAACAACTTTTTAAAAAATGCACATGAGGCCAAATCACTGGAATCCTATAACCAAGGATGAAATGAAGCTCTGCAGCAAACCAGAATTCTATTCCTTTAAAGCTTATGCCTTTTCAGAAATTCTGCTCTATAAAGGTCAACATCAAATGGGCATGAGATGTATTTAGACAGCACAAATTAACTCCTTAAGTATTATTGCAACTCCACATGGCTCTCTGGGAGTACAAACCTTAAGGAGCCATTGAAAAACAAAAACAAAAACTGAATGTAACTCAACAGTCCTGATAATTTATAATGCATATACAATTGGTTCACCTGCATCCTTTTGATTCTCTATTTGAAAGAGAGAGCACAACAAGGAGAGAAGAGAGAGAAACAAGAACACATATGCAGAATTAATGAGCAAGTGGACCAAAATGCCCCCCACTTATGTGTGATACATGATATTGGAAAGAAAAGGTTGCCCTTGGGTTCCCACCGCCCCAAAGTTTGGGGGCCAGCAAAAAAGGCTCCTTCACAGAGGTGGAAAATGCTGCACAAATAGAAAATTAGTAAAATTAAGTTTAATGTGAAATCAAGCTATGAAACATACATGAACTCTCCAAGTGACAATTAAGTCATATGTTCTAGGCAAAGTTTAGAGGACAAGGACAAGTCAAAATCTCTAGAGGGAACAAGGAAAAGCTTCCCAGCTTGATAGAGAACAGACAGGAGGCATATAAGATCTAATTTTTACAGAGAATGGACCACCTGGTGTGGTCTCATACCCATAATAGTTTGGCATCTTAAACATGGAAAAGAAGGCATGATTTTGCCCCAAATATCCTTTATCTGACACCTAACGCATTGCTCCCCAGCCTAGCTGCTACCTTTTGATTGTGTACCAGTGACAAGCACTTTACAAATTAGGGTTACACACAAGCAAAGTAAAAATGCATTCAGGTCACAGACAGAGAATAACTGAAAAACTTACAGACAAATCTGAGTTTATCACAAACAAATGGCTTAATTGTCTAACCTGTTTTAGGCTGATAAAAAGTGACTGGACTTCTCACACTGGGTTTCACAGACAGAACCAACAGACAAGCCAATGCTAAAAAACTTGAAGCAAGGAGAGTGAGTTGGTTTGGATCTGGATTTTCTTGAAATAATGAAAACAGAAAGAGTGAAGACAGCATGGTGAGGAGGTGGTAGGTACTCACGAATGGTTAAATCCATCACTTGGGAGGCCAAGCAGAAGACAGGATGCTCATACATTTCTCTCTTTTTCCCTATAAAAGAGGATTTGGGCATGCAAGAGGCTTAGGTCAGAGGTAAAGAGGTTAAAGGTCATAGGTTAGAGGAAAACGTTACATTAGCTCAAAGGAAAATAGCCACAGAGTATTTTGGGATAAACACAGGATAAAAGAAAAAGGAGCTTCAAAATTGGAGATCTACTGGATTAACCATTCAGCATGCCGTGAGTCACGAGAGAGATTGTGACCATGATTTTACACGTCTCTTTAGAGCTGTTTGCAAGAATACAATGACCAAAACATCATGAGTAAAGGGAAACAAAATTTCATTGATTTAAGGCTCCAAGATACTAAGGATTTAAGACTTTAGTATCTAAGGCTCTTGAGGTATTTCTTCATAAACATAGTCTCCAGCAATATTACTACAACTTCTTTCCAGAATTCTCAGATAACAAAGCTGTTAATTCTCACAGAGGGGCTCAAATGTAAAAAATGAAAGATTTCTTCTCTGAGGGTAGGATCAGAGCCTTGTAAAAGAAAGTTGTCTGGTAGTAATATCTTTCAGGCTGCAATGTCTCAGCCTATGGTGGACTATGTTCATGAAAGAAAACCTGATACATGCAGCCAGAGGATGTTGGGTTGTCTGAATTAACAATCCCAGCATGCTTTGAAATTGGTGTCTCAGCCACTTTTGCAGAGGTCACATTAAAGTGGCTGAGCCAATCACGGACAAGGAAGGAGAGAAGCGGAAGAGAGCAGGTAGTGTGGAATGAGGTACTTCTCTGAAAAGAGAGTTGAAAAAAAAGAATTGGTTTCTTCAAAGAATCCCCAGACCTAAAAGTCACAGTGCAAAAGATAATTAACACAACCAAGAAGAATTGAGGCACAAAAGGAAATTACAGACCAGCTGATCTACTTTGGAAATGAATGCATTTTTACTTACAGATCTTAAAGTTTGTTTTTGGATAGATTTATCTGAAAGAAGAGAGCAGATCTTACCAAAAGACTAGTAGTAATAGCTAGACCAAGACCTATGAGGCAGCAGCCATGGCAACAGAACGTTTCTTGATCCCATCCCATCTCTGGACTTGCCTAGAATTGTTAGGTACCTGGCTGACTTTACCAAATACAACCAATCATTACGTCCTGGGACAGTAAATGCTGGAACAATTATTTGCTAATATAGCCCTTTAACGACCTCTTGTTCCTCTATTTTTGTCACTCATTACCAAGTCAAGAGTTGATAAACATCCTTTTGGTGCCCAATTCTTAAGTGTTTCTCCCTGGATGCATAACAGTGAATTCATTACCACTGGTACACAATTTGCATTGTCAGACAGACAAAATTGAGAGAGGGAGGACACGTAATGTACAGAACACTGTGAATTTGACATAATCTTAACCTAATTCTCTAAGGAAACAAGGATTTTGGCAGAGTAAGTGATGGGGTCTGAGTGATTGGTTAGTTTCTTTTCCCCCCAGTTGTCTTGAGGCAGACAATGCGCATTTGCTAGTTTTAGTCAGGTGTCATGTTTCACGTGTGAGAGAACATCAGATTCCAGAATGCGGACACATCGAGTTTTGCACACAGAACTTCCACATTTATACACTTACACCACTGGTCAAGTTGGGTGTGGCTTTCAAATCACCCTATAGCAGCCAACAGGGTAACAATGAAAAGTGATTAATACCTTCGTGGATGAATAGGTCCCAAAGAACCATATCTTCTCAAGTAGAGTTTACTCAAAGCACCTTTGGTGATTACTGGGTCATCAGTGACCACTTCCCTAAAACTTGAGAGGGCAGTGGTAACAAGCATTTAAGGTCTGGAGTAACAAGAATGAATGAGATCTAAAGCCAACTTGGAGCCATCACAGATGGCTCAGCACTAACCTGCCATCGAGCTTGAAGCACTACCAAAAGACAAGGTACTTTTGGGGGCAAGAAAGAGCAAAACCTTGATCTTGCTCTTTTCAGTTCTTGTATTGCTTCCAATGCTATCAGCAGCGGACAACAGACTGCTTTATTTTCCTCTGTTTAAAGAAGGGGGCAATTCTACAGAACTCCTTCATAGGAAAACATCAGCCACAGAGCCGATACTTAGGGCCAACACAGACTCTCAGAAGGAATTTAGTTATCTGATAACATCCTGTTTTCAATATTGTTCCCTTACAAAGGGAACTGTAATTACAAAGCCCCTGTAATGTCTTTTAATTCATTTACTTGGCCACAGCCAAGGAAACTTCGACATTTCAGGTGCTTCCAGGTTTCAGCTTAATATACTCAGACGGACCACTGTTTTCAGGTGCCCTTGAGAAAAGAGAAAGACTTCCCCAGGGAGGCATATCAAAATTTAAATTCAAAACTGGGGGCAGAAGGGAGCCTTACCTTCGATTTTGGCATACTCTGAGAGCCGAGAATAGTTGACTAACGCAGCCTGTTCCAGACATTTACGGATAACTGTTTTTACCTCCTCTTGTGGCACTGGGGTAACAATATCTTTCATCAAAACCTTCAAGTAGGAAAAAGAGGGATTATTAAGAAGGTTCAAGCAAATGTGTCACTCATCCATACTTCTTAGAAGCGTGAAAGTTTAAAATCAGTTCTTTGTGACTTAATAAGATTGAGAGCCATGCTTAAAGAGAAAGCACCAGAATTGCAAAGCATTGGCAAAGGCCGTCCATGAGTCAGGGAAGGGCTAGGAACATATCTTCTGTATATCCTATTTGGGAGTTTGAAGATAAAATATCAAGAGTTTTGGCAGTTTCCTCGCTTCTATTCTGATATTTGATGAATGGTAAACAAATCCTATAAAAATTACAACTAGGTCATTCAACCAAAACATTTCATTACAATTATGCTTATGTCTTTTTATATATATGTGATCTATCTTTTACTTTCATTCTTACCCTTTCCAAGAGTGAGAGAGTAGCTTTCAAAGCACCTTCAGGTCGACCAAATGGAAAGCAATACCTAAAAAAGACAAAATTCTTCAGGTTGCCTAAATTATTACATTTTAGCATGAAATATGCTGCAATTTGATTCCTATAGCAACTCTCTCTGAGGAATGGAAAATGCTTTTTATTTTGTCACGTTGTGTTATGTTAATCTGAATTCACACCATATATGTGTGTATATAATGTATATATGTGTATGTGTGAATAATGACTAAAGAGGGACTCTGCAAATGTCTGCAGCAGAAAAGAATATTCAGAGTGGTGACATAAGGCTCTGTTTAGATTTCTATTGTGAAGGAGAACTATTTGTTAGCTCAAATGTGACCTTATATGTTATTATCGAGACTGGCGTTAAAAAAGTATTAGTTGGAACAGGCTGAAATTCAAATACACTTACTTAAGTCCCCAAAAGATCAATATATGGAATAGAAAAGTGGATTTAGAGCAAATTCATGATTCTGCTAGCTATCCTTCCCTGCTTGCGGTTTCCTATTGTTATGGACCGTCTGCTACCGGTAATGCATTTTACATATAGTGTGTATGATCAATAAAGATTTATCCAGGAGGATTTTGATGGCACAGAAAAAAACTATGTCAGGTACCACTACAAGTTCCAGTGACTGGTTTCAGGTTGTCACTGGCCCGTCAGAACACTGTGCATGGGACAGAGAGACTAGCATGGCTGCTTAAACCTGGACTATCTTATGTAAGCATCCCACTTCTTCCACTTGCCAGCTGGATTGCCTTGGGCAAGTTCCTTAACCTCTCTCAGCCTCACTTTGTTCCTGGTTTAAATGGGGATTATGATAACTACCTTACAAAGTTGTTATGCCACGAGTTAATACTTCTCCAGCCTCCAGTTCTATATCTGGTATATAGGAAGTATTTAATAAATAGGAACAATTACAAATGCTATTATTATTTTTCAGTTACTATTTCAGGATCTCTGGTCCAGAACCACCAGGACAGCACTAAAAACACCTAATGTGCTCCAAGGGAGAAGTGGGCTATGTGATGTAAGGCTCAAGCACAGAATCTGCTGGCTCTCTTGAGTATGCAGGGGAGATTCAATCCACCCAGGCTGATGCAAGGTTCATTCTTTCCCTGTGTTGCCAGCCAGTGCTGTTTCTGCGGTAGTGGAAAAAGTGGAGACTCTCCTAGGAGTATCACTGCCTTCCTTCCTTGTTCACCATGTTCTGATTCACAAGATTTTTTATTTATTCATTTTTACTTAGGAACCTTGAAGAAGCTTCAAATTCAACTTTTTGTAATAGATTGTTGACCAGGGTCAGCTCAAACATGGAAGAATTTGTTCTTTAAGTGGAAATAACATGAACTTAAGAATGCAAAGTTTCCTGGTTATTGCGGAACCATATCTGATTGATTTGCTTGTTCTACTCAGTTATTTCTAAATATCCAATGTATCCTCTGGTAGATTTACAGTTTTGGAAAATTAAGTCCTTTAGTTTTCCCTTCCCACTCTCATCTCCTAATTAAAGCTCTCCAGCCCCAGATCCTTACCTAAAATGTGTAATCTGATTTTCTAGCAGAACTCGGAGCCTCTCTTTGATTTCTTCAAAACGTTCCTTTTCTTCAACAGTCACAGTTCCAATTCCATCAGGCCTGAAAGAAGACATGTCATGAAATGACGGGAACCTCATATGCTGACACCATCAAATCAAATCTCTAGCAGGAGGAAACTGTCCATTTTAGAAGAAACAACTACAGTGATCGATGTGAGCTCAGGAGAAGCCCAGCTATTCAGGGCTAGCTTCCAAAGGCGTTGGGTTGTGTTTGGGTTATCATTTTGGAAACATGTGCAGAGCTGTAGCTCTTTTCTTGTGAAATGGTAAAATGTACAAACTGGTGGCTTGAAGGTTAAGTCCAGCCCCTGAACTTGTTCTGTTTGGCTCACAGCGTCTTAAGAAATTTGAACCAGTTGCCAACATTTTTTTAAATTAGGGAAGTTTGAGAATACGATTCTGATTTCTGTTTTCTTGAAAATTTGGAACAGTTAGCATTATTAATTGGTGGCTAACAGCTTCTTCCTTACCTGGGACAGGCACTCACCTGGTCCACATTGCTAAATTGTATTACCTATCTCTCTTGTAGGCACTTGGGTTTGGGGTCCCTGAATTATGCACAAAAATTCCTATGAAAATCAGGTGACTTGTAAGTGTTTGTCTTTCCCGGTGTCAGACGTCTTAAATGGCTCAATTTCTTGCCTATAACTACCGATGTTCAGATTTATTTAAGTGCTCATGTATTCGTTGAAGAACAAACCACATGTTTTCCAATTTTAGCAAACTGTTACTCATTGTAATAAAAAGGACCCCAGCTTAAATAAATGATTTCAGTTTGATCATCATATTCTCATGGTTCTGTGTCATCTTTAGGTGCATACATATATACTCTATTTGTTATGGACCATTCAAGTTGAAAATATAAAGGGAGGATACATATTTATAGCCCAAATTTATCTGTTCCAAACTAAATGCAGGATAATCTGACCCATTCAAAGCCTTCAGCTTCCCAGATCTCATAGTGACTTGTTTTGACTACTGGCTGAGCCAGTTTGCAGATTGGTGTGTCACCATAAAACTTCTATTGGAACATTCTTCAGTTTGCAAATGCAAGTCATCTTGAGACCAAACAAATGGTCTTATTTATAGGCCTTCTCAAGGATCCAGCATAAGTTGGGAAAATCCTTTATACTAGACCAGTCTGACTGCACAAAAGACTTGGCAAATGACAGCAATGTACCTCCTGTTACGGGTTAATCAGTCAGCTTTCCTTCTTTTTTGATAATAAAAATGCCCTATTTGAAATATGCGAAAATTTCCTCTTCCCCACTTTATAAAAAATACCCCCAAACAGTAAAATCCTGTTCAGTCCATTTCTTCATACTCTTCCAAAGAAAGGCAAAATGATAAACAACAGGTAGGTTGCCTTCAAATTCTCTGGTAAATCTCAAATGTTAATTTACAAAGTTTATTAAAAAATTTTTTAAGAGACAGGGTCTTGTTCTGTTGTCCAGGCTGGGGTGCAGCAGTGTGATCATAGCTCACTGTGGCCTTGAACTCCTGGCCTCAAGTGATTCTTCTGCCTCAGCCTCTTGAGTAGCTGGGATTATGGGTGCAAGCTACCATGCTTAACAAAAACAAATTTTTTTTTTTTACATGAAACGTCCGTGAATCTACAGTTAGATAACAGGATGAATTTACTGGCCTCCACAAAACATGTGATGCTTTTGTTTGTAACTTTTCGTGTATATGCTACAACCTACAACTTCCTTAAGCTGTGGTTTTTAAATTTCTTTAAACAACCTTCAGCTTGTTAATGAACTGAACACACATTTGTTTATGTAATCAGCATGTGCATGCACACACTCAACTGGGGGAAAAATGGAGCAATTTAAAGCATTTGTTTTTTAGTGGAGAATTAACCCAGAGAAAAATGCTGTTAAATATAATTTTACAGTTCAGAAAAGGTTTACTGATCACAGCAAAAAGTATGGAGACTATTTAACATGAAGAGCCAGGATATTTGTGGTCATTATTAGGAGATAAATATCTCTGTGAATAAAACCATTCATTCATTACCCTACAAGCCTTCTAAGGCAATTAGGCAATTAGAAGGCAGCTTTCTGCTTTGTGTCTGAGATGATAAAAACTGAACATTTAGTGTATGCTTGGCCTTCTCAGTTAATTCTCACTATAAAAGATATTATTACAAACCTAACAATGGATTATGTTTTTTCCTTTTGTTCTGATGATTCCCATTTGTAATTATTAAAAGTATCAGATAGCAGCTTCTGCTTCGCTGATAACCTCTCCTCGTACTACTTTCTGAACACTATTAATCTCACTATTCCAATAAAAGTAAACAACTGAAAAGTAGTGTTGTCTCTTAAATTTGCTTCTTGATCACCTATGTCAGCGCGACAACTTTTATTTTAAATAAAACAAACTAACTTTACTAAGTCTGTAAGGTACAAGTACAGAGTTCACCAATAAAAACAGGTGATAAAACAATTTGATGTCGAATGATTTTGACATAAAATGTAAATTTGTAACTGCCAGAATTGCTCTGAAATGGTATTGGTAACAGGAGATGCTGCTTTACAAAGTGAGGAAAAGACATGCAGGAATAACAACTTGTCAAAGATCATAGGTTGTAACCAGGTCAGTTAAAAAGCAAAAGGATCCCTTTTTTGTTTGATTTCACTTCATTGTTTTCGAAAATTCTGTCAAACATCAATTTCTTGTTCATCGACCCCTATAATTTGGCAATGTTAGCTATACAGGTTTAGATAGATCTCTATAGAACTATTAACTGAAAAATTCAGGTTACATGCTTTGGAGAGTACTGTTTTTTCCACAGAAGCAACAGCATACTTTTTCTAGAGCAGTGGTTCTCAAACTTGAATGAGCCTCAGCATCACCTGGTGACAACCTGGATTGGTTGGTCCCCTAAAGTTGCTGATTCAGTAGAGCTGGGGGGTAGGGGTTGAGAACTTGCATTTCTAACAAGTTTACTGGTGCTGCTAGTGCTGCTGGTTCGAGGACCACACTCTAAGTGCCACTGTTCTAGAGAAAAAAAATATTAGGTGGGTGGTTCTTCCAGTGGCAGAGAGGGTATATTTGATTCAGGGTTCCTGATTTCTCTTAGGTTGGAGTGGATTTGGAACCCAAGATATTCTGCAAGAGATACATGGTATTATTTAACTATGAATCCCTTCCAAAAGTGGCATTTGTATTGTTTACAAGGTGCCATTCCAAGTAGTGCTGGTTGCAAAATAAATAGTAGAGCTATATTGGTATCTTTCAGACGCCATGCTTTTGTTTTGTCTTTCTGAAAATATTTGGGGGTGATTCTACAACTGTCTTAAAACTAGCTCTGCATCTTGTTCCTTTCTCAATGCTAAATCACTAAAGGAGACACAAAGAGTGAGAGAAGAGGAGGGGTGAAGCTGGATTTTAAACTGCTAGCTAGAAAATTCCAGGCTGAGATGTGTCTACACAGAACACCTGCCTAGAAGCCTGACTCTCTCACGCTCTCGTGTCCTGACTGTGAATATTCTGGTCTTCTTGCTTTCAGGCTTTTTAGCATCCATTGCCAATTTCTAACCCCTGGATTTGGAGGAGTGGCCTCAGCCACATTCTGGCCACTCTCGTGTGAGGGTAAATCGAGGTGCCTATTCCCCTACTATTAAAGCCGAAGGGCTTCCTAGAGGCCAGCCCCTCCCTTTCACAGCCACTCCATATCTAAGCTGGACTATGACCTCAGTTCAGCTACCAGGACACCCTCCTCTGGAATCCTTACGTTGAATAAATGATACAAGGCTAGAATAAACAGACGGAATTTGCTTGTTCCAGCAGCTGTGCCTTGACCAGACTGTCCTTACAGGTCAGTAGTTTTTGATCTTGTCTGTTTCTTAGAATTGTGAAAGGTCGCATCCTCAAAGCTCTATCTATCTATCTATCTATCTATCTATCTATCTATCTATCTATCTATCTATCTAACTATTGAGACAGGGTCTCATTCAGCCTAAGGTGGAGTGCAGTGGCGCAATCTCTGTTCACTGCAGCATTGACATCTCAAGCTCAAGCGATCCTCCTACTGCAGCCTCCTGAGAGGCTGGGACTGCAGAAGCATGCCACCATATCTTTTAATTTTGTTTTAATTTTCTTCAGACACAAGGTCTCATTATGTTGCCCAGGCTGGTCTCTAACTCCTGGGCTCAAGGGATCCTCCCACCTCAGCCTTGCAAAATGCTGGCATTACAGGCATGAGCCACTGGACCCAGCCTGACACTGGCATTTTTAAGGTTTCCCGTGTTACTCTAACATACAGTAAGAACCACTGTGTCAGTCCTGCTTTCTACTCTTCCATAGCTCACTTGATTCCAGCATTCCTTTCCCCGTCTTTGAGGCCCCCAGCATCATCCTAATAAACTCTCCTTTGCTTAGATTACCCAGAGTTAGTTTTTGTTACTTATATTGAACTCGATATAAGTTCATAAAGCACATATCTCTTCCTTCACAACGTTCCAAATTTTAATAGATGATGTCTTTGAACTTAGCTTTAGAAACACATACACACATGAGCACATACACATGCGAACATAGCCCCTGGTCTCTGGTTCCACCTAACTGCACACTGGCTAACAACTCGCTTCTTTTATATCATGATCCTGCAAACTTGAGACAATATGCAGGTCAAGCGCAGTCATTTTTGGAGCCGTGCTGAAGCCTGGAAGCTCTCCCACCTGCGGGCCATCACTGGAGCCAGAAATGAGTCTCTCCAGCCACAGCAGACTATATCGCATCTGACACGGCGGGCATCTCCGGAATCCACCTTTCAAGTTTTCGGCAAACCATTTTCTCACTGTCCTTCACAAAGTTGACATTTTCGGCAGCATGATAGGAAAGATGTCATGTCGGCTGCTCTTCAAGTTCTTGTCACAGTGGTTAGCACCAGTTCTGTCATCTTCACTCTCCTCACAGTCTCCCATCTTGAGCCATGTCACAAATAATAATACATCTAGAGTTGCATTTTTCTTTTTTTTTGTCAAATTGAAACTACCATAACCCAGCTGCCCAACCTTTGAGTGACTAGTTATGCAAATTGTTCTCTTTTTCCCAAATGCTTCTGACCTGGAGTTTATTAACTAATATCTATTATAGGATTAATATAATGAAGTACTGAGTTTTTAATGTGAAACATTTTAATATTTGAAATTAAGTGTGAACAGTGTAGTCAAAGAATTCAAGATTCAATGTGTTTTGTGAAATGAATTTACCTCTTTAGTGTTGTTAAATTGTCACTACACACCCAGGTGAGCACACAGACTTTTAGCAGTTCATTATCTTTCTAGAATGGTTCTCCATATTATGTTAAAAGCTGGGCCACAAAAACCTTCTTTTGAAAGGTAAGATGTCTCTTCAAGAGGGTCAGAATGCTAAATTAATTCAAAGCTTACAATGATCTATATGTTCTGATATTGCATCTATTTGGTGATTAAGGGCAGAATCCAGGTGTAAAAAGAAATGTATGAATTCCACAGAAGAGGAAACAGTGTCTGGTCCACTGCTCCGCATATAACCAGCTTTCAGGCTCCAGTCACTACCAACAAGGGGTAAAACTCCAGCTGAAGAGGGAATATACTTTCATCTCCAAATGCAAATGTCCACATATGCTGGTGCAGGCACCGTAAACATGATATATTCTCTCTCTCCAAATGGATGCATGCCTGCAGACCGCATGATGGATCCATGAAAATGTCCTTAAACAAGCATGATAACTGAATCCTACTTGCTACGAAATTGTTCCAGCCCAGAAACATGAGAGCTTAAAGGGCCAGAGAGGGACAGAATATCTTAGTAGATGTTCTTTGCAGTGCTCCCTAAATAGGACATTTAGACCAAACATCCTCTTTTAACCACTGACTTAAAAAGAAAAAGAGTTCTCCCAGAAACTAACTCTTTATTACTTCTAGTTTTAGAATGATACCTTTGAATTTAATCCTTGCATGGAAAGTTTTCCTTTGTCTCTTTCAAGTGATTAATAACCACAAATTCAAGATAGCACCAAAGCATTATCTTCTCAAAAGGAGATATCCCTGCTTGCTCATCTATATGGTTTGTACAATCCTATGTTAATTATAAATTATAATTAGGGCCCTCACATCTCATAGTTACTGCTTCATTATGAAAGCCAGCCTCACCCCTTCCTCTCCTTTCCTTCCAGCCCATGCCCTTTTCTAATTATGCCCTGATGCCCTGGGGCTCAGACACGCTGCTAAAACAAATATATCAAAGTGTTTGTATCACAAAGAATAAGATAGGAAGCAACAATAAGCAGTTTCTACAATATTACAAGTGTGCATTGTAGCTTCCTGGGGCTAATAATTAATCTCCAAACAAGGCTTGGAAGGGGCAAAAATACACCAGTGAGGACTGTCTTGACTTATTTACAGTTCTCCTAAATATGTGGTTATAACCTAACAGTATCAGAAGGTGTCATTAACTCTATTAAAGGATGAAAGTCGTGGAGAAGTCTCTCTCTACTGAACAGTCACAAAGAATATGGATGCTATGGGCACAAGGACATTAGTCAAAGTGGCTCAGGCTCAGTCCAGGTACTGAATGAAGCAAGAACACATCAGATGATTAGAGAAATTGTATAAAATGCAGGAAAGCATGCATTTTACCCCCAAGAGGACCAATTTTAAAAATTGGCACTGCATAGATTTTTCCCTTTGAGGAATAAGGGATGTGTTTCTTTATTTCTAGACAAATACAGACAACTAATCTTTAGATTCCTTTCTGAAGACACCATATACAAAATTCTGAGTGGTCAGACCAGTAGTATGTGTGGCTTTTTGATATCACATCCACTCTAAAAGGAGTGTAACATCTGAAAATATGTTTTTGTACCAGTTAATTCAATGACTATGGGATAAAGACACATTGTTGGAATTTTAAGAGGAAAAACACATTATCTGATGGTTTGCTATGGGCCAGAAAGATTGCACCAATGGAATAGGTAATTTAGCATATTTCACAAGATTTCATGTCTCGATGGGAGAATCTGCTGTTCTCATGGGGAAAGTCAGAAAGAGAGTCACGTGGGTTAAAAGGAAACAAGTTCCAAAGTGAATTTCTCCTTGGACATCTGGGATGCCTACTTATACGTAAAATTTGTTTGAAAATTTTTCCCACTTTCTCTTCCAAGTACTTCCTATTAAGTAAAGCTGGCTCCTTAGAATTTAGAGAGCATGACTCAGCCATGTGCAAGGCCTGTACTTGCTCAGAATTGGAAGGCCAGCCAGCAACATGCTCATGTTCACAAGTGCAATAATCTTTGTGTTCAGTGTGTAACATGAGACCAAGAATGTGGAGGTGTTTTTTATACCGCATCAGTGCCTGCCTGCTATATAAAGTGCTACATGCAGAGGTTAGTAAAACAGAGCTATCCCCACTACACAGTTTTTGCCCTTTATCTTTGTGGGAAAAAGGGTTGAGAAGCACCGGATGTAATGTCATTATGTGTGTGTGTGTGTGTGTGTGTGTATGTGTGTGTGTCTGTGTGTCTGTGTATGCACGGGTATGAGAAAGAGAGAGGACGGAGTTAGAGTGAAAGAAAAAAATGTGTTACTCATTTACTACTAGGAAGGCATTCACCAAAAAGAAATAAAAGGAACCATTATGTGACATGGATTGAAACGGCCACCCAACATTGGAGGCAAGGGCACAGTCAATAGGGCAATCATTGTGGTCCAGAGGAGAGAAGATAGAGACCTAAACTATGGTAGTGGCATTGAAGAGAGGGAGAAATGGTGGACTTGAGAGATACTTAAGGGCATTGTCAGGATATAGAAATTGAATTGTTGTGACACACTGGGGAGAAAGAGAAGTCAAGGATGGCTCTTGAGGTTCTATCTTGGGCAACCGGGAGGATGAAACCACTTACTTAGGAATCCTGGCAGAGTAACAGGAGAAAAGTGAGTTCCATTTGATTGTTTGGTTACTCAAATCTTAATCTACAAGGGATCACATGGTCTCTGAACATGGGCAGCACCTTGGCTCCAAATACATCGCCCAAAAGAAATCTTTAGAGCACACTGCCAGAGATTTTTAAGATTCATACCCTCTTACATCTGCTTTACTCATTAATCTATGCAGCTTACTTTGGATTGCGGCGGTTGGCATTATAGATTTGTTAATTGCTGATACAATGTACTTTCTACACAGGCCATATGTGAAGAGCAGCACTGGCATTCAAGAAATGTTAAATAATAATGTAAATGAGAAAAATTTCCAATCCCAATAATAAAGGGATCCAAGGAACATTGACGCAACTTGCAATCATCAGAGCTGTTTGATTGCCTTGTCACTGTGGGATAGTGACCAAAGTGATGCTAATCTAAATGTCATCTAGAAAGAATACTAAAAATATTATGGTGAGAATTAAGTACTGCAACCTTAGAAGCTGATTTAAAAATTAGAAGATGTAGCAATTTACATCTGTGGATTTTATGATCGCCAAATGCAACCAGCTGAGCATACTCACATTTTCCTTTTTCTCCTGTCTCTCTTTTCAGAAAATGGGTTCAGTTTTAAAAAGTTAGTTCAAACTAATGTTCCCTCAATCAGTGGGTCTTGAACTTTGCTATATATTTAAATCACTTGAGATTTTTAACTCATGAAGTTTGGGCCACATTCCAGATTAATTAGAATCTCTGCAGGTGGAGCCCAGGCATTAGCATTTTTACCCTCTCCAAGTGATTCTAGTGGGCAGCCTAGTTTGACAACCAAAATCCTAAATATGTATGATCTAAAGACCAAATGCTTTAGATTCATGGTTGAGAGGGGTGCTTAGTAAAAGTGCAGATTCCCAGCTCCATTTAAGACTTGCCAAATGAAATTATTTGAGGATGCCACCTAGTACTCTGCATTTTATAAAATCCCCACATGATTTATGTGCACAATGAAGTGTGAGAACCACTGTACAAACTGAAAATCAGTGGTGGTACCTGTTAGGCTTTTAGACATAGGGTAAGTCTTGTGTAAAAGAAACAACAAATCCATGTAAAGGAAAAATGCAGCTCATCACCAGGGAGTTTGGTTTAAAACAGGGTTTCTTGACCTTGGCACTATTAACATTTTTGGCTTTGCTTTCAGGAGGCTCTCCTGTGTATTATAGGATGTTTAATAATATCCCTAGCCTCTACTTACTAGACAAAAATGGCACCACTCCACCCCAGCTGTGGCAATCAAAAATATCTCCAGATATTACCAAATGTTCTGTGTGTGCTGGGGGTGGGGGGTGGGGGAGTGGGGATTACCCCCAGTAATTCTAAAAATGCCAAACATGTGGATGGTTCCATACATCCCAGTGTTTGAAATTATGAACAGCAAACACCTTCCTGATTGACCAGATGTGTCTACACTTGACTACAGTAACTGTGATTCACAGAGCATAGTTTTTCACGGAGATGGTGCACAAGTTTCCAGAGCAGTTGGGAGAAACTTGGTCACTGCCACGTCAGTGGTCATTAATGATTTCCAGCTGCAGCAGGGCAAGGTTCTGCCTCTGCCGGTGGAAATGCTGAGTTAATAATAGGTAAAAAACATCTTTTTACCTAATCCGAATCTGGTTGTGAGATCTCAGTGGAAATGGGCTCTATTCAGTTAAAGGCAGTTAAAGGGCCATTGCTTTCATGAGTCATGAATTGCTTTTAAATCTGGAACAAAGAATAGATAACATCTCCACATCCAAATGCTGGTCATGCTGGTGAAAGGTTTGGAATGTGGTTTCCCCAATCCCAAAGGCAATTAATTAGTGTTCATAGGAGACTCTCCCCTTAGGTGGTATAAAACTCCAGATAAATTCTGGTTTTCCCCACAAAGCTAAAATCTCCAGGTAGGCCATATTAGTTTTGGCCATCTTCAGGCTTCTCTTTAATTCAGATGACTGCTGTAGCATCTCACCTGGAAATGTTGAAACAAATATCAAACGGCCAGGTTTGCCATCTCACACCATATACAAGTGCTAATCTTGGACAGGTAGGAAGGTAGAGTGGTTACAAATGCAAGCACCAAAGTCAGAATATCCATGTTTGAATCAGGCTCAGACAGTTATTTGTTATGAGTTTCAGGCAAGTGACTGAATTTATGCGAGCCTCAAGCACTCATCTATTGGGTGAGGGTAATAACGATATTTATCTCACATGAATGTAATAAGGATAAAATGAGATAACATATATCAACAGCACTTCACTTAGTGCCTGGAATATAGCAAGTAATTATTAAATGGTAGTGATTATCCTTATTTTAATTAAACTTTATTTATGATTATTTAAATTGCACCTTCGAAAACATTTTTATTTATGAAACCTGACGATGGACTATTTCACTTGTTATTGTAATCCATAGAAGATAATTTTAGATGTTAAAGGGATATTACAGATACTATGATTCAGTCTGCTCATTTTACAGAAATGAGAAAACTGAGGCACAGAAACGGGATCTGATACTCCTAGATTTATGCAGAATAGGTTCTAACATTCAGGTCTTCAGCATATAAGTACAGTCCTGATGTAGTGCAAAAGGAAAGAGCTTTGGACTTAGAACATCTAGGTTTGCTACTTAAATTTACAGATGTTTGACTTTATCATCTGCAAAATGAACATAAAAATAGCTAATCTGAATATTTTATAGCAAATGTTTGGAAGCACTTTGTGGCTGGGCGCGGTGGCTCATGCCTGTAATCCCAGCACTTTAGGAGGCTGAGTCGGGCAGATTACCTGAGGTCAGGAGTTCGAGACCAGCCTGGCCAACATGGTGAAACCCTCTCTCTACTAAAAATACAAAAAAATTAGCGGGGCGTGGTGGCAGTCACCTGTAATCCCAGCTACTCATGAGGCTGAGGCAGGAGAATCGCTTGAGCTCATGAGGCGGAGGTTGCAGTGAGCTGAGATCATGCCATTGCACTCCAGCATGGGGCACAAGAGCGAGACTTCATCTCAAAAAAACAAAAACAAAAAAGCACTTTGTAAACTGTAGAATGTTACACAATTGCTACTTAATATTATGATTTCTTCTTTATTAAAAAAATGCAATGCAAACAAAGATTCTGAAACACACACATAAGCCTCAATAGGACCAGTCAAGATCCCTTTAGTTAGTTTTTCGTGGCCTAAGAAATAGATCAGGTTCAAGCAAGTGTGCCTTTCAACACTGGCCATTTGTTCTCTGCTCCACTTGGATGTTGATCCTTCCAAAAGCAGCACCTTGGACAGCAGCCAGGAAGGCTTCCTCTCCGAAGCCTTGTCATTCCGTCAGACCTCACCTTCAGGCACCTACAACATTCTGCATGCACTTTCTTCCTAATTGCAAGTTACTGTTGCCTTGCAATCTAACTTTTACAGTGAAACACAAACAGAAATTGCATTTCACCTCTATCCTTACATATTGCGGTGAAGGAGATGGATGGCCACATGGAATCAGGGTTTTCTTTGACCTTCCCTATTGGACCCGCATATACTGATTGACAGCCTGCCACATTCTCTAGAAAGCAAAAGTTTGCATTTTCATTTGGCCTGTCTACAAGTGAACGGTATACATTTCAGGACTTAGAAATATTCAGTGAATAAATTTATAATGATGAAGCATACAGCATACACGCTTGAGAATTTTGGGTAGCTTGGCAATGCCAGGATCAGAGTCATCAGTTCTAAAACCAAACAAAAAACTTTAAAATGTCAGTGTTAATTTTGGGTGACGGTATAAAAGGTGAAGAAGGGCACAGAATAAAACTGGAAATAATTAGTAAACCTAATTTAAAAGGGAAAAAGTTCACCAATTCGCCAATTTATAAACCCGCAAAGAAAGGACATAGGAAACAGGACAGGATAAACAAAATTTTAGAAGTTAAAAGTGCCTTAAAGGTGACCTCAGTATATAAGTGATTCTACTAAGAAGCATTAATTTGGTAATAGAATTTATCTTATGACATTATTATAAATCATTATTTGAGATGAATTTCTTTTTATGAGATGAATGTAGAACTAATAGGTATTTGCTGAAAATGATGGCACTACTATAAATGCATAGGCCTATCTTATGCCAATCTATTTTATTTGCTCCTTAAACATAATTTCAAAATTATAAAGCATGGGTTGCTTATTATGAATGACTTGGTAAGGTACCAGGCCCCTAACTAGATGCCACTAAAAAAGCAATCTGACTCACAATTCTGTTTACATATTGCTCAATTAGTCTTTTCAATATGAACACGTTTTAAAAGTCACTGAACACCTGACTCAAATTTAGTCCCAATACACGGTATTTTTGCCCATTGCTAGAATTTTTTTTTAAAATTGCACCTTTGAAAATGCTTAAAGAGAGACTTTAGGAATACTCAAAGCTTGCAAAAGTGGAAGTGATGGCATGGATGGAGGCTTGGGGAAAGGGTAAAGATATTACAAACACAAGCCAATACACACATAACTTCTTACCTTTTCAGCTCTTGATTTGCCTGGGTTTTGGAATCTTTTCTTTTTTTGGATTCCTTTTTGGTATCTTTTTTAGCTTCTGGTTCAGGTGGGGAGGGAGTTTTGCTCCCTTCAGGGTCTGTATTTGGTGGCAGCCCACTAAGGTACACATGCATTTGTTGACTTTGGAGAGGGGGTGGTCGCATGAGGCATGCACAGAGTGTGGCCAGCCATAGGAGAATCAAGAGCACACGCACATGCACAAACAAAAGAAAGAAAAAGAAGGGTGCATGAAAAAGCAGGCGCAAATGCATTCAAACTAAAATAATAAGAAAAAAAGATGCAAACTTGCATAAGGAAAATCAGAACTGAAAAGAAAATAAGAAATCCAAAACTGTTTCCATGACAAGATGTATAAACCTAACTGTGAATCAAGTGGCAGTCTTACAATATGAAATCCAGACAATGTGTATCATAATTCATGATGATGTTTACCAGGGAGTTTACAAAAACACTTCATTATTTTATAACACTTTCTTATTCAGTAACATATGTAGAATACAGTGTGACAACCCAGAGAATATAATGCAACTTCTCTCTCTCTCTCTCTCTCTTTAAAAAATTCAGTCCAAGAGGCTGTAACAGATAGTCATCAAAGTGTACATATTTATAAAAAGCAGAATTATGCACAGATACCCCCCAGGTATCAGAGTTTTCATGAGTATCTTTTATGCAAATAAAAGGTCACGTGCTGGGCTAGCAAACCTCATAACAATGGGAGGTGATGATAACCTTGTTGCCTGTTAAATATTCAAACCTATGATGCTATTGTTATCTAGCTCTAAATGTTGAAGTTGCATTTCGTAAAAATACATCAGTGCTAGAAGGAGGAAAAGCACAGAAAAAATCCTACAGAGATTTTAGTTGTATAGCTTGCAAAGATGAAGACGACTGACACAGTTCTGATTTAAAATAAATGTAGTCAATTCTGGATTCTCCCACATGTGGATTTCTCCAGAGCAGCGACTTTTGCATCTGAGGCTGGGTTTCTGAAGCCACCTAGTGTTTCCTGGGTGTGGCTTCACTGGCTGTTGGTTGGGGAGCTTTGGGATAATATAGGCTTGTCTTTATACTAATGCAAGGCTACATACATTGAGATAGTAAACTGGCTGTGGCAGTGTGGAAATTTATTCCATGTCTCCAGAGCCAAATGGCAATGTTCTTAAATTATTTGCTGCTTTGCATTATTCAGAACATGGATCTTTTCCTCCAGGAGCTGGGCAAGGTCTAAAGAAAGAGAGTACTTAGTACAGAGTCAGGAGACTTGACGTTCTGGGCTTGTATATAAAACCTACAAAATGAGGGGGTTGATTAGACTGTGATCTCAAAAGTTCTTCCAGGCTCTATGGTTAAATTAAAAGTGTTATCATCATCTTTGCCTTCCAGCTTCACCTAGCTTGCTTCAGCTCTGGAAATGTACTTGGCTTCCTCCTTCTGCAGGACATTTGTACATGCTGTTCCTTTTGCCTGGAACCACTCAACTCCTACACATGCTTTAGTTCTCAGCTCCAGCATCACTTCCTCAGGGAGGTCCTCCTTGCCATCTTGCCATTCCATCTGAGTCATGTTTCTTTATTAAATTTTGTCATGGAATTTTATTCCCTTTCCTCAGAGTCAGAGCATCAATCTGAATGTAACTCTGCCCTTGTTTGATGTCTGGCTTTTACTCACCACACATACTAAATGTGTATCAGAGTGACTGACACTAAGGAAGTAATTATTAAGCAATTATGAAATAAATAACAAAAACAAAGGCAAATATTTATTGTTTTTGCCATGTTTCAGGCACTATGTTGAGCCCTTTATAGGTACTTGCATTCTCTCAACAACCCCAGGGGTATACAATCATCCCATTTTACAGACGAGAAAACCGTGGCACAAAGGGCTTAATTACCAACCAGGGTTATTGCTAGTAAATGGAAGAACTATGATTTGAACCTAGATTGGCCTAACTTCCGAGCTTGCCCTAGAAGCCCTGCTTGCCATTTATTTTAAGTTTCTTGAAAGGAGAAGAAAGTTAGTGCCCTTTGTGTGTGTGTGTGTGTGTGTGTGTGTGTGTGTACGTGTGCACATACCACCGAAGGAATGAAGACAGGCAGATCCTAAAAGCAAGACTAGCCATAAACCATTGCCAGTGCCATTTCTTAAGGATCACCTCTAGACACACGAACACACACTTACCTGTTCCCATGGACATGGGATGCACAGAAGGCAAAGCTGTAGTGAAGAAGGGTGGGGTCGATCATGGCGCCATTTTCTGCCCGTTCAAGCAAGTCTCTGAGGTAGCAGAGATGTCGGTGACACCCCCGGACTCCATTTCGGGCGCAATACTCGTCTAGTACAAACACCTGGCCAGGACTGAACCAGCCCTATATAAAGAATAAAGGAGAGACTTTCTTTTAAATACAGGTTGTTTTCTGGAGAGCTGCTAGAGTTGGGAGTGGCTAGAGAAGGGGACTGAAAAATAGCCAGAGCTAACACTCCTTGATTGCCTATTATGTGCCAGCCACTGTGCACAGCATATTGCGGTTTAGTCCTCACAGTGGAACCTATGAGGTACATTCTGTTATCCCTGTTATAAAGATGGAAAGATTGAGTTCAAGAAGGGCATAAAATTTTCTAGTGAGTGATGGAGGGGGATTAGCAGACAGCTTGGTTCCAGAAACAGTGTCTCACCTACTGCTTGAACACGGAACCATACACGTTAAAGGAGTATTGGGGTGGGGATGTGGCAAAGTCGTGGTTACTGATAAGAGGAAATCATAACATTAATGCTCTACATTGATATAGAGCTTTACACTTAACAGAGAACTTTCAGTTGAGCCCTATAGCAACTCTGTAAGGTAGACAGAGAAGGTTTATTTTAAAGACAAGAAAATGGAAATCCTGGTCGTTAAGTGACTCACACAGATAATACAAAACAGAGGCAGGACTCAAATCCAGCTCTGTCATATTCCAAGTCTTCTTGTTTTCTCTACTCTAGAGCATGAAGAAATTTTAGGGTTGATCTACATACATGCCAGGACTTCATAAATCCTTTCACTTTGGAAAGAGTGTTTTTTAAATTTTTCAAATGAAGGTAATAACGCAACTCTCCAAAGAGAACAGCATGGCTTAGTTTTCAAGTTGTGAATCAGATGTAATTCCATTAAACTGAGAGGAACTTCTTGTGTCCTGGTTTAGAGTTTTATTTTCTCTTCTGGTAATTGTTTGTATTCTTATTATTTATTTGCTTGCTATGGGACCAGTCCAAACTCTGCTATACAAGACAATGGGAATTCAGATCTGCAAATTAGAGCAGGTTTGGTGGCATGATGGGATGGAAATTGCTAGCCCCATTACGCACTTAAGAAAACAGGTGCTCAGAAAGGCCAAGTGAGTTGCCACTCAAGGTCACCCTTAAGCAGAGCCTGAAATAAAATTGTGTTTTCTGGTTTCAGTGTCTGTTCAAAGCAAGAAATAAACCAATTTAGGTGATACTTTCTAAGCTGGAAATTTGGGGCTATTTTAAATATAAACTTAATTTTACTTTGAGGGTCTTCTCTGAGTCATCTTTTGAATATTGCTCCATCTTGGGAGAGAAAAGGCAAAAAGAGAAAGTGACTAGGGGGCAGGTAGAGGCCACAGAAGTACAGCGAGAGAGGCCTTTGCAACACTCTAATCTTGTATTAGGGATCTGGGAATCTTCAATTGACAACATGCAGCTCAGTGATGCATCCAACGAAAGACGGCATCTTTCCTGTTTCAAATTATAAGTTACTGCAGAGGGCGGAGAGTAGTCGAGGCAGTGGGCTGCCCCTATAGGCAACTTCTTTGCCACTCCATCTGCTACCCCAAATGCTAAATCTTAGAAACAACACTGCTGTGAAAGATTAAAATATATTTTCTACGACTCAGATGACACCAAGTCTTTTGTAGATGCCAAAATAGCTGCTTTGAAAAGAGTTGAAGAAATATCAATTAGGAACTCAGTCGAAGACACAGAAAAATTTATGTATCCCTGCTGGTCGGTCTCCAAAACTAACTGAAAAAAAGATTGTAATAATGAGAAAATGGAATATACAGAGGCAGGAGATAAGGTCCTTTTTAATTTCTGTTATTTTCTGAAATTTTGGAATAATGACTAATATACACAGGTATACAAATGGGGAAGGAAGCTATTTTATGCTATTCATAATTAATTTTAGATTCTGGACCATAATTTTAAGCCTATAAGTAATTAATGGAAAGCAAGTTTTAATATTTCATTTCTGGTTTAATTTTTTTAGAGAGCATTTATAAACTCTCCTTCACAGTGAATCTCAAAACAAAGAAAATTGTTTTAAAAAATGATAATGTGAAAAAGTCTTGGAAATAATATACCTCAAAAAAATTCCTTAAGGGAATAGTAATTATATATAAAAGGGAATGATTTAAGTTCAGAGGCACATTCTTACAAGTTTAATGAATGCCATTTATAATTATGTGAACAATCACATAATTGTACAAAACACATTTGAGAAAAATTGCCTTGCAATGCAAGGTAAGCTTTTTTCTTTTTCTTTTTCTTTTTTTTTTTTTAAGTCAAAGTGATGTGTTCCTTTCCAATTTGGCAAAGTTCAGATCCTTTTGATGAAGGAATTCTAAACCTGAGATAATCAATGAATCTTTCATGAGATACAGATTAATAAATTATTCCACATAATTCTGTTTCTGTGTTTAAGACTATTTTATCTACAATTTTTTATATCTTGGCTTTTGGTACAAAAAAAGAAATTTAAAATAAAAATTAGAAAAAAGAAAGATTGTCATTATACATATTAGTATCAATAATATCTTAACCCTACTTATTATATAGTATAAATATTACATAGAGATATTCTTCTCAACTTTAGTGTTTAGAATCAGGGATGAGAATTTTCCTCTATATAAAGACATTTCATCATTTTCCCTCATCTTTCCCATCTATAAAGTGGGATTAATAGCATTTACTTTTAAGAAATGAAATAACAATTTATGGCTTGAGGAAGAAGTAAATTGGGTCTTTTTTTAGGCGTTTGAATTTGATAGTTTAAAGCCAAAAATGTATCTTCAGAAATCCAGTAAAAATATAATAGCACTCCCTTGAATTTAAATCATTTAAATCTAGCTTTAAAATAGGATTTCAGGAAATATTGATACTCCTGCTGGATAGATAGCTGAATTTCCAAATAACTAAAGCACCATAAAAAATTCCCTGAAAGGGTGAAAAAATGCTGTGAATATTGTGAAGAAAAAAAAAAGCCATCCAAACAAACAAACAAACCCAAATCAATTTAGCTTATGAAAAATAAAGTTTATTTACAAATCATTTTAACCTTTAAGAAAATACACAAAGAGAATACATTCATGTAATGAGATAGGATTACCAGATCTGGGATGGGGAGGGAAGGGCATCTTAAACTCTAAGCTACTGAGGCAATTTTTACAAGTTCTCCACAAGCAGGTGCCAAACTCGATTACCCTCTTGGGAATATTTCTCATGTAGCAGCTGAAAAGGGGGAAGCTAAGATAGGGAGGCTGGGGAATTGGATCTGTTTCTACTGATAACTTCCTCCCGCTCAGTCTTGTTTCTTTGGTAAGTAAAACTATCTCAACCCAGGAAATCGGGAACACATTTATAATTGTTAAAGGGATTCTGTAATGGAGAAAAGAGCTTCTGACATAAAGGTAGAGAAATATTTAAATGAAAAAAAATGTTATGTTTAAATTGCTGTAGACCAAAGAATATACTTGCCAGGCAAGAATAGGAATCATTAAGTCTGTGATCCAAAGTAAGGCGTTGTACCATCTCAAAGAGGGAAGCGTGGTCAAAGTTACAGGGGTTGGAAGAGATAAATTCATCCATGCCATGTTTTTGAGCTCTATCTGCGTCTGTTCATTTATACATGTAGAGAGAGACACAATTTAGAGAAACACATCACATTTTCTTTGACATTTCAAATACACAGGAATTCACTAGACATTATGAACGTTAGCTGTTTCCCCGTTGCCTCCCACCAACATCCCCAAGATATTCTTTTTACCTCCCATTGTCAACTTGCATCACTTACTGGTGAGTTTATTGCATTTAGGCAAGAAGATATTGGCATCAACATGTTTATCAAATGATCACATTTCCAGTGCATTTATGTTGTTCTTTAAAAACTAAGCATAAGACCGTAACTTCGCCTGCATTTCACCAAACACTGAAAGCAGATCGGATCTTTGCTTAAGATAGCCTATTTAGCTTTGCTGGTTTTTAATAGATTCTGCCATTCCAGTGGTTATGTCTACAGCAATTTCTCTGCAATTATTGGGATTATCTGGAAAAAGGGTTATGCTGATTTTCAGCAAAGTGACAATATTTATATCGTCTTCTTCCAAATCCCCATTGCCAATTTGGTTTCATAAAAGGTTTGAGTCCCCACCCTGCAAAATTAAAAATAAAAAAAACGATTTTCATTGAAACCTGGAGATTAAGTTAAATGGGAATTTAGTTTGTGAAAATAAAGGACATTTCCTTATAGTGTGCTTACTCAGTTAGCAAAGCTTAGGAAAGAGACAAACAAATTTACTCAGCAAGGGCTATGATCTGCCATTTATTGTGAATTAATAGTCTCAATGTATTCACACTTTTCCTTACGGGGTGAAGGCTGTAGGCAAAACCTCCTAAGGGCTAACTAATTAATCTCAACATGTGTAACTAAAATACACTATACTCAACAGGCAAAATAACTCAGAGAATTCAACTCGTGTGTGTCCAGGCAAATCCTAAAGAGGTAGAAATGAAGGTGCTCTCCATTAAAGAAATTGGCTCACTCCACCTCATCTTTACTGACTCTCCTGATACGCAGACTTTGGAGAAAAAGAATCTTCTATCAAATCTAGCAAAAGATTTTATTCATCCTTTTTCATGAAACATCTTACTGGAATACGGGGACCTGCCAGGAACTAGCGATGCTGTCAGGACACGGGAAAAATCGATTTCTGACTTGGGAGTAGTTTGGATAACATTTTCATGTGTGGCCTCAGTCCCAGGCAGCTTTTTTTTTTTCCTCTCCCATGCTTGGGGTATGGCTGTAAGCTTGGGTTATGGTTAGCAGTGTCACTTCCAGATGATGATTTCTCCTATTATTATTGATATTGTATTAATAAATCATTCAAACCTAAATCCATGGTATGGTCAGATTTATACCTCCTTATTGTTTGACTTTTTTAAAAAAACGTTGTCATTTTTCATAGAAGCAGCAAGTGGTCCTTGTTTGAACGAGATGTGGCGTTTATGCCCAAGACTCGCAGAAGCAACGGTTTCCAGAAGGCAAGTTGAAGAATGTGTATTTTAACAGCCAAATCGCTCCATTAGAATAATAAAACACAGCTTTTGGAAAGGATATCACATGTGCAGGAATTATATTAGAGAATCTGAGAGAATCCTCCTTGCTGCATTAACTGCCTCAGATTTATCCTCAGGAAAGTGCTTTCAACTTGAGGTTGGCTGCTTCATCTAGGAGGCTTCTTTCAGTTCGGTTGTTTGGTCTCCAAACTACATTTCTTCTTTGACTTAGGATGGCCAGGAAGTTGTTGCTCCTGGGAAAGCTAGCTGCTTCTAGGGCATGTGTGTGACTCCTCTGGCCCAAGGCAAGTGTCTTAAACCTGCTCCAACTGTAGTCTCCCCTGGCATAATGACACTCCTGCAATCCAGGTGACATTTCTCTATCGCCTTTGATAGACTCTGCCCTCTCACCTCCAACCTGTCAGTCCCAGATCAATTTAACTCAGGAGAAACTAAGCATGGGGTACACACGAATTGCTCATGCTGTTTCATCCTCATAAAAAGCCTCATCCATCCCTCGCCTCCCAATTTTAACAGATAGATCAGGCATTTTGGCTAGCAGCAGCTTCTTGCTCTCGGGTTTCTCAGAAAAGGCTGCAAACTGACAAACCGGCCGGGGCCTTACTCTGCCAGTTTGGCTTGGCTATTTTATTGCCTTCAATTATGATGGTACAACTGGTCATTTAGCTCAGAGAGAAGGGGGCTCTTTTGTAGCTGTTAAAAAAATATGGCACATGTTTCAAGTCTCTTTCTCTTTGTTTGTTTGTTGAAACTCTTGAAAACTTTGCTGATGACCTATTTCACTTTGCTGGCCACTCAGGAAATGGATCTGAAAAGGCGACTTGGCTCCTTTATGGAGACCTGGATTCAGACCCACTCCCCACCCCTCAGTCCATCACAATGGCTCAATGAATGCAGCTTTGTGGTGCTAATTCTAGTCGAAGTCTAAAGAACAATTTCATTTTTTACTAACGTTTTAAAGCAAGCTTACAGAAAAGCCTAAAATCAGCCTGCTTTCATTTTCAAAAAGTAACCTTGTCAAAATAAAACTTCCTTTTCCCTTCTTCCTTTCTTTCTTCTTTCTCCCCATCCACTTGTAGCATGAGCCTAGGACTGGATCTAGGAGGTCTAGATTTTAGGTTGAGCTCTGTTTTTAAAAAACTGTAGGATGCTGGCTGAATTGTTTATCTCTGAGCATCAGTTGCCTTCTGTGTAAGAGGAGCTGAATTTTCAGTTCCCTTCCTGCCGTTATAGGCTGTAATTTAATGATCCTTAAGATCCCTTGCACACTATGTGTGGAATGGAGCTTAATGCAGTGGGAATTTCCAGCAAGTAAAGCGAGCCACCTCTGGATTTTACTTGCCCCAAATTATCATTTACTCAAAATTGGGCTCATTATTCTAATGGTTCCCACAACTCAAGAGCGCTTACAAGGGTGGCTGGCTCCCACAAAATCTTTGAGTTTCATTGAGCTTATTATATTTACTGAGCTTATTATGTTATAAAAAAAAAAAGAAGGAGGAGTAAGCCAGGAGTGCTGTTTCAAGGTGCTAATGAAAAAAATCTGATGTTTAAGCTCATCCAAGCAGGGGTTTCGGTATTTTTTGTTTGTGCTACATTCCCAGCCCTAGAATAGTACCTGGCACGTAGTAGGCACTAAGCACATATTAGTTAAAATCATAAGTTTATCTTCTCAGAATAAATACAGAAACTCACTCTATTAACAAATATTTTTCTTTCTTGATTTTATGGCATATTTATATACTACATTGATTGGAAACGGCTTATTTAATGGGAGCTAGCATAGCAAGTGGTTAAGTGGCTGGGCATAGGCAGGTCACAAACACTAGATTTGAGACTAGCTCTGCCACCACTAGGTATATGATATGAGGCAGGTTGCTTAATGCCTCTGGGCCTCCTTGGCCTCATTTGTAAAATGAAGTTAAATTCAAGTCCACCTTCAGAGGACTGTTGAGAGGATCTGAAGAGAAGTACCTGGAAAGTACCTAGGGCCCTGGCATATATTAAGGGCTCAATAAACATTAGCTAGGAGTAAACAAACAGGATCTTTAGTGTTTGAAAAGCCAGTTTGTTTCAAGTAGTTAGTGAGCCAAGGATGTCTCTGCATTTATAGCTAATGTTCTATTCCTTCTTTGCTTCTTAAACCTTATCATTTCTAGGAAGCTGGGAGTCCTTCCCTATCTCTCTGCTTTATTTTTCTTTTCTGCCCCTGTATAACCAATTCCTATGTCCTGTTTCTGTGTTTTCATTGGGTTATTTTCCAGTTTCTCTGTGGTCAAGACACATACATAAAATTGAATCCCTTGGTAGATAACATGTTCTGTGAGGGCAAGTTTCTAATCTGTTATTTCCCCTGCCAGCTCTTAGAGGAGCCAGGTCCTCAGGAGGGGTTATTAACTGGCTTACTCTGACACCTTCATCCCAGTAAACTTCTCATTGACTTTATTAAGGAGTCACACACATGGGGATTCAGATGGTATCTTGCAAATCCAAAAGTAGGAACATGTGCTCTTAGGGGAAAAAAATCTTATAGAAGGAAACAGAATTCTAGGTGCAGGTGTCTTTGGATACCATTCAGATTGTCTGCCTGTGTCTCCATACATGTCTAGGACCATATGCATTACATATGTTGTCTATTTTAAAATAAAACACTGCAGTGGTCCAGCTGTTCCAAATTCTGTTTCAAAGAACTTGTGGGCGCTTCCCAAGCAACACCATACAGTCATTCTTGCACTGTCCCGGTCTGTTCTTCCACAGTGTCAAACATAAAAAAATAAATGCTCCTTGCAACTCCATTTTTTCCCTGTACAAACAGTTGGAATTGGTTGATTAAAGAAAAAGAAAACTCCAATGTTGACATTAGCAGAGGGAAAACAGCCCAGAGCAAGCAGTATGAAAGAGTCAATTCCTGAATTCAGGACATTCTGGGATCACTTCCTTTGCCAATATTTGGCATGTGTCAAGAGAATGAAAATGAATTTGAACATCGGGTTAAGCAAAAAGGAATTAGGAGGGTAAAGTGGCTGCTTAAAACCCCAGTGATGTTTGGATGATCTCTTGCTTTGGGAGATGCATCCTAATGCTCTTTTTCATTAACCGTATTTTTCTAGAAATCAACGATTGACATTTTAAGAACCAATTTCAATCATCTTTACCTGTGTCAGACCTAGTCTTAGGAAGTAGTTCCTAAGTCCTGCTTGGTCTTCAAGGGCTCCAGATGTACTGATGTACTGACAGTGAGCTATATGATTTTATAGGCTCTGCAGCTAGGGCATAATTCAACACACCTTGCAAACATTGCTACCTGTTTCACTTCGGGGGTTTAATTGCATAAGGATTTTTCAGTCCTTTATGACATGGGCATAGGAGACTGACTTCAAACTAAGCTTGGATGGATAACGCTGCTATTGGTACTGACATTAAGAAATTTCAAGCACTGTCAATGGTTTCTATGACATAGATGCAGGTTGATGAACATACAGACTTACGGAGAGCAGGTGCACTTTCAAGCGGAAACTAGTCTAAACCTTGCCCCAAGTTTGCTTGGAAGTAATTTTGGCTTGACATTTAAGGAATGTTGGGAAAACACTGGTTCCTAAAGTGATACTATTATGTGGGTTTTATACTCTCATCTCATTTAATCTACTTTATTAAAATTCAAGTGGTATGGTCCCTAATTGACTACTCTGTCATCTATGTTGTTCTTTGATCATGATATTTGGGTTCATTTCATGTTTGATAGTCTTTTCCTTTTTTCCTCCCTCACAAATGAAAACCATATACTATTTTTCATGATCTATTATCTCAGTATCAAGCACACTTATATGATCTTGTTTCTAACATATATATTTTTAGATAGACTTGCAATAATGTCTAGCAAATAAATGTAATTTTCCTGGAAGAATAATGTAGTTTTCAAATTTTTATTTTATTGAAATTTTCCTATTATACTAACAGCTTAGGGATTGAAGATAAAAGGTCAAATCTACCTTTTTATTCTGTGATATTACATTTTGGAAATTTTTCTGGGCTAGTGAAAAATTCACTGTTGAAAATAATTATGATTATATTACTAACAAATTGTCTGAAAGAGGCTCTTCTCTCTCATGAATCCCTTTTGTAATAAGCTAGAGGTAGCTGTTTTAACATTGGAATTTAGAGCACAGTTATGGCTGTTGCTACTCCTGATGGATGCTAGAGGCAAGAGAATAGCTAATGCAACTCTAAAGTCATCTGTGAACCCAAACTGCAAATTAAAAGGTGACTTTGTATTTCTCTTATACGGAAAATGTGTGCTTGTCATATCTGCTTGACAGTACAAGAGTGAATGTATGGTTTGGACAATAACGAACAATGACAGTAGTCAGCCTCATCAGAAGACATGAAATAAAGAAATGACAATGACTGATGGCAGCTGGTTGTTTATGGATTTTTCTAGAAGAGCTTTCCTTGGAATAGTCAAGTAACCAGGGGATGTTGTGCCCTGCCTGAGCTCTGCACAGCAAGCAAAAGACTGGTCCTCACATGCCTGCTGCCCAGAGGCACAAATGGACCACTTAATTGAGAAACAACTTAATTGCTTCGTGGTCCCTTTAGCTAAACTGGGGTAATATGAATGGCCAAAAGAGGATGGCTTCTTTGGAAGCTCTCAAGGCTCACATTGCATCATGCAGAAATCTTGAATTTAAAACTACTATGGCAATACCCCCAAAAGGATAAGTGTGTGATGTTTATTTCAATGTTAATTTCTATAATTATTTGTCAGACAATTGCTTTGAGTAAAAATCATAACAGAGATTTTGTCAAAGATCTCAAGCAAAATAAATAAATGATTTTAGTTTTCTCCTGCTGTAGTTATATTAACTTACAGAGTACTCGATGTTTTTGCACTCACTCCAACATGAGCAAAAATAAATTTTCTATACCTGATTAATAATCTTACTATAACTCACTATATGGCATGAAAATACTCAATTAACTAGTGAATAATATGTTAAATATGTCTTACGTAGTTAACAGTGAGGTAAACCTTCATTTAATATGGTCTGTTTAGATCAAATCATGGTGTTTGGAAAATTTTAGACCTGATTGTGGGAACATATTCTTTTAAAAAGTGATTTACTTTTACAGTGAAAAGGGACATGATTTACAGTATGGTTTTGGGTCAAACAAATTATGTTAATATTGAATTAATTATTTGATATTGCATTCCTGCAACGTAGCAACTGCAAGTTGACAATATAAGAAGATATAGCAAAATTTTATGAGATAAAACTACAGAAAGGAATTAAGGCAAACAATTGTTTAAAAATCTACTAGGATAGCAATGCGTTGTTGTGCAAATACATGTAAACTTGTTTAGAACAGAATTCATTCAGTTAACTATTCATCCATCCTTTCTTTCATTCTTTAAAAAAAGTATAGCAAAATCCTAAATTCCCACTAAGTTTACATTCTATGATAAGCCTTTTAAAATGCCTCATCAGACATTCAAGAAAAGTAAAGTCAAATTAAGTATCTGCTTGAAGTGGTGAAAAACGTCTGTCTGCTAGCCAGGGGTACATTTATGCAAAATAAAAGAAAAAAGAAAGAAAGGGAGGAAAAAGCAAATTAAAGAAGGAAACAAAAAAAATTTGAAGAAAAGACTATCATTAAATGGTCAGGAGAAATGATATGACCTAGTTCTTCTAAATTAGCATTCAGAATACTCAAATACATAGTTGCCTGCTCTCTTGACCAATTTTTCTAACTCCGTCTAACGTCAAGTCTTTCCTCAACACATTTTTGGTTGATAGTTTTTTCCTATATAAATTAAGGAAGTATGTGTTCTTTTTTATTAATAACTCGAATAGTTAAGAGAAATATTTTTCTAAAGTTTTAATGTCTCCTTTTTCTCTTACATGGGTATTTTTAGAAAAATTAATACAAATACAAATGATGTCAAAAAAGTTATTGTTGTCATTGTTCTTGGGGGAGTAGCAGAATGACATTTGATACCAGAGGTTAAATGTCAACCTTGATACCAAGGTTAATACCTTGGCATTGTAAGACTGTGAATCCAAAGCATTTGTAAATGAGTGACATGGATTCAGTCTTGTCCTTAATTTCCTGTTTTTGTGTGTGCTAGTTCCATGTATTGTAGCTCTCCTTTCAAAATTAATCCTCTATTGGGTCTTACATTAGAGCACACCCTTAAGCCAGCTAGAATGAACTCTTTAGTGTTCAAATAATGCATTTGCTTTCTTAATTGTATTTTGCAATTTCTTCTAGTCTTGCTCAGTTAACAACTCTGGGTTTCCTACCCCACTTATTTTTTAAGGTATCCATGGTTACCACACCACTGGTACTCTGACCATTCGAATCTTTGGAATGGGAAAGGAAAAACAACAACAACAACAACAACAACAGCACATTATCAGAGTGCAAAATGATCTGTTTTCAGGCATTAAGCAGTCAGGTAGCTGTGAATTACATGAAACAAAGGCATTATTTGCCATTTTGTTGTGATGTTAATTAATATTCTTGGAATGAAAAAAAATTAGACGTTAATGGTTGGCTTTACTCAGAGGATCATTTGATGCCAATATGAAAGCCAAGGAGAGGAGGCAATTATGCACACATCACATGCATCCTAGTTTCAGTATGGAAGCTTACATTTCAAACCTAAGGTCAGGAAAATAACATGAAAAGTTGTACTACAAATTCTAGACATGAGGAAGATTTAAGGGGGAGGGAAGCACATTGCAGGTGTCAGATAATCTAATCTGATTATCTGAGCTGTGCTAGCTATAGGGGAGCACTTACCCTTCAGTCCAGCTAGAAGTTAGCAGGGTAAGAAGGAACAAACCAGAATAACATAAAGACTAGCAACAAGGCTCAGGAAAGCAGACAGGAGTTCTAACCTAGCAGCCTAAGTTCTTGGGTTCGAGCAAAGATTGAACAAGAAAACTTAAACAAAACAAAACAAAAAACAAAATCAACCTCCCCCAAACCAACAGTAACCCAAATCCCCCTAACTGTTGAAGACGTTCAGGTGGTAGCAAAAATAGAACAGTTCTCAAAAATACCCAGCTTTGGGGTTCTATGATGTGATTAACAGTTATTAGTTGAGAAACAGACATTAAAATGACTCATTGCAAGTGATATATTAAATAACCATTGATCAAATGTCAAAGCTTAAAATACCCTCTTCCCCCACCCCACCCTAATCCAAATGAGAATTGAGGTACTAATTTTTACTGTTCCACTAACACATAATGGACAGGGGATAAGGTATCTCAATGAGAGGCCACTCAGCATAATAAATCGTGGAACACTCAGCTACAGATTGACATCATTTCCAAGGTAAGCAGCATTGGCCTTAAAAATCGGGGAATTGCAAGAATTTGTTTAAAAACATTGTATAGCTAGGTGCTGACTTAATTTTGTTAAATTTTAACAAAAAAGAAAAAAATTAAATCAACAATGACACACACAAAAAAACTACAAAAGAACAAAAAAGTTTTAAAGGTTGGTGAAACCCTCCCAAAAATCTCTGTAGAGTCACACACAAACTAATGAATAGCAGGATCTATTTTTTTCAGTTTTTACAGTTCCACATAAATACCCCACTCCACTCTTCTCGAAGTGTCTTTTCATTTTAAAACTGAGCTTTTGAAATTGCAAAAAATAAAAACTGTTAAACTGAATTTAGAAAGACCCAAATAAACTCACAATTACTCCCAAGTTTTCCAAACTATAAAAATGGTCCATTCTTAAGTTTCCCTTAAACAGACAGTGACATGACAAGACTGGAGTGTTTCTTTTTCTCTACCCCAAAAATATTTCTATATTGCTTCCCTTCTCTATGTATTTTTCCATTTCTACGTAGCTTCCTTTTGTCTTGTAAATACTAATAAAGCGATTATAGAGTTAAGTCACTGAAAGATTGTTGTTCTTAAAAATTATTCACTAGCAAGAAAGGCAAGTACTTTGAACAAATATTCAAAAACAAGATTTAATGAGATGTGTGCAGAGTTAAGTACTTAACAATGACCCTTACCTTTTTGGAAGTCAAGGAAACCTTTTTAAAATGCAATACTTGATTTTTTTTTTTTTTTACATTTTTTGTTAGCTAGAGAATCTGTGATTGACTTAATTTTTGTGATGTGACTTGATTAAAATAAATCAGTGTATAGATTGGCAACCAAATGTAAGTGAAGAATGAAAATTTGTTCTTTACAACTATGTTATGACTGTTTTTCATCTTTCTTGCGTGGTAGTACCTGGTGACCAATCCGTCCTACTTTGCTCAGGATTGAAGCGTTTCCTGGGACACAGGATTTTCAGTGCTAAAAGGAGAGACGTCCTGGGCAAACTAAGATGACTTGGTCACGGTAAGTATGAATCAACACTGTGGGTTTGACTGAGTTACCCATGTGTAAGGCTTGATCTATTTAGTACTGACGGTTTGAATTTTACAAATTACAGCAGCTGTGAAGTAATTATGAACTAACCACCATTCTGTGGCTTACTCCACTAACAATTATGCAGTCAGCTCTTCAGTATCCAAGGGTTCTGCATCCATGGATTCAACCAGCGGTGGATTGAAAATATTCAGAAAAAAATTACATCCATACTGAACATGTACAGACCTTTTTTTGGTCATTATTCCCTGAACAATACAGTGTAATAACTATTTACAGAGCATTTGCATTATATCCAGTATTATAAGTAATCTAGAGATGTTTCAAATTACATGGGAGGATGTTTATAATTTATATGAAAATACCATGCCATTTTATAAAGGGGATTTGAAAATTCATGGATTTTGGTATCTGCAGGGGGTCCTGGAACCAATTTCCCATGGATACTGAGGGAAGACTGTATTCCCTCATATCTAGACACTTTTTTCTCTTTTGGTTGCTGTGCATAACTACCCAATGATACCATGGAATGTAAAATTCCTGGTTCCTTTCTTGATCTTTTTGTAGATGCTCAGGCATAAAGGTTGGGTTGATTAAATCCTAACTGGTTGTCTCTGATGGCTTGTAAATTATAGGAACAGAAGCCACACTGGCTGGTACTCTGGCTGCAGTTTTTATTAAGTGCTTAAACTAGCAATAGATAGAATTTGGAGCAGTGTTGAAGCTCTGTTGCAGGGATAATAAAGTAACCATGGGACGGCTGGGATCCACACTATTAGACTGAAGTTCTGGGTAAGGGCTGCCATTTATTACATGGCCACTGTGTACAGTTGTGCAGATTTGGCACTGCAGAACTCAATGGGTGCCATTCATATTTTTGTGTATGTGCAAGGTGTTTCCTGTATTACACAGTCTCCATAGCTGATTGTAGTGGCTTGTTCTTTTAGAACCTGGTAGATGTAGCAGGGCCTCATGCTCTCTGAAGAACTCCCGTTCCTCGGCAGTAATAAAGGAGACAGTACAGAAGAAGGTAAATCTACCACTAGGTACTGATAAATCCCAATGGCATGCATGATCTGGTTTTCTCACTCATTTCTCAGCCTACTTTACATATTCCCTAGGGATGATATCATTTACGCCCCCCCCCCCCCGCAAATTCTAACTCTTAGGAGTTTGCTTTGGATGCTCCATTTAACAAAAGTTCCTTATTTCAACTAGAGTAGTGATACACATCAAGCTGTGTGTATTCAATTGAGTCTTTCTGCTGATGCCTAACAACTAGTGTTCTAATTTCACAACTAAATGAATCCTATCCACAGACAGAAATCTAAATCAAGAGCCCCCATGCATTTCCATGAAGAGACATCTCTTCTTCAGCAGCTTCCATCACAGGTTTTCTTTTTTAATCGATTTCTTGTCTCTAATTTTACTCCTGAATGTCCTTCATCTTATACTAGTGAGGAAAAAGTGGGGTCAATAGCAAACCATGTAGCAGTTTCTTAATCTGGGCAGATGATAGAACAGAGACACTGAATGTAAGGTGAAATGACTTTAGAAGAAATGAAGATTATTTGGAAATAAGACCAGTATTTTCCAAATATCACCTGAGATACATGCTTTATGAGGTTGATTTGAATGGTGATTATAGTTAGAATTTTTTTCTGATACAGGGGGTAACTTCTTTTCAAGAGGTTACGATAGGATGTGTTGTTTCCAAATGAATTACAAAGGAGCATGTTGCCCAAGGTGAAAGGAGGGATTTTTGTCATACTTTAAAAAAAACACACAACAATTAAACAAATACTGGGTATGATTTATCTTGACTAATAACTATTACTCTCTTTACTGCTCTCAAGTAAACCTAAGTGCAGGAAGATGTTAGAGAATACAAGAGTGGAGAACTTGGTGGTAGGTGTGGGCAATCTCTTTCTTATTCTTTCATGATTTTCTGTGTGGAAACTCACAGCCATTATATGATTATTTACACTGTTCCACAAGGGCATGCATCACCATCAGTACTGGACAGGAATTCCTGGGAGCATCTGATAGACAGAATTTGTGATCCAAAAGAAGTTGTATTTCCTGATCAACAAGGGTGTTGCAAGGTGTAAGAATATAGTCTTGTTGGACAGAAATGGACATGGCAGTAGAATTCACTGAAATACAAGTTTACCTCTATTTAGTAGTTACAGCTGCAAAATTATTCCACCCACATCCATATTCTGTTTAAGAGCAACAGAGGAGAGATCGTGCAAGCACTGTGTTAGAGGTTAAGTCTCTGCATTTGCATTTGTTTTCCTTCAGCTGCAATTCTCTTTCCTCAAATATCTGTGGGGCTGACTACCTATCCTTTGAACCTAAACTCAGGGAAAGCTTCTTTGTTTGTCTAATGTCTCTCCTTCTCACTCAGTCACCACTAAATGACATTCTTCATGGTATTTACCAGTGTCTGAAGCTCTCTTATTTATCTGTTCACTTGTTTACTATCTAGGCTTCCCCACTGGGATGCAGGTATTATAAGAGCTGGTACCTTGTCTGTCCTTCTCATTAGCATGTCTTATTTCTAGACAGTTGCTCAATGACCTAGAATGAATCAGTGAATTCCATACTAAAGTAATAAATCATCATGATTATTGCTAAAAATGACTTGTACCTGTGTCATCTCTGATTGACTTGATATTCAGGGTAAAGCAAAAGACTCTATTTAGAATGAATGTTTGGAACGAAAATGAATTACTTTATTTCTCCATTTTCTTTGTTTTAATAAATATTTCCAAACATGTACTGGCTTTCACCTCACCCTGTGTATCAGAAGTATTGATAGATAAAAGCCATTTTAGGTAGCAAGAAGACATGGAAAAGGGGCAAGAAATTAAATGTATGCAGAGGTAAGAGGAGAAAAAACTCGAATATGAACTGGGGCTGTTTAAGGAGACAGTTTCATTTTTGGGTCTTCGGTATTTTAGCTCGGAATGGGATTTTAGGTACCATGTTTTGTGTTTTTTTTTTTTTTTTCGCTGCATGTGATAATGTCATCATTTATTTTTAAATGGTTCTAAATTGCAGATTTAAGTTGATTTCAAATCAACCCTATTTTTAAATTACTTTTAATAGGAAGAAATGAAGCAAGGACATACATAATCTACTATATTTGAAGGACTCAAACAAATACATGTTTGGCTGTGAATTCTGTACTCTCACCAAAACAGAGATAAAAATCCACCTAAAATACACTTTCCTTCATTTAGTGCTTGTGGGAGAAGGTCAAGTATTGCACTTTAAAATTACTTTCATCTAACATTTGCCCCAACTTTCCCCCTGAATTCACTATATGTTTTCAGCAAACATGATTTTATAAATTTTAAGTATAAAAGCAACTAGGTTTTCTAATTCAACTTTGGAAGGTTTACTTTACTCTACAGAGCTATTTTTGTAAAACGGCATATTTACTTACAAAATTGAGAGATAGGGGCATCCAGCTGAGGTACATTTCCTCCCTTGGCGTTGAGTTTCTGGACTTGGGTCGGGGGCACAGGCTTGTGTGACTGCCCCGTGGCCCGATACATGGCCTGGACCCACAGGATGCGGTCTTGTTCATCGTCACTGGCAAATATCACGGTGTCTCCCTCCTTGACAGCATTGAAGAAGGCTCGGCCACCCTCCAAACCTGGAAGAAAAGGGAGTAACAACTTCTACTAAGCTGAGCTGTGATGTTCTCAACTGGACTCAGCCTTTGAAAAAGCAGTTTCTGCTGCTTTTCCTTGGGACAGAAGAGGGGGGTAGTGATTAACTTAGGATGGGAAGTCTGAGATTCACTTGTCCACAGAGTGGGACCGTGATGTTGAAGAAGTATTTCTGAGCCTGGATCTTATCTTTTTGTGTCCTGCTGGGGATAGAACTGCCAAGCAGGCTGCCTGCTTGGGGGATAAACATCTGCCTATAAACATACTATTTTCTCCCTCATCTTTAAACACAAACAAAACAACAACAAAAACCTCTCTTTACCACATCTCTCCCTTCAGCTACTGTCCTATTGTTCTTCTCTTTACAACGAAAGGGAAATCTCTACCAAGGCTTTTCCAATTTTAGTACCCATACGAACCCCCTGGGCATGTTGTTAAAATGCAGCTTCTGATTCAGTACGTCCGGAACAGAGCTTGAGGTGCAGCATTTCTAACAAGCTCCCAGATGATTCAGATGGCGCTGGTGTGAGGACCACATGTTGAGTAGCAAGGGTCTCTCCCCTCCTTTTCTGCCTTACAACCCCTCCAATCAGGCTGCTGCCCCACTGAAACTTGTCCAGGTTTCAGTGGACACATTGCTGAATAACCAGTGACCTCCACATTGCTGAATCCAATGACTGATTAAAAGCCCTCATTTTATTGGGCCCACCCACCTATCAGCAGCATTTGCACTCCCTTCTCTTCAAGATGCTTTCTTTACTTAGCTTTCAGGAGGAAACCCTGACTTTCCTCCTACCATCCTGGCTGCTGCTCCTTAGTCTTGTCTGGTGGCTCCTCCTCCTCCTCTTCCTGATTTTTAAATGCTGGGCTTCTGTCCTTGCCCTTCTTCTCTTCCTTAGAAGCACCCTCTCTCATGGTGATGCCAACCAGCCTTTAAGTACCATGAGTATGCTGATGGCCTTCACACTTCTCTCTCCAACCTGGACCTCTCCCCTGGACTCCAGACTTGAATATCTTTCTTGACTTTTCCCCAGGGATATCTGATAGACATCCCAAGCTTGTGAAACCCAACAATGAACTCCTGGTCTTTCTCCCTGACCTCCTCAGCAAAGCTGAGCCCATCTCTCTTGCCACTCAAGTCCCCAGTCTTGGGGTCAATTCTGACTCTTTACTTTCTTTCACTACCCACTTCCAATGAATCATGAAATTCTGATGGTTCCACCGTTAGGACATTACCAGAATTTGATCACTTCTTCCATCTCCAGTTGCGGCCATCATAAATGTAGCCAGGATCATCCCTGGATTATTTTAATAGCCTCCTATCTGACCTGTCTGCCTCCATCCTCATTCTCTATAGTTGATGCTCACAAGGCAGCCAGAGTCCCTGATTTAGCACTAGAGTCAGGTCCTGTCACTCTTCTGCTCAAAACCTGCCAGCAGTTCCACGTTCCACTCAGAGGAAAAGCGTTGGTTCTGACAAGGCCTGAAAGCCTCCCATGAATTGGTCCTCTGCCACCTCTAACCTCCTCTCCTAATACTCTCTCTCTCCCTCTATGCACACATGTACTCACTTCATTGCAGCCACACTGGCCTCTTGCTCTTCCTTGAACACCCCAGGCATGTGCTCACCTCAGTACCTTTGCAATTGCTTTTCTCTGTGCCTGGAGCACTCTTTTTTCAGGTATCTGCATGATTCACACTCTTATCTCCTTTGTATCTTTTCCTAAACATCACATTCCTGTTGAGACCTTCCCTGACCTCCCTTCTTGTGACCTATCTCTTATCTTGCTTAATTTTTCTTTTTTGCTCCTATTACTTTTTAGCAAACTATATAATTTACTTTGCTTCATAAGTGCAGGTAGTTTTTGTCTATTTTGCTTACTGCTGTATCCCTGGAGCCTAGAATAGTGCATGGCACATAGTGGGTGCACAAATATTTGTTGAATAAATGAATATGCTCTAGATCCATCTTTTTCCATGGGCAGTTCTCAAGGTTAAAATTTAGCGAGAAGTGCATGTTCTCACTCATAGGTGGGAATTGAACAATGAGAACACATGGACACAGGAAGGGGAACATCACACACCGGGACCTGTTGTGGGGTGGGGGGAGGGGGGAGGGATAGCATTAGGAGATATACCTAATGTTAAATGACGAGTTAATGGGTGCAGCACACCAACATGGCACATGTATACATATGTAACAAACCTGCACGTTGTGCACATGTACCCTAAAACTTAAAGTATAAAAAATAAAAAATTAGTGAGAAGTAGGTGGAAACTTCTCTTTGGGTTCAGGCCAAAGCTACATTGTGTCCATCAACATATTCTAGAAACCTGTATTTTAGATTACTCAGCATTCTCTAGCTGGAAATAATACTTCATATCTTCATCAGGTTCCTCGTCGCCTCCTCAATTATTAAAAACTAAGAGGAGAATGAATGAGTTATTAGCATCCCCAAATTTCCAGTGAGGTCCAGCCAGTAATCTGTTTGACATTTGTCATTGGAAAAGATTTCTGGTAACATTAAGACTTCTTCATTGTGCCGATGCAATTTATTGAGGTGTCTATGCTGCAAGCGTGGGTGTGTATTGATAGTTTTGCACTTGGAATGGCCAGGGATTTAGGACAATAAATAGCTACTTCTTTATATGGAGGGTCTGATAATATCACACCAATAAAGCTTTACTAAAAGATTTTTGGTGGTTTTTATTATAAGGGACTATTTTGCTTAATTTCATATGGAAAGTTTTAAAATACCTAATTTGAGTAGGATGATGTGTAGTTAGCAAGCTGGGAAAATCTGATGAACCTAATGAATAGCACAATAAAAAGGAAAATTCTGAAAGGGGAAGGAGGAGGAAGAAGAGCTCTGAGAGTTGTTTTAAGCCTGAAAAGTGAGCAATAAAGAGTTAAAAAAGGAAGAGCAGGTCAATAGACCTGTAGCCTAGTCTCGTGGTATCCTTAGGAATAAGCTGTTTTGCTACAGTCAGGGAATGCCAGGACAAACACGATCAGGTATCACTTTTACTAGCCCCAAGGCCTCCCCCTCACCCAGGGCCTGCTGCTGGGGTAGAGATACTGTATTTCTGGAGCTACCGTCAGAAAGTCAGTTCATGGAGTTACTTTGGGGAAGTGGACAGCCCTCTCCACTGTGCAGTTATTTAGAGGTAGAGATGGAAAGACACCAGGAAGTTTTTATATTTTTAATCAATCCTCCCAACAGCCTTATGATGTAAGTACTATTATTCCATTTTACAGATGAGGAAACTAAGTCATGGGGAAGGTGGTAACTAGCCCATGGACACAAAGCTGGGTTGTATGTGTCAGAGCTGGCTTTTGACCTTGGCTGTTTGTCTCCACAGCTGATGACTATAACCACTGTGCTTTACTGCACCAAAGCATGAATCCAGGGCTGGGCCCTCACTAACAGCTCTCTTAAGAGTCATTATTAACAATAAAATGAAGCCTAATTTTGGAGTGGGTAAGGGCAAAGAGAAACATCTAAAGAAATGGCAGCAATGACAAGCACAGCAGCAGAGAGCAACAGGGCTTTTTCAGAAAGCACCAGAGGCTGAGGACACACCAAGGAAAGCAAGAAGGAGATAGAAGAGCGACAGATGAAAGAGAACCAAGAGAGGAGAAAGCAAAGTGAACATCCACAAAGTGAAGATCCACATGTCATAACCACAAGGCCATCAGTCTTAGAAAAAGCAACAATTCCTGGGGACTGAATCTGAAGAATGTGATGTGTGACCTCAAATGGGCTCTCCTTGGAGAACGAGGGGCACAGTCCCACAATTCAAAGACAAAAAGACACGTCTGGGAATAGATGGAGGCAGACCAGGCAAAGGAATGCTGGCCAGCTCTCTAGGGGAAAGGAATTGCACTTCCAACAACTTGCATGGCCAAAGTCCATTTATGAGGGTAAAAAAGGTCTTTATGAGTCGTATAAGAATAATTCAGTTGTTTGATAAACTGTGGCATTGAATTATTCTGGATTAATATTCTTTTATTTGAAGGCTTAATTATCTAATCGGATAGAAATTGAGATTATTTCAAACTTTCCAAACCATACACAGGGAAAGGTAAAGTGATGCATTTTTATTTTTAGCTTAAAAGGAGTAGCTTGTAAGTGAAACTTACATAATTTGCCAGTTCACCAAATGAACACGTCAAGGACCCAAACAGGTAGAGTTTATTTAGTGGAAATGCTTGTGTCTGGGGGAACCACGTAGATTGTAGGCTGGTACTAAGGCAACAATATTAATTGCATCCCTCCCTTCTATGGCAGAGAGCAACAGGCCACAAGGGTTCTTAGCACACAAAATCGCCACCAGGTGGATCCACTGACAATTTGGATAAAACCAAGAGAAAGAGGGAGAGAGGTAGAGTCTGAAGTCCTCCCCATTTGCACACTCACCTTTCAGGGAGCAGTTGAGGAGACTCCTCAAATCTGAGGACATTGGTTAAAATGTGCATTACTTGGCTCTCCAGCTGGCAAATGTTACTGTGTTCAGGAATCCCCTGCAGTGCTTATTTAAATACAAAGATTCTGACCTCTCCCTACTTCTGGTTCACAGGTTAGAAATGGGGCCCAGGAACATTTATTTTTAATAATTACTTTTTTGTTGTTTGTTTGAGACAGAGTCTCTCTCTGTTGCCCAGGCTGGAGTGCAGTGGCGCAGTCTTGGCTCACTGCAACCTCTGCCTCCCAGGTTCAAGCGATTCTCCTGCTTCAGCCTCCCGAGTAGCTCGGATTACAGGTGCGTGCCACCACGTGCGGCTAATTTTTGTATTTTTAGTAGAGATGGGGTTTCACCATGTTGGCCAGGCTGGTCTCGAACCCCTGACCTCAAGTGATCTGCCCACCTCAGCCTCCCAAAGTGCTGGGATTACAGGCGTGAGGCACCGCGCCTGGCCAATAATCACTCTTTAAAAAATTCTGAGTTAGACTTTCCCATGACAACTGAGAGAATTTAAGTCTCCGTTTTCAATCAGACATTACTTGGGGAATAAATAGGACTTAGCACATGGAAAGATAGAAGAAGCTGCTTATTATTCTCAAGAACATAATTGATTTACATTTTACATCTTTCCATTTACATCTTTCGTATAGAAATTTATAAATTATATCCCATGGGATCGATGTAAAAAGAAATAAGCTTTAAAAATATATGTGCACAGTTACTCCTTACACATGTAGATAGAATAGCTCTCTCCACTCCTGCCCTCCCCACTGAGTGAAGATAATTTTGCTTTCATCTGATAAAGTAACAACCATAGCTTTGCTATAGCTGTTCATGCAGCTATGCTTTACTGCAAGTGCCAAAGCGTGACATGGGTTAGACCCGGAGTCCCAGCTCAGCCACCAGGCAGTCTTAAACAATAGCCTTTGATATCTCAGAATCTCAGTTTCTTCATTTACAAAATGGGGTAATGATCCTGGTCTTATCCACTTTGTGGGATTACCCTGAGGGCTAAATACAATCACATGGGGGGAAAGGAAAATGAACTGGCTTAAAAGCAATTATTGTCATAAGGTGGTATTGATTTCCCTTCTCATATTGGCCCTTTAGCGTCCCATTTTATGTTTAAAAATTTATTATTCTTTACAATTCTATTTTTTGAGTTGGGGTCTATTTCTGTCACCCAGGATGGAGTGCAGCAGTGCAATCATAGCTTATTGCTGCCTCCAACTCCTAGGCTCAAGCAATCCTCCCACCTTAGCCTCCCTAGTAGCCTCCCTGTAGCACACACCTACAGGTGTGTGCCTCCATGCCCTGGTTATTTTTTAATTTTTTTGTATAGATGATGTCTGGCTTTGTTGCCCAGGCTTGTCGTGAACTTTGGTCTCAAGCGATCCTCTCGCCTTGGGATTGCAGATGTGAGCCACCACTCCTCACCCTAGCCTTCTACTTAAAAATAAAAGTCCTAAGGAGGACTGAATCTATTTTTTTGAAGGATACACAATGGCTTAAGAAGAACACAAACCATCACAGAATGTCCTAAGGACTGGTTTCCTAAGGCAGGAGCCCCATCCTTTCCATGAGAAGTTGCATGAAATTGTTTGTTTCAAACTCGTTGGTTCTGCTCATGAAGGATTTCCAGGCAGAGCATTTAATTCATGCCTTATGTGGTCAGCTCTGCATTCTGCTCTGGCAAGTAGCAAATAACATATGAAAGACCGAAGGGGTGGCGCTGGGCCCAGTCACTCGGTTGAGATTCTGCAGGTGCTAATTTTACTAAGTGGGCTGGGCCCAAGGCCTTCCCTGCCACACCTTTTCAGGTTAGCACCCCATCTTCTCTCAAACTCTGTTTTTCTTTTATGTGTATTTTGTTGCATGTGGAAGAGCAATATGGGAGTAGAAAAAAAGGTTTTGGGCCAAATAATGCAGTATGGTTGGAAATGCTTTCCTTGTGCAGATTTGGCATAAAAATAAACTTCTCCGGGAGAGGGCTGTTGGTGCTTGTTGTTCATTAATATGCTGAAATGATTTCGCACCCCCCTCCCATTTTGAAGGTTCTTTGAGGCTGATTTCTATTCATTTTTTTTTTCTGGGAAAAAGATAAAATGGGTGGGGGGAGAGGTGCGAGGGGGCAGGATGTAGAACTTATGCGGTGTAGAACTTTTAAGAAATACTACCGCTCGTGTAGTTTTCTTAGCTACATAAGGCTTAAGGGCTTCATTGTCTCTGCTTGTGGATTGGTGTCTTCTTAGGGAAAAAGACATTTAGGGAGGGTTTTCAAGTGCTACCAGCTAACCTTATGATCTCTTGAATTGTAGCTAGGGAAAATGGATATATTGGGCAGGCTCCCTTGGTCACTGAAACCTGCCAAGCCCACACATCACTGGTGAAAAACAACACACACACACACACACACACACACACACACACACACACACACACACACACACACTCCTTGGTGTACATGTGGGACTACTTCTTTTTCAGAATTTTTTTTTTAGCATTGTATGGTGGAGTCCATATTTGATGTGGATACAGGCAGGTAAAAGAAAAATGCTCTTACTTTTTGGGTTTAAATTAGAGAATCCCTTGAGTAAAACCAAAGCACTAGGTTAGGATGGCATTTAACCAACCGGGATGGAAACGGCATAATATCAGGGATTGTGACTGTCATGCACACAGCTGAAACCCTTAGTGAATTGACTTAGTGCCTAGCATGGAGTAAGTGCCCAGCAATTATTAGTTGACCATTGATTTGGGAAGGTTGAGGGTTTGTGGGCTCGTGGCCTTGAGGGTCGGTGGGTACCTGGCTGGGGGTCGGTGTAATCCACAGTGTAGCCATCCAATTGTAGAAGTTCCTGAGGCTCCGCTTTCTTCTCCCGATAACTGCACATGGCAAACGTGTACTGACTGACCTGTTAAGGAAAAGCAGATTGTGAGGTTGACCCCTGGAGCCTGTCTTCTCCAAAAAACCCTCCCCCATGTTCTCTCCTCTGAGGATCTGGACTGAGTGGCTGGGTTCAAACTGAGTTTTGCTACCTCCTGGCTGTGTGACGTTGAGCATGTTACTTAACCTCTCTGGTCCTTCATAACCTCATCTGTAGACTGGATACAATCTTAGAACCTACCTCATTGGCTTACTGTGAAGACTGAATGAGTTCACGTGGGGAATGCACTTACAGTCTGTTCCTGGCACTTAGTAAGTACTTGATGAAGGTTAGCTATTATCATTATTGCTTTTAATATAATTGGGTTAAGCTACATGTGACTGCCATTTTTGTAGGTCAAAAGTGGTTAAACGACAGCAATTTTGTATGTTCTACCTAATGTGACTGTGGCCTTGGCTGAGACTGCCATGCTCGCAGATACAACATGGGCCTTTTGGTCAGAAGTTAGAGGCTAGACATTCATTTATTCATGCCTTTTTATTTCAGTATTTTATTTTTTGCAGCATTTTGATCAGCATCAAACTACATGTTTTGTCCCCTTCTTCCTGCTGAAGGAGTACTTTGGTTGCTTTGAAGTCTTCTTCTTATCTCAGACAAGTGCAGGAGTGACATGCTGTCACAAGCAATGAGCGCTTGATCGCTAGGTGCCAGTCACAGTAGAGCAATCCTCAGCCCCCACAATGGCGTGGCTGTTGTCACTTGTGCCCTAATGGCAGCCCTCACTCTACCAACACAAACCATGCCAGTGCAGGGCGGGTGCTCACAGCTGCAGGCCCGCCTTCAGGACCCTGTCACTCTAGTGCATCCAGATCCAGCACATATACTTAGCATTTCTACATCTGGCTTGTCTGCAAGTAGCCCGTGGGAAAGCAAGCATCCTCCTAGCTTTGGGCTAAATGCTCTCAGGCATATTTACTATCCACGGATGTCAAATGTCTTAGAGAAGGAGTGCCACATCCCTCATCCCTTAGTTTCCTTTATTAAAAGAGACACTTTCTAAGTGAACTTTGATCCCAGTGGGGGACATTTTTAGTCTCTTCTATAGTGAGATTTGTTTTTGTTGTTTTAATGGTGATAAGAAATTGACGCTCTCGAGTGCTACATGCATCTCCCGCACTGTCCGAGGCTTGAGGGTCCCAGTGGAGAGATGAAGGGTGTCCGCAGGAGGATGTTTTTGGTAGTTGGTTTGTCTGTTGCTGCCCTCTGTTGGCTCCTGATGGAAACTTTACCGCCCCACTTGGGTTTCTTTATAATGTATAGGGTTTGCAGAACTTCTTCCTTATATCACAATGCCAGGGGAAACCTAAGGCTGGGTCACTGAGAGTATTTTCATAAAGGAACACATATTAATTTTTTGTAATAAACAAAGTAATCAATAGCACACTCTTCTAAAATGGAAGGTTAAGAGTGTAGGCTGAGGGTTCCATGGGCCTGGGGTCCCATCCCAGCTCTGATAAGCTGTCCGTTCTGTAAGCCTCAGAGTCTTCATCTGTATTTACCTGCATCTTATTGTTGCTAGAGAATTAATTGAGTTTTACATACCATGTGTGATACCCATAGAGCGAACACTTCATATACACATGCATTTATACAGGCCCCTTCCTTGCATTTGACACACTTTCTAATATAGTATAGCTTAATAGGTGGATTTACCTACTGGATTATAAATTCATTGAAGACAGGTCTAGGGAGTCATATGTCTTGATTGTATTTTCAGTCTCATAAGCAAAATCTGCCATATAATGGGCATTCACTAGTTGAATCTGATTGGTTCTAGAAAGTTGAGTACATACAATCCAATAAAGAGGTTTTACCCCCCAAATTTACAGGGGATTCCAAGTACAGTACCAGGCCTTTCCAACTTGTTATTATTGATCCTAGGGATAACAGATTTCCTGTGACCCTCTGCATGACAATGATCATAGATACTGCTGGAACGGTCCCATGGGGAATTTTTTTTTTTTTTAGATGGAGTTTTCTTCTTGTTGCCCAGACTGGGGTGCAATGGCATGATCTTGGCTCACGGCAACCTCCGCTTCCTGGGTTCAAGTGATTTTCCTGCCTCAGCCTCCTGAGTAGCTGGGATTACAGGCATGCGCCACCATGTCTGGCTAATTTTGTATTTTTAGTAGAGACAGGGTTTCTCTATGTTGGTCAAGCTGGTCTTGAACTCCCGACTTCAGGTGATCTGCCCGCCTCAGCCTCCCAAAGTGCTGGGATTACAGGCGTGAGCCACCATGCCCAGCCGGATTTTTTTTTAACCTGGCATTTCTCATCTGACAACATGAAAGATGACATAGTTTGTTAATGTGATTGGCCAAACAGAGAGTTGCCGACACTCACTTAAGATTTAAAAAAAAAATCACAACAGAAGGGTGTTATTTCAAGATTTATGCATTTACTATTACTACATGGTTTGGGCTTTTTAATTTTTTTTTTTTTTTCCTTTTCTATTTCAGTGGCTTCCTTCTTGGAGAGCTGTATGCTGATGCCCTCTTCTGGTTATATTGCTGAAGTCACTCTCCACAAACTGAATTGCTTTGAGTTGGTAAACCAAATTGAGTTGGTTTATTGGGAGCATCTTGATTTAGGATTTTGCAATGTACTTTAGGAAATAAAGGAGGGGAGAAAGAATGATTTCTCTTTGAATGATTCTAATTATTGGAAATTTTGGGGGGAATCTCACTTTTTATAGACTGATTGAATGGTGGGAGAATTGCAAAGATTTGGAAAGCCTTACATTTATTTTTTAAACTTCCACAAGACCACACTAAGTAAAAGCCATTTCCCATGAAATGCATGTTCCTCTGTCGTAGTAGAATTCTTTTAAAACTGTATTTTGTTGATGAAAAATTAATGAGGCAGTGAGCACTGTTGTAATAAAGGCATGGCAGAGCCTGGAATGCATGTTAGAAGTGAGAAAGTCAGCCACCCTTGTCAGACAGCCTGGCCTACAACAGAAAGCATAAAAATCTAGTGATCTCAAATGATCAGCAGACATCTGAAAGTGCACTTTGCAGAGAAGGGCTTAAAGAACTCTGTCTTTCACATCCTTGGGATTTTCATAGGGTAGGTACCTTCTCATGGAATCACAGGACAGGCCGTTGGGACTTCTGAGGGAACAGTCAGCGAGGTTTTATTTTAAAGCTGGCTGCACCTCAGACACACCTTTAAAAATCCTTAGCTCATTTCCAGTCACGTGCTTAAACTACAGAATGCTTTGAAGTAATGTTCCTTAAAGAGTGGATGGTGGGCTGGGCGCAGTGGCTTACGCCTGTAATCCCAGCACTTTGGGAGGCTGAGATGGGTAGATTATGAGGTCAGGAGTTTGAGACCAGCCTGGCTAACATGGTGAAACCCCCTCTCTACTAAAAATACAAAAATTAGCTGGACGTGGCGGCAGACTCCTGTAATCTCAGCTACTCCGGAGGCTGAGGCAGGAGAATTGCTGGAAATGGGAAGGCAGAGGTTGCAGTGAGCTGAGATCGCACCACTGCACTCCAGCCTGGGAGAAAGAGCGAAACTCCATCTCAAAAAAAAAAAAAAAAAAAAGAGTGGATGGCGACAGCTGCCTTTATTATTAGATAGTGTGTGGGGGGTGAGGGGGTGGATTAGGCTGTAAATATGTAGATTCTTTAAGTCAGACCAGAATCAGAATCTCAGGTCAGAGTGGGCCTTAGGATTATACATTTTTCATAACTGTCTCAGATTCTCTCTCTCTTTCTCAAAATAGGGTCTTGCTGTCGCTCAGGCTGAAGTGCAGTGACACAAACATGGCTCACTACATCCTTGACCTCCTGGGCTTAAGTGATCTTCCTGCTTCAGCCTCCCCAGTAGCTGGGACTAGAGGCATGTACCACCATGCCTGGCTATTTTTTTTTTTTTTTAATTTTTTGGTAGAGATGGTGGGGGGGATGTCTCACTATGTTACCTAGGCTGGTTTGAACTCCTGGGCTCAAGTGATCTTCGCATTTTGGTCTCCCAAAGTGCTGGGATTACAGGCATGAGCCACCACACCTGGCCAGATATCTCTTAATACATGTTAAAATCTGAGAACCACGGTTTTAATATATAGGAACTGTCCATAACCTCTAAGATTGCCCTTGAGTTTCAATTATAGTTAGCAAGTAGATTCCAGTCATGAGATGAAAAGGTTAGACTTTTCTGTCCCCAACTCTCCTCTCCCCTTCTTATCACCTATGGGAGACTAAAATACTTGGACATACAACAGTAGAATGTATTTTGTCTAAATCTTCTTTCCTTGCTTTTACCATCATTCTTTGAAAATTAATCAGCTGTTATTTTTACTGAACTCTGGTCACCAGCCCTTGTCCAAAATTCATATACATAATTTAGAAAAGAGTTGTTTATAATAGATACATTCATTCTTTCAACAAATACGTAGGTAGTGTGTTTGGTTCGAGGACTATAAACATGCAAAAAACCAGATGTGATTCCTGCCCTCATGTCTAGCATGAAGGTAGACATTAATCCCATGATTTCACAAATGTGTTATTTTAATAGTGGCAAATATTAAAAAGAGAGGTATATGGTACTGTAAGAGCTTGGAGATTTGGTCTAGATGGGTGGTTGGGCAAGGAATTCCTGAGGAAGCATTGACGGATTGAGCCAAAATCTGAGCATGGAGAAAATTTTTATGGTGTGAATCACAGTTCCTGGAGACTAAGGACTATTTTTAATGTGATGTAGTTGCGAATGAAGGATCACAGTGTCTAAATCCCAGACTCCTGATTGGCACTGAAGTGAAGGCCATTTGGTGGAGGAGAAGGAGAATAGATTTTAGAGTCATGCAGAACTGGATTTGGTTTTCAGATCCATTATTTTCTATGTGAACCAAGGCAGTTCAGTTAACTTTTCTGGGACATGGTTTTGTGATCTTTAAATGGGGATGATGATAACATCTGTGGGACATTTCTTTTTTTGATAATTAAAAAAGAATTTATTTCTTGTAGACATGGAGTCTCACTGTGTTGCCCAGGCTAGTCTCAGACTCCTAGCCTCAGGTGATCGTCCCAGCTCAGTCTCCCAAAGTGCTGGGATTATAGATATAAGCCACTGCACCTGGCCTTCTGTGGGGGCATTTCTTATGTGTGCATGCAGGCCATTCATTGCCCTCCCACAACTGAATCCTGGTCTTCCTTTGGGAACCACTCTCTTTTCAACTTTCAGGGCAAGTGGTTTGTGTGGGAGTAACTGCACATCTAGCTGGAAGTAGGGTGAGTAAAACACTTGGCCCATGCCTGGCCAATCAACATAGTATCTCCTTGGTTGCAGTGACTGGTGCAAGGATTTGGCACCACACTGGGCCAAAGAAAGCTAACTGAGGGCCTGTACTGGAACAATTGTTAAAGAAAAGTTTTCTCTGGGGCTGGTAAACTTTTGTAAGGCTTGAGCTGCCAGAGATCATGCCTGAGGGTGAAGTCAATTCAGCGGAAAGCAGAGCCAAAAGATTAAATATATTGAGAGACAGAGGCTTGATAATATTGCTTGAGTCCTGGATCTAGTCATGACAGAAGACCCTCCAGCTAATTACTAGTTTAATTAGTTAACCAATACAATTCTTGCCCTTTTAAAACTTAAGTCTGTTTGGGTTGATATCTGATAACCAGACTATATCTGATAACCAGATATCTGATAACCAGAATATAAATATAAATGTCTTATAGAGCAATTGTGGAGTGGCAAAAACAAACATTTGGAGTTACAAATCCTTCAACTACTCATATGTCTTACAATTCATTTTTGTGGTTAACTCATTTTAATATTGTATTCCCAGGTGACTACTATTGTATTCCAAGGCATTATATATTATCTAACAATATTTTATCTTATTCTGATTTAGTGATTTTTCTGAAAGCTGGAACATAATTTTTGGTAACATTCTCAGTTGGGAATCAGAAACAGAGGAGCCATGTTGGTTCTATCTGAGTAATTCAGTTCTAGAACATTCTTTTAACACAATGCTTTATTTAAAAAATGTTTTATTTCCATAAGTTTTTGGGGAACAGGTGATATTCAGTTACATGAGTAAGTTCTTTAGTGGTGATTTATGAGATTTTGGTGAACCCATCTCCCAATCAGTATACAATGAACCCAATTTGTGGTCTTTTATCCCTCACTCTCTTCCCACCCTTTCCCCCTGAGTCCCCAAAGTCCATCGTATTATTGTTATGTCTTTGCATCCTCATAGTTTAGCCCCCACTTATGAATGAGAACATATGATGTTTGGTTTTCCATTCCTGAGTTACTTCACTTAGAATAATAGTCTCCAATCCCATCCAAATTGCTGTGAATGCCATTAATTCATTCCTTTTTATGGATGAGTAGTATTCCATCATATATATATAACATTCTGTATGCATCAATCTCTTCAGGTGCCAGTCCTGTCTAAGTGCTAGGAGTTATTGAAGGCACTTGCAATCAAAAGACCTGTGTTAGGTTTCTTTTTTTTTGAGACAAATTCTCGCTCTGTCACCCAGGCTGGAGTGCAGTGGCATGATCTCGGCTCACTGCAAACTCCACCTCCCAGGTTCATGCCACTCTCCTGCCTCAGCCTCCCAAGTAGCTGGGACTACAGGTGCCCGCCACCACGCTTGCCTAATTTTTTGTATTTTTAGAAGAGATGGGGTTTCACCATGTTAGCCAGGATGGTCTAGATTCCCTGACCTCATGATCCACCCGCCTCAGCCTCCCAAACTGCTGGGATTACAGGCGTGAACCACCGTGCCTGGCCTGTGTTAGGTTTCATATTTGGCTGCTTACAAGCCATTGACCTTGGGCAGGCCACTTATCCACTCTGAGCCTTAGTTTCCTCTAATGTGAAGTTGCGAAAAGCCTTGTCCTCACTGTAGTACAGAAAGGTTGTGAAGACCAGCTTGACGAACACTTTGTAAACTCTAAGAAACCATATAAATATAAGTGATTGTCCACATTATTAGAGGAACCACAGAATATTACAGTTTGTACAGTGCTAAAATGGGGAGAAATGTCTCAGAAATTATTTGAACACCAATCAAAAAAGTAGATTTTAACCAGAAATCTTTTTTTTTTTTTTTTTGAGACAGAATCTTGCTCTGTCACCCAGGCTGGAGTGCAGTGGCATGATCTTGGCTCACTGCAACTTCCGCCTCCTAGGTTTAAGCGATTCTCCTGTCTCAGCCACCTGAGCAGCTAGGACTACAGGCACATGCCACCATGCCCAGGTAATTTTTGTATTTTTAGTAGAGATGGGGTTTCACCATATTGGCCAGGCTGGTCTCGAACTCCTGACCTTGTAATCCACCTGACTCAGCCTCCCAAGGGGCTGGGATTACAGGCATGAGCCACCATGTCTGGGCACCAGAAATCTTTTGATCACAGAATAAAAATATTTTTTAAATAAAAAGATGAAAGCGTTAAGACTTTCTAACCTGATATGGGTGATAAGTTGGCCTGTTTTCACTGTTCTCCTTACACACACACACGGGGTGGGGCGTTCTGGCTATCCAGCAGTGCTCTATGGAATTGGCACCTTTATCATTAGTGTTGATTTGGTCACATTAGAGTTACTAACAGTAGTAATCAATGTGTTTGGTTCTCACCATGGACCCGAGGGTTTAGAATGAGGCCCCAGTAATTTCTTGACTCAGGGTGCTGAAGGCCCATTTCCCCTTGATCTCTGGGTTAGGGTTTGCAGCCAGCCAAGTTTATAGGACATATATTGGAATTTCAAGGAAGATGGCGAGAGGAGGCTTTATTGTGCCATTTGAATATAGTCATCTATTTAGCTACTCTGATGCTCGGTTCCATAGAGAACATAAACTCTAAGATGGTGTCATCTGAAGGGAATGAGACCCTTCACTTTAAGCGGGATAATGACCTCCAAGGCAGTGTTTCTCCAAGGGTGGCCTTTGGACCACCTGCATCAGTATCTCCTGGGGTGCCTTTTATAAGTACGGAATACTGGGCCCCACCCCAGACTTACTGTATCAGAGTCTTCTGGATGGCACCTTGGGGTCTGCATTTTAAACAACACCTAATGCAGATGGTCCAGGCCCCCATTTACAGACACTCTCTCATTGCACAGGAATGCTTGAATCTCTGTCACAGAAGCTCCTCGCAACTGCTTCATTCCCTTCACAGTTGGTAGGGTAGACTCTAGCCACATCTATAGTAATTTTAGCTCTGATCCTTAAGAAATGGGAATTGCTACTTTGGTCCAGCACTCCTCTGAGTATATCCTTTATCCCTGGCTAGTAGGAAGTCCGTTTATAGTCTAAAATTTGGTTCCCCAAGACAGTAGTACTAATAGGAAATCTCAGTCAGGGAGAATTTTAATTGTTACACGTTATAAGCAAAAAAGTAGACTCTGTGTGTATGTGTAGAGCAGGAGATGAATTTTGAGGAGACTAATGTTGGATGTCCTCTCTTCATCTTTGTTTTTTCAGACAATTTTCGTTGTTTTAAATCTAATGTATTAAATCATAATTGTGTTGGAAATTGTGTGCTGCTAGCTCTCTACATAAACACATTCCATAAGATCTAACATCTGAATTGAAAGACACAAAGATTCCGTAAGTCACTTGGGTAGATATACTTTCTGTTTGGTGGTTTCCACACTGTTTTCCAGGGAGTTCCCTCCAAGGCTGCCTGGGAGCAGGGGCGGGGTTAGGGGAATCTTCTCCCTTCCCCAGAACTCTCACGCTTCTGCAAATTGAACCAGGGTGGTTCTCCGGGTTTCATGTTTGCATTTTGAGTTTCAAAGTAAGGGTTTGGTGGCTAAAGAGAAACTGAAAATCGTTTGTACATATGACTGAATTCAACATTGCATGCAGCTGTTGGGGGCCAATTGCCACCGCTTGGATTGACATCCTTTCCTTCAGCAACCTGAGACATTTTAGCTTCCTCTGAATTGGACCAGCACTGGTGGCCTTGAACTTTCCTCCTGCAGCTCTGATGGCATTGGGGTTGTTTCAAAGGGAGTGTGTTTTTTTCTTTATGATATTGATAAAGTGCTTCTAAATGTGATCACTTAAATAGGGGAGAAGAAAAAATGGAAAGAATTTAAAAATAATGCAGTATTTTCTGGGTATGCCAGCAAATTGCTTTTAGATATTGTTGTGGTGAATAGGACAAGAATTGAAAGAGAAGACCTGAGTTGTCATCCTGGCTCCCCCATTATCTTTGTGATGATGGGACTCTCACGTCACCTCTGTGTGTCACAGAGGTTGTTAAGGGAGAAATCTGATTCAGGCTGAAACAGATTTTTTTGGGGGGATGGATGTCCCCAACATACCTTGACAGCTCTTTAAAGTTAATGAGAATCATATGTACATGAAAAATTTCACAGAATTCTGAACTTATTTTCTCCTGCCTTTCTAGGAAAGATACTGAGCTTTAGATGAGAAGTGCCCTTTTATGATTCTCAGAAGTGAGCACAGAGCTTGCTTTTTAGCTGCTGTGTGACTTTCATCTTCTCTTATTAGAAGGCTCAGTGTGAAGGCTCTAAACACCTGTGTTCCCGTTGCCTGAAAAAATCATTCTCTCCCTTTTGGTTCTCCCTGTACTTACTGTACAGACATGGCTTTACTGATGTTTTCCACATATTTCCTCTTGTTTTTCCTGCAGAGTTTCCTCTCCCAAAATAAGAGGTCATCTACTTCTCCTAAGTACTTCATCATATCAAAAGTTCTCAGAAATCTGAGAATGGTTGTCACCAGCCACTTCTCGGAGCACATGATCTCTCCTTTTTCAGCACCACCCAAGGTATTGCCTGAGCTTTTCTCCTCTCTCTTCCTTTTTCTTTTCTTTGCCAGACACTGGGCTAGGGACTGTGTATGCGTGTGGTGGAGGAAAGAGGGAAAGACACAAAAAAGAATCAGAAACAAAACTGGCCCTGAAACAGTGCACAGTCTATCGGGGAGGCCAGGCATGCTCCCAAGTGATTCCAAGAGAGACTGCTGTGCCAAGTGCAATGAGAAGCACTGAGGGGCGAGAACCATCCATGACTAAGCACTGCTTTTTTTTTTTTTTTTTTTTTTTTTTTTTTTTTAGAGTCTCACTCTGTCTCCCAGGCTGGAATGCAGTGGCGCAATCTCAGCTCACTGCAGCCTCCGCCTCCTGGGTTCAAGCAATTCTCCTGCCTCCGCGTTCCCTGTAGCTGTGATTACAGGTGCGAGCCAGCATGCCTGGCTAGTTTTTGTATTTTTAGTAGAGATGGGTTTTCACCATGTTGCCCAGGCTGCTCTCAAACTCCTGAACCCATGTGATCCGCCCTCCTCAGCTTCTCAAAGTGCTGGGATTACAGGCGTCAGCCACTGCTCCTGGACAGCACTGCCTCTTGATGTGTCTTGTCTTCCCATTTACATTGTATGCTCTTTAAAGTGGATACCAGTTATTTTTACCTTCCCAGTATCCATTTCTCCTTCTGGTAATGGCATCCTGATTTTGCATGAAAGACAATCCAGTGGGACTGTCAATCCAAGTGCCATCCCTTCTTCCTGCTAAAAGTTGGGAGTGAACCAGGTTAGACTAAACCAATTCTCCCTTTATGAAATTTGACCCTCAAGGAGAGATGCAAGGATGGAAAGTGGTCAGAGCCAGTCTGTCTCATGACCACACTAGCAGCACTGGCCATGGTTCCAGGACTTGTGATGGTTAATATTAGGTGTCCACTTGATTGGATTGAAGGATGCCTAGATGGCTGGTGGAGTACTGTTTCTGGGTGTGTCTGTGAGGGTGTTGCCAGAGAAGACTGACAGTTGAGTTGGTGGCCTAGGAGAGGAAGACCCACACGCAGTGTGAATGGACACCATCCAATCAGCTGCCAGTGCAGCTAGAACGAAGCAGGTGGAAGGAGGTGGGATAAGACTGCTTGCCGAGTCTTCAGGCTTTCGTCTTTCTTCCCTGCTACATGGTTCCTTCTGTTCCTAATGCCCTTGGGCATCAGACTCCAGGTTCTTTGGCCTTTATACACTGGGACTTGTACCAGTGACTTGCTGGGGGCTCTCAGGTCTTTGGCCTCAGACTGAAGGCTGTACTGTTGGCTTCCTTTGTTTTGAGGCTTTCGGACTCAGAATAAGCCACTATCAGCTTCTTTCTTCCCCAGCTTGCAGACAGCCTATTGTGTGGCTTTGCCTTGTAATCATGTGAGCCAGTTCTCCCTAATAAATGCCCTTTCTTATATACATATATCCTATTGGTTCTGTCTCTCTGGAGAAACCTAATACAACTTGGATTTCTGGAACTATGCTGGCCCTGTTCTTAACATGGATGGGTAATTCAGCCTTTTTCACAATTCTATGAGTTAACTCCAAAGCCTTCCATATATTCATTTTTTAAACCTTAATTAGCTTGAGTCTACTTCTGCTGTTTGCATATGTAGAACTCTAACAGATTCCTTTCTGGGAGCTAAATACCAGACCTGATAGTTCTCCATGTCCTCTCAATGCACTCCACACAAAGTAGGTGCTCAATAAATACTGGTCAGTTAATAGTCTGAGGAAATGTACCACAAGCTAAAATAGCCTCAATTGCTTAGCCATGGGTTATTTTAATTATTTATTTTTTTTGGAGACGGAGTTTTGCTCTTGTTGCCCAGGCTGGAGTGCAATGGCACAATCTCAGCTCACTGCAACCTCCACCTCCCTGGTTCAAGTGATTCTTCTGCCTCAGCCTCCCTAGTAGCTGAGATTACAAGCATGCACCACCATACCCGGCTAATTTTTTGTACTATTAGTAGAGACAGGGTTTCACCATGTTGGCCAGGCTAGTCTTGAACTCCTGATCTCAGGTGATCCACCCGTCTCGGCTTCCCAAAGTGCTGGGATTACAGGCGTGAGCCACCGTGCTGGGCAGCCGTGGGTTATTCTGAGGGACGGGCATCATTCCAAAATGTTCTTTGCGGCTAAATCACTTTAAGGTTTTGTTCTACCCTACAACAATACTGAAAGCAAAGATGACCTCTTGCTTATTAGAGCCAGAGAGCTGTATTTTGCCTTAGCGGCACAGCAGAGACTTAAGTAGATCTATAGACAGTCTAGTCTTAGAAGTTCAGAGTTGGTGAAACCCTCAAGGTCATTTAGACCTAAAAGGGAGTTGCTTTGTAGTCAGGTCTCTGAGTATAAAGCACTCTAAATATTGGTAGCACTCTAAATATTAATCCTAGTCAAGTAACCCAGTAAGAACCTTTGTCACTCAGTTCCAAGTTGACTCACTTTGTGAAATCTTTCAGAGTATAGCATAAATTAGATTTCTGCAAATTGAATTATAGTTTAAATGCTCTGGTGGAGTCTGAAAATTAAAAACAGGCACTGGAAAACTTTGTAAACTGAAAAATCCTGATGCAAAAAATAAACACCCTCCCCTACCAAAAAGATGGGGTCTTTCAAGGACAGGTATTACTATTTCTGGAAAAAAATTTAAGAAATGCTCAAGAGTAAAGGTGTTATTTATATATGACTAATGTATTAACATCAATATCCGCATCTACATTTGTATCCATATACACAGATATTCCCTGCAGCCTTGTTAAGAATAGCCCAAATTGGGAAAGTCCAGAAGTCTATCCAAAAGGGAAAAGTTTACAGATATGAGAGCCAGAGCTATATATGTAAACATTGAAAGGTATCTAAATAACTTGTGTGGAAAAAGCAACTTGCAGAACAACTTGAAGAATTTGGTTTGTTTCAGTTAAAAAAAAAAAAAAGAAGTTTAATAGAAAAATTTATCCTAGATATTAAACATAGTTATGGGACGTTGGCTAAGACTTTTGGAAGCACCAGGCACCAAGAAGAGTAGAGCACTCCCACACAGATAATTCAAATTCAAACACACTAAATAATAAAATAGAGGCAAAAAGTCCAACTAAATTCTGACTTTACTCATAATGCCTATCTCAGTTCTTTTCAAAATACTACATTGTTTTCAGCCAAAGTTAATGTCCCTATAGCCCTCACTTGGCATGAGCTTGCTCCCTTCTGGAATCCTCCATCCCTGGCAGGAGACTGGGCAGGGGTGGGAGTCTACTCTCCCCGACTTATCTCACATACTACTGTATTGTTCGAATTAAAAAATTATGAGTATTCATTAATTTTTTAAAATTTAAAAGTGATATAAAAATAGAGAATAGAGCACAAGGGAGCCCTTTGGGTATTGGAAATGTTCTGTATCCTCCTCTGAATGGTGGTTACATGGATATATGTAAAAATTCATTAAGCTAAATGCATGAGCTCTGTGTATTTAAGTTATACCTCAGTTAAAAAGCATTCATTCATTCTAGCAAATCTTTAATACTGATGTCTCTTAAGAGTTGAAGAGTTAGTTACCTGCACCAATACAAAAAACCTTTTCTTCCATCTCTTCCAGACATTCTTACCGATGGCCCATAAATACCTAAGGGAAAGGAGAAAGACCAGAGCTGCATTAATGCTTGAGTGAGTGAATTGTTGAACACACTTTGCCGTGAAGCTTGGTACTTATAAACAAGGAAACGCACATGGCTCAGGAACGGGGCGCAGATTTTGGAGCTCTGTGGTTGAGCATAAACAACAGCAAGCACTTTTCACTTCCACTTACAGGAGGAATTGAGGCCTATCATGAGACTTAGACTCCTTGACTGATTCCAGAAAGCACCTTGGAAAATGTGACGCTGCAACTTAATTTGTGTATGTGCTAAAAGTCTTTTAGGTAGGGGAACTCCTGAAAGACATTGCACAGGAAAGAAAAAAGAGGGTGCTAAATCTCACAACTCTTTTGCATCTTGTCAAGTTTCACTCAGGAAAACCTTCCCTTGTTTTCTTTTGCTGTATTGCAGGTGTATTACAGGGAGGAATGCAGGTACATTACAGGGAGCAAATTCCAAGTCAACATAGGAAGGTCTCCCCACTTCCTTCCTCCTTCTCCAAAAGCTCTTCTGTTGAAAGAAATTAATTTTTTTATACAGAAAAATAAAATAAAACGGAGGGTTGAGAACTACAGAGGCAGAGCTCAAAGCCGTCCGGACATGTTAAGATAAATATTACTTTTTTTTTTTTTTGGGACAGAGTTTCACTCTTGTTGCCCAGGCGGGAGTGCAATGGTGTGATCTCAGCTCACCGCAACCTCCTCCTCCTGGGTTCAAGTGATTCTCCTGCCTCAGCCTCCCAAGTAGCTGGAATTACAAGCATGCGCCACCATGCTTGGCTAATTTTGTATTTTTGATAGAGATGGGGTTTCACCATGTTGGTCAGGCTGGTCTCGAACTCCCAACCTCAGTTGATCCACCCGCCTTGGCCTCCCAAAGTGCTGGGATTACAGGCGTGAGCCACCGTGCCTGGCGTAAGGTCAATATTACTAATCAATTCATGTATTATCCTATCTGCATTGTGGATTGTTACATATTGAACTGGCACCGATCTAGGAATCCAGGCCTGGCATTTTTCAGGCTCTATCCAACTAAGAAAGGAGAGATCTGGTCATACCGAAATACATTCAAATACCGAGTTCTAAAACTGGCTTTACCTGTCTACTGTCATCAACACCCACTGGAAAACTTCCAAATCCTCACTTTACCTCAAATCAGACAGAATTTCTGCTTTGGAACATAATGAAGAATGCACCTAATTAAAATTTTTCCTGCCTGACAAATTTCAGGGGCCCTTAAGAGTGGCTGGCAGCCAAAATCTATTCAGATCTTCAAGCCAGAAACCCAGGAGTCATCCTGGGTCCTTCTGTTTCCTCATCCTTATTCCTCAGTCGCCAAGTGCAGTTGAGTTTTTACCTCCTGGGGAGTTCCTCACGGCTCTGTCTTCCCTCTTCCCACTTCCACTATTTCAGTCCCCACCCACATTTTTTGCTTCCATGGACAATTATAGAGGAACCTCTTAATTGGTTTCAGGGACACGAGAATGATTTTCATCCTATTCCTGGAAACGAGACAGAGCTTACCACCTGCAAATCTTATCATGCCTTTTCCAAGCTAAAATTCCTTCAGTGCCTCCCCCCTACCCCCACCATTTATATGAAAAGTGCCTCAAACTTTGGCCTCTTACATTTCATCATTGGTCCCACATCTGTTCACCTATTCTATGATTTACTTGACATTTTTCTTTAAATTAACTTACTTAACATGAATAAATCTATTTTGAAAAGTAAACTATATTATAGGCTTGATATACCAATTATACATTATGTAGCACATATTAAAATACATAAATGATTACACTTGTCCCTCAGTATCTACAGGGAATTGGTTCCAGGACCCCTGAAGACATCAAAATCCACAGACACCAAAATCCACCACCCTTACATAAAGTGGTGTAGTATTTGCATGTAACCTAAGCACATCCTCACATATACTTTTTTTTTCTTTCTTTGAGATGGAGTTGCACTCCGTCACCCAGGCTGGAGTGCAATGGCATGATTTCAGCTCACTGCAACCTCCACCTCCTGGGTTCAAGCGAGTCTCCTCCCTCAGCCTCCTGAGTAGCTAGGATTACAGATGTGCACCACCATGTCCGGCTAATTTTTGTATTTTTAGTAGAGATGGGGTTTCACCATGTTGACTAGGCTGGTCTCGAACTCTTGACCTCAGGTGATCTGGCTGCCTCGGCCTCCCAAAGTGCTGGGCTTACAGGCGTGAGGTACCTCGCCTGGCCCCTCCCATATACATTAAATCTTCCCTAGAGTACCTATAATACTTTGTACAATGTAAATACTATGTAAATAGTTGCTCTACTGTATTATTTTTTATTCACATTATTTTTTATTACGGTATTTTTATTTTTCCTTGCTTTTCTCCCCCCACATATTTTCCATCCATGGTTTGTTGATTTCTCAGATGTAGAACTTGTGGATGGGGAAGGCCAATTGTATTTGATCCATGCTCGTCTATATATCATTAAAACCATCTTGTGCACTATCAGTGCCATGAATGCACTTGGGAAAACTTTAGCCTATAGGGACAAAGTCCAGCATCTTGACCTAGCCTAAAAAACTTTTAATTTTCCATCTCTGCTTACCCCCTTGACTTGGCTTCTGCCCATTGTATTATCTACATTGTGTATCTGTAATTCCTGACCACACCATAAAAATTCACACCTCTGTAACTTGGTACAACCTATGCTGCCTGGGATGCCTTCTCCCTGCTCCTCATGGGAAAACTCATATTCTCCCTCAGTTTAAACCTTTACTTTGATGTCATCATCTCCTAGGCCTTGTAGATAATTCTGCTGTTACAGTTATCACACAGCTTTAATTTATTTGTGGTTATATTTATTGTTCCTACTGAACTGTGAGTTTCTGGAGGGAAGGAACCCTGGTCCTGCTTTCTAAATACTTAGCATAGAAACATGTTCTTCTTTCTGAATTCCTTTCAGTTCCTGATAGATGGTAACTGGTCAATAGACATTTGTTATAGTTCAGTTGGTTTTAAGTGCCATGCTCTTGCGAGATCAGAGCGATCTTTTTAAAGATTTCTGATGAGATTTTAAAACACTGCATAAAAACATGTAATCCATTGCCAAGTTCTTCAAGCTTTCCTTCCCAAATGTATCCCATCTCATTCCATCCCCACTGCAACTCCCCAGTCAAGTCACCATCAACACCACCTGGACCATGACAGGAGTCCGCTAACTGGCCTCCCTACTTTCCTTCTCATCTCTATGCTCCATTCATCCCATGGTAGCTAGACTGACCTCTTAAATGGGTAAATCAGATCGCCAGTATGCTGATTCTAAATATGAATGGGAAACTATGGCAGGGTTTTAAGAATGCAGGAGGGGTGACACCATCATATTTCTATTTAAGAAGATCTCACTGGCTGCTGGATAGAGAATACACTGTAGGAGGAAGCGGGGCAAGAGAGAAAGCAAAGAGATTAGTGAAGAGCTGGTCACAGGGGCTCAGGCAAGAGAGGTGATGGCTGGACCAAAGCTGAGCCAGGGAGCATCGACCGGATGACTGATAAGTTTATCAACCTTGTGCTGCTGATGAGGCCAGCACAAACAGCTCTGGGGTTACATAGATCATCTAGCTGTCCTGGTCAGTGCTTAAAATAATATATTAATGTTTTCATGCAGTAAATAGACATAAGAGGGAGGTTCAGCCAGGGCTAAGGAGACAGATTATTGGCTTGTAACAGTTAAGAGTATAATCTTCCAGTTCCAGTTCTACCAGTTACTGTGAAATGTTGGTCAAGATGCTTAACCTCTTGGTGCTCTGTAAGACAGGTCAGTAATGGTTCCTAACTCACAGGGCTGTTGTGAGGATTAAACGAGACAGTGCTTGTGAAGTATAAGCATGAGGCATGTCAGGAAGTAGGTGTACAATAAATGTCAGCTTTATTACAAAATCTCTGTACGGACAGAGAAAATGTATCATTTTAGCAGCAAACAATAACTTAAATATGTGAAAGGAAATCTTGGACTTAGGTACAAAGGGAAGTAGATGACTTCAAAGATCAAATTCAGGAAGTGGGCAAGAAATTTTGTAGTTGTTTTAGTAATGACTAGCAAGATTGTAACAGCCTCACACTTTTCTGGAATTATATCTGGCAGCTACTAACCATTTCCCTTTACTTTGCATCCATAGAAAGAGATTTGCAAAAACGAATATAGCTACAATATCTATTGTGTATATAATCATAAGACATGAGAATAAAAGTAGAAAAAGAAGTTCATAGAACCCATAGAGTGTAATTCATATTGAATCATTAACTATTTCTTCATAATAAAAACAATAGCTACTACTTAGTGAAGTGTTACAAGTTTTCTGTGCTGTGCCAGTCACTTTATGTGAATTTATTACACTCATCTGGAAGAGTTAAGTGCTTAAATCTGGAGATATGTTACCCAGATTCATGTGCAAACTTGGGCAAATAAATTACTAGAGTTATCTCTACTTCAGTTTTCTCATCTTTACAATGGGGATAATAATAATGGTACCTACCTCAAGGGTTGTGAGGATTAAAGTAGAAATATAAAGTGCTTAGAACAATAGCTAGCTTAAAGTAAATACTTGCTATTAGATATATCATTATATACTATTATTCCTATTTTACAGTTGAGGGAGCTGAGGCTGAGAAAGTTTAAGTAACTTTCCTAGGTTCCACAGCTGATGAAGGACACAGCCAGAAATTAAACTCAAAACAGCCTAACTCTAAAGCACCCTCTTCTTCACACTCTTCCTCCTTCCTTCTAGATGACAAACTTTGGTTTCTTTTTTTGAAGTAAGAACATGAGTCACGATTCTAATTGAACAGAGGGGATTTCTGGTTAAAGGCTTCCGAATGGGAAAGCTGGTGGGATCAGAGAAAAAGTAACAATTTTCCTTTGGAAAGTCTGCTTGAGGGAGGGGCTTTCCCTCTGAGGTTTTCCTCGGAATTTATTGCTAATTTGGCACATACCAGAAGGTGTCAAAACCAAGAAAAACTGAGGGCTGAGATGTACTGTTTCTGTCTAGTCAGCTCCGGCTCTGCGTTTTCTTGGGTGGAAACATGCTCATTAAATAGGATACACAGTACCTGGAGCAGATGGAAGTTCTGTTATTGCAGACATACAGGTGGCTTCCCTCCTAGCTCCTCACACTACAGGCAGATCTATTTGTGTGGGCATTAGTGGCCCTGAACTCTCTGTTTTCAAGCTGTCCGGGTATGTGGAAATCTGGATTTACCAATAGACAAAGCAGTATTCTAATGTAGTCAGTGGCAGTTTAGACGAGTGGTTATATCTCAGACTAAAGGAGAAACACCTAAGTGGGAATTCTGGCCCTGTCATTAACTTTCCTTTGGCTTAGCTGCCCTGTGCCTCAGTTTCCTTAGCTGTAAGATGGGGATAACCTAACAGTTACTTTATAGAGTTCTTGTGAGAACTCATGGGGGTGATATGTGTCAAGAGCTTAGCACGCTCACTGGCACGTGGTAAGGGCTGGATAAGTATTATTGTTATTGTTGTTATGTGTGCTACTATTTGTAGTATTAAAAATAGCAGTCCTCACGGTGGCTCACACCTGTACTCCTAGCACTTTGGGAGGCTGAGGTGCACAGATCAGTTGAGGTTAGAAGATTGAGACCAGCCTGGCCAACATGGTGAAGACCCATTTCTACTGAAAAAAAAAAAATTAGCTGGGCATGGTGGTATGCATCTGTAGTCCCAGCTACTCGGGAGGCTGAGGTACGAGAATCAGTTGAACCTGGAAACGGAGGTTGCAGTGAGCTGAGATCACACCACTGCACTTCAGCCTGGGTGACAGAGCAAGACTCTGTCTAAAAAAAAAAAAAAAAAAAAAAAAAAAAAGCAGTCCTAGTAGAAAGAGTAAATAATTTTGGGTGCACATCTGTTGGGAAGGAAAGTGAGGTACACATGTCTGGGTTTGGAGCTCCAGGCCATATTTTGTATCATGATTTGAATGTATCCTCTCTTATGATATTTTTGTAAAATTCTTGCTACTGGGTCACTGACATCTCTGTTATTCACTGGGGACGTTTTAGTTATATGAGAGACCAGAGTGAGCGAGCTACAAAGGATTAAAAAAAGAAGAGGAAGATTCATCTGTGTTCAACTTTAGTTCCAGGAATCCCCCAAAATTGCTGAATCCTGGAAGACCCCTCTGGCCTCAGTGTCCCTCTGCTCTGGGACTACTTGGTAGGGTAGCACCCATGGCAATGCTTGTAACTTTTCATTTGAATAAAAAAATGAGGCAGTCTTCTCTCATATGGTATTTGTGAATTTAACGTGAATTAGTAACATGGCTCTTTTTATTAAATATCTACTCTTGGAATTTTCAAGTATACAATGTATTGTTATTAATCATAGTCACCATATTGCACAATAGGTCTCTTGAACTTATTCCTCCTTGTCAGAAATTCTTCATAAAAATTTCTTATAAGAACAGAAGTTGCAGTGAGACAAGAACCATGATTCCTACAGGGATGCTTTTGTCCTCTTCTTGGGTGTCAAGGAGAAGATGGAGAGCAGGGAGACTCCAGGTACCTCAGCTATCTTATAGCAGCCCAGCAAGAAGAAGCATGGGCTGGAAAAAAGTACAAAGAATAAATGAAAGCAAATAACAATGATGATTACAACCAACACGACTAACAACAATAACTCTTCTATAGCTGTAGCTATTAACCATGTATGAGACCTTGTTCTAAATACTGCACATGTATTAGCTCACTTAGTCCTCACAACAACCCTACAAGACAAACACTGTTGTTATTTCTGCTTTACGTTGAGCAAAATGAAGTCCAGAGGGGTTAAGAAACTTGCCTACAGCTAGTAAGTGGTTGTGGCAGGAATTGCATTCTAGGCGATTTGATCTAATTGGCATTTAGGGATAACAATACAATAAAGAAGACAAAGTAGAATCACAAAGATATTCAGCTAATTCCAAAGAAAGCAGAAAAATAGGAAAAAGGTAACAAAGATCAGATAGGACAAACAGAAAATAAAAAGCAAGGATGACAAACAACAAAATAAGTTTAAACCTATCAATAATAACATTAAATGCAAATAGGCTAAATATCTCAACTAAAAGGCAAGGATCTTCAAATTTGAGTTAAAAAGTTAGACCTCACTCTATGCTGCCTATAAGAAATGCACTTTTTAAAGACACGAATAGGTTAAAAATAAAAAGATAGAAAAAAAAAGATTTACCATGCTAACACTTTTTTTTTTTTTTTTTACAAAAAAGGCTGGAGGGGCTATATCACTGTCACACAAAGTAAATTGCAGGTGAAGAATACTGCTGGGGATCAAGAAGATTATTTCATAATGTAAAAGGAGTAAGTCAATCAAGAAGACATAACAGCCGGGTGTGGTGGCTCACGCCTGTAATCCCAGCACTTTGGGAGGCTGAGGCAGGCAGATCATGAGGTCAGGAGATCGAGACAATTCTGGCTAGCACGGTGAAACCCTGTCTGTACTAAAAATACAAAAAATTAGCTGGGCATGGTGGCGGGCACCTGTAGTCCCAGCTGCTTGGGAGGCTGAGGCAGGAGAATGGAGTGAACCCGGGAGGCGGAGCTTGCAGTGAGCCGAGATCATGCCACTGCACTCCAGCCTGGGTGACAGAGCAAGACTCCGTCTCAAAAAAATAAAAAAAAAAAAAAGACTTAACAATCTTAAATGCTTCTGCATCTAATAACAAAGCTTCAGAATATATGAAGCAAAACCAGACAGAACTACAAGGAGAAACAAATTTAAAATTCTAGTAAGAGCTTGAGAGCTTCCTCTAAATAAATGAAAATCAGTAAGGATATAGATTCTTTGAACAACACTATAAACTGACTTGATCTAATTGACGTTTATTGATAAGAAGTCAACAAGGGAGATAAAATGAAACACTAAAGATATTTGATTAGTCTAGTCCAGTACCCTGGTTTCAGAGTCTGTACCAAAAAGCATGGTGTCTTGGAGACCTATGAGGAGGAGAGAAGTGTGATGATTTTGAAGAAAAAGAGGTCTAGAACAGTGGTACAGCTACAGAAATGGAAGGGGAAAAGAGATTTTAAGAAGATAGCCAAGTGTTACAAACTGTATTCCTTTTGAAGTTTGTTAAATATAAAAGGAAAATCAGAATTGCTGCAAATTACTCCCGGTTGGTGGACTGTGGTTCATTGAATGAATTAAATGTGGAGTCATGAGGAGCTCTCTATTTTAGTCAAGCTTCAGGTCCTCAGTTAAGGTTGGATCGAAAGCAATAACTGTGGACCGAGCTCTAATGCTTACTCTGACTTGGGCAAGTCTTTTAACCACTTTAAGCTCCAATTTCTCTAAGTGTAAATGGGGGTTCATTTATTCACTTATTCATCTAAACAATAAATAATTCACTGGACTTTTGCTACATGTCAGTCTCTGTATGAAGGTCCTATGAAAAAAGGAAACAAATTTCCCTTCTGACAAGGAACTCACAGTCTAGTGGGGAAGACAGACAACAAACTAATAAATAAAGAAGTATATGATATACATGATAAGAGCTCTGGTGAAAACAAAACAGAGTAAGAGAGAGAGGGAGGACACAGCGGGGCCAGGTAAGGCTTTCTGATAAGGTATAGAAATGTTGGAGATCTGGGTGAAAGGGAAAGGAAACAGCCAGGACAAGGGTCTTGAGATGGGGGTGTACTTTGTGCCTAGGAGGAAAAGCAAGGAGGCCAGTGTGGCTGGAACAGTGATCAAGACCAGGTACGTAGGGTCTTGTAGTCATGGTAACAACACTGGCTTTTACTCTGAATGAGATGGGGAATCATTGGAGGTTTTCCTGCATTCGAGTGGCAGGATCTGACTTGTGTTTTTTAAAAAAAATTGCTTCACAGTAGGAAATAGGCTACTGGGAGGCAGGGGCAGAAGCAGGGTACTGCTTACGAGGCAGGAGCAGCAAGTGAAGGGGAGCAGCAATGGAGGCTTGGAAGCCAATGGTGAGATGGAAGCAGGGGTGAAAGGTTGAATTCTAGATTTATCTTGAAGATGGAGTGAAAAGAATTTGATGACGGCCAGGTTTGGTGGCTCATGCCTGTAATCCCAGCCCTTTGAGAGGCTGAGGTGGGAGGACTGCCTGAGGCTAAGAGTTCGAGACCAAAGGACTATAAATCATGCTGCCATAAAGACACATGCACACGTATGTTTACTGTGGCACTATTCACAATAGCAAAGACTTGGAACCAACCCAAATGTCCAACAATGATAGACTGGATTAAGAAAATGTGGCACATATACACCATGGAATACTATGCAGCCATAAAAAAGGATGAGCTCATGTCCTTTGTAGGGACATGGATGAAACTGGAAATCATCATTCTCAGTAAACTATCGCAAGGACAAAAAACCAAACACCACATGTTCTCACTCATAGATCGGAATTGAACAATAAGAACACATGGACACAGGAAAGGGAACATCACACTCTGGGGACTGTTGTGGGGTCGGGGGAGTGGGGAGGGATAGCATTAGGAGATATACCTAATGCTAAATGACGAGTTAATGGTGCAGCACACCAGCATGGCACATGTATACATATGTAACTAACCTGCACATTGTGCACATGTACCATAAAACTTAAAGTATAATAAAAAAAAATAAAAAAAAAAAGAAAGAGGCAAGAAAAAAACCACTGACTGTATATGAGAGAAATCCAATAAGATTAACTGCTAATATCTCATCAGGAACAATGAAGGCCATAAGGCAGTGGGAAGACATATTACAAATGCTAAAGACTAAGGGTAAGAGAATGTGTGCCTTGCTTAAAGTAATGAATCTATAAAAGATTAGAAATAGAAATTAAGCCTAAGTTTTATTTCTCTAAATCAGTTAGTTTAGTAGTATTCAATGGATCTCTGACCTAAATAGACATAAAATTTCCCTGATGTTCTTATTTAAAATGCAGATATTTGGACTACAACCTTAGAAAATCTTATGCTGGATTTGGCATGGGTTTCAAGAATCTGCATTTGAATGTGCTTTAGAAGTAATTTTATGTGGGTCATTTGAATTACAGTCCAATAGCACAAAGAGGTACAGTAAAGAGTGATCATGGAGCTAGAGAGATAAGCACTGGAATCCTCATTCATCACTATCTGCCTATTTAACTGGTGTAAAGAAGAAGTTTCTTGCATTTCTAGTTGTTATAGTTAGTAAAAATGGTAACTCTAATATCTTGTAGAGCTGTTGTAAGAATTAAATAATATATATGAAGCTAACCGCCAAATCTGATAGGCATTTGTTTTCCTCTCATTCCTACTTTCTTGCTCATTCTGCTGGCATTCCCATTTTCTGATGCTACCTTCCCCTAAAACCATAATTATTTTCATCTCAAATTGTAACTTATTTTTCTTCTATTATGTCTTTTCACAAGAAAAAAATAAATTTTAACTGAAATTGTCTGTTTGGATAATTAAAATAAGGACATTAAATTTTGAACCTGGTTAGAAAATTAAAAAAAAAAAAAAAAAAGGAGTTCGAGACCAGCCAAGACAACATAGTGAGATCCCACCTCTACAAATTTTTTTAAAAAAACTTAGCTGGGCGTGGTGGTACATGGCTGTAGTCCCAGCTACTTGGGAGGCTGAGGTGGGAGGACTGCCTGAGCCCAAGAGGTCAAGGCTGCAGTAAGCTATGATAGCACCTTTGCACTCCAGTCTGGGTCACAGAGCAAGACCCTGTCTCAAAAAGAAAAACAAAAATTGATGGTGGATGAGAAAGAAAAATGTCAAGGATTACTTCAAGGTTTTTGGTCTGGGTATCTGGGTGTCGGGGGGGCATTTATTAAGATGGGAGAATGATAATACCTAATCCTTGTGAGGTGGTTTCAGTGATAAAATGAGAGAATGGATGTGAATGCACTTCCTGAACTTGAAAACACCATGCAGATATAAAAGATGAAAATTAGAAAGGCATCTAGGAGTTGCTGATTCTCAAATATGCCCAGATACTAACATTTTAAGGTCAAGAAGCAGTGTTGATTTTTCCCATTGACACATTTCTATTCAATAAAGTTATTCTGAATGGCCCAGTGGCTCATTCAAAGAACCACAGTGCACACCAATATTCATAATTCCCAGTGATTCTTATGTTCCTTTTATGTTAGAAAAAACCTTAACATGGGAACAATTTATAACCTCAGCTATGCTTCTTAAAAATTGCTTTTTCGGCAGGGCGCGGTGGCTCATGCCTGTAATCCCAGAGCTTTGGGAAGCCAAGGCAGGCAGATTGCTTGAGTCCAGGAGTTTGAGACCAGCCTGGCCAACCTGGCAAAACCTCATCTCTACCAAAAGCACAAAAATTAGCTGGGTGTGGTGGTGCACACCTGTGGTCCCAGCTACTTGGGAAGCTGAGGTGGGAGGATGGCTTGAGCCTGGGAGGCAGAGGCTGCAGTGAGCAGAGATCACACCGCTGCACTCCAGCCTGAGTGACAGAGCCCCACCCCATCTCAAAAAAATTTTTCTTTTCCTTTTTTTCTCCCATTTTCCAAGCTGTGACATTGCTCTCATATTTCTACCCTCCTTTACACAACTGGGCTCAGTAAAACTATTTTAAGTTTAAATGGAAAAAAAATGTACTCCATAAACATTTTTATTTTCTCTGAATAGTCCCTTAGGCAACTAAGGTTGCTCATCCCTGATTTAGGCCACGTTGGGTCCGATGGTGTTATTAAGGCACTCACCGTTCACTTTTCAGAGCTATTTTAAGCTCTCTTGGTGTATCTCCTGGCAGGGGTAATTTTAAAATGGAAGTCCAGCAATATGAAATAGCTATGAAACCTGTCAGAAGTGAGCTACATATTTCTTCTGTCATCTGTAGGGTCAAGGTAGCCTGAAATATGTTAATAATTTTACAAACAAGTCAACACAAAAATTCCCCAATCCAAATCAGGTAGTTCAGTTTCTAGCAGAGTGAATGAAGAGAATGTGGGAAATGGGCATTCATCCAATAGGGAAAATAATACCTGTGTCAAGTGGTTGCTGTGGAGAGTAAGTGACACAATAAAACTCCTAGTACAGTGCTTCAGAGAGAACTCGAATGTAGGTTGAGGCACTGATCATTTTTTTAAAGGAAGTTTAAAAAAAGCACTTTAGAGGACAGATACATTCATTCATATTCTGTTCTTTATTTTCTCTCTTTGATCTGCCCTACCCTCTTTGTCTCTCTCTCTCTCTCTCTCTCTCTCTCTCTCTTTCTACGTCTGTTCTGCTCACTCATGTGCTGGTTCCTTTAGCAAATATTTATGGAGTATTTATGAGGCAGGATTTTGCTAAAGATGAAGATCTTCTCTTGTGTACTACAGAAACCTAACTGAATTATCAACTCCTTTGTCTTGAAAGTAGGATGTTCATCACAGAGGGGGAAGACATATTAGGGAGAAATTCCACGAATATTGTCAGAATATATACCAGGAGCATGATAAGAAGGAAGAACGGTAGACCTCAGCAATGTTTCACGGCATTCTAATTTAATCGAAGAAAACCTGGTTGTACTTCATCCTGGACACTTGACAAAGGACTGAGTGTGTCCTTAGGGCCCTGCACATGCTCCTGTGGCTTTTTCACACCCCAGGCAGAAGAGCTTTGCCATAATCCCAGCTCAGGCTTGGCATAATTTGGCCTCAAGACAATGCAAAGCAAATTCTCTAAATCCAAACCAAACCTTGGGTTGAGTCACTGGTCTCCAGCTCACAGGTGACCTTTGCTTCCTCTGGAACCCTTCATACCTGAACCTCTCTGGTGCCCTGACTGGTAGGTCTTTGTTTTTCTCTGGAACCTTGGGCTTTTTTTGCTTCCTAGAACTCTGAGGCACCATGGCTAGGCTCCTGTTCTTTACTATCTGACTGCATGCTGCTGTGGTCTGCTCATCTACTGGGAAGTTCAATTCCTGTCCTGGTCACGCCCTCCTGGACTTCATGTGGGCTTCTGTTTAGACCTGTCTTAATCACGGCTAGGCCCTGAAATTGGGTTTGTGAATTCCCCAAACCTCTAGTACATCTACCCAATCCTCTTTTTTTTTTTTTTTTTGAGATGGAGTCTCATTCTGTTGCCCAGGCTGGAGTGCAGTGGTGCAATCTTGGCTCACAGCAACCTCTGCCTCCTGAGTTCAAGTGATTCTCCAGCCTCAGCCTCCTGAATAGCTAGGATTACAGGTGCCCACCACCATGCCCAGCTAATTTTTTTGTATTTTTAGTAGAGATGGAGTTTCATCATGTTGGTCAGGCTGGTCTCAAACTCCTGACCTCAGGTGATCCTCCCGTCTCGGCCTCCCAAAGTGCTGGGATTACAGGCATGAGCCACTGTGCCCAGCCGTAACCCTCATTTTTAATGGCACTTTTAGTACTTTGAGCTTTATCATCAATATACATATACCCAAAAAAGAATTAACGAGACCTCTCTAGGGCCCAGAGGGGCTAAGCAGAATGATAGCCAGTTGGCAGCGTACCTGCAGAATACCCGCCAAACACTCCATTCCCTTCTACTAAACTTTCCCTTTTCAGAGTTACACGATTATCATGTTTTCTGAGATAATGACATCCATGTGATTTAGTTTAATAGGTCATGGCTCAGCATATACTCAGTCACCAACAAACATTTGCTAGAAAAATCACTGGTCTTATTTGGCATCTTACCTATTCTTTTTGCTTTACTTGAAATTAATTGGTCATTTTTCTCAAACCTTAAGAAAATGAAGATGATCACAAATTTTCTATTTTTTTCTCATTCATTTAAATGCTGCACTAAATACTAAAATATATTAAATGTGAGTTGATTGAAGGTGGCCTCTCCCTGCTGCTCACACCTCAAAGATGTGGGTTGCTGATTGAGGTGCAAGTGAGTCATATGCAGAGTTTGAATGATCTGGATGCCTCCGACAAGGTACGCGGAGCCTGTAAGACCTCTCCAAACTAGAATCACCTAGCATGCTGCTAGGAAAGTTTTGAATTGTCCTAGAAACCGTATTAGAGAAAGAGAAGGACATTTTTCTATTTTGACAGCAAAAATGCAAATACAGTCATCCTAAGAATTGAGGAAGTTTACAGTAAATATCAAAGTCGAATATTTTAATATGAATTCTTTATATTTCCTTCTACATAGTTCTCTGAAGATCTTGTGTTTATTTTTGTTTTCATTTTGAGAAATGAACAGACGTGTGTCCAAAACTGCTAGTTGGGGAAGAAACACTTACCCAGAATGCTTCATGTTTTGAGGCTTATCCATTCGGACAGCAAGTTTGATTTTGAGATCTTGGTCGGGGCAGTTTTTGGAGACTGTCATTTTGTGCCACTCTGACTGTTTGGGGCTGTTCGGGGTGGGATGGAGAATAACCTGTAGGGGAAAAAGGACAAGCAACTAGAAAAGAGAAGCACCATTATGTTTTTATAGATTAGAAACTTTGATTCTGAGTAGTGGAGTGACTTGAACAATTCCCACTGTGGAGCAGCCATACCTGGGGATAGAAACACATTCTTTTGATCCTTCCTGGCTAATTTTGTAAAAGTAAAGATTTCTGTAATTCTGTGATGATTCTGTCATGAAAATCATGATCTCTGTGATTCTGCTTTGACTTTTCTAATGTTCAGACGTACTAAACAAACCCAGAATGGAGAATATTGTCCACACATTATTCTCTACATCTTTGTATAAGAAGATGGATGCATAAAAGGAAGAAATATGCTTATATATTAGACAGTCCTTTTAGTCCACTCTTTTTCTCCATTCTTTAGGATTTCTTTCACTTTTCAAGAGGAGAAATTCCTCAAGGCCCCCAGGGGAAAATGGAAGGAACCTTATTAGATGGATGAGAAATGTGAGACTCAGGGAAGGAAAGGGACTTGATTGGAGTCACACATTTCAACCTGATTTCACCTGGCCTGGAAATCTTATCACACAACATCCAACTTTGCCCGGGCATGGAGGAAAGCACACATGACTTGAAGAAGGACCATTTCTTAGGAAATGCCTTTCATCAGTGTGCTTCAGAGATGGCAGTTTGATTTGGGTCTTCTGCATCCATTCTTATTGTCTGGAATTCTGAGAGTGAAACAGGAAGTGAGTAACTCACTAAATCCACTTTTCGCTTTGTGATCACGGAGTTCTCAGGAGACACATGGGATCTGGGGAATATGCATTTAGGGAGGAATTGAATATTTGGAAAATCCTTGAAACTAAGGGAACATGAACTAAATATAGGCACAACAAAAGCTGGGCTTGCTAAGATTTGCTTCTGTGATGGCAGCACGCCCTGGTTTGTGGCACATTGTTTTGGCTGTTTTCAAAGTATTTATTTTCTCTAGGTGCAAGGATGGCAGGCCCCTTTCCTGGGCTTCTTTCACCTCTGGAGGTGGCCGTGAGGGGCTCATGGTCTTATGGGTGGACACTCTGGCCTTCTAGATGCTGTATCAGCTTCACTAGTCATGCAAGCTTGGCCCATGCTTGAAGGGCAGACACATATGGCTCCCTGTGTGATTGTGAAACAAGACTGCTGAGAGGAGGAGGAGGAGGCCATGGCAGAAAAAAAAATCAGCCCACTTAGATGTGCTTCATTTATGCCGATTTCTCAGCCCTTCTCTTTCTGGGCCTGACCCTTTTTCTTCATTAAGTTCCCTGTCTCTGATGAAATATACATTCTTGCTAACCACAAATTTCAAGTCTTCCCACTGTCTTATGACATGATTGAAATACAGAAAAGCCTGATTTTTCAGAACAGAGGCTGTCAATGTTTTTTGATCATGCCCTACTTTAGTACAATGTTGTTGAGCAATTAGCCCAGTATCTGTATACTAACATTTTATATTACATAAGTTTACTTTGTATTAATATATTACCTTATCACATATATCATAAAATATACAAAAATCAAAGATGGGCTAAAGATTTAAAAATCTACATTTTGGAATAACTTGCTAATTGTGGTGGCTGTGGTGTTATTAGCTATCTTTAAGGTACCACATATATTTAGGGCAAGGTACATTGTTGATGACATTGGTTATAAATCTGTAGTTTGAGTTGTCTTCTCAATAATTTCGTCATGTCTTGACTGACATCTTGTCCCATCTGATTACATTGGCATTGTTTTTATCTCATGATATGAGTGACAGAGTGTTTGCCAGTAGGTCAGGTGTTGGCTCCACCATTTTCTTGTTTGCCAGGCTTGCATTGCTAGTACTACCTCCAAATCAGAGCTTTTGTGCAGTTATCTTCTGAGGTCGCTTATTTTGTAAAGGTTGATTTAGTTAAAGCTCCAGCATAAAATGTATAAATTCACTTAACTGGCACCAGAGAACTGCAACATATCATAGGACAGATGCTGGGAGGAAATGAGTGAGATAGGGCACTGCTGGGTTGTGGAGACCTCTCCCTTTTCTCCAGGAACTGCCTGTTCTTACACGTCACCCTGTATCATGTACCACATCCCGAGGCCTGACACTTTGTGGGAGCTGCTGATTTCAGTGAAGCTGACCCTCCATCCTGAGCTGGTCTGGCCTGAGAGAGGTAGGGGTGAGATGTGCTGGGAAGCCAGAAAGGGAGGTGCTGGTAAGAGACACCCCATCCAGGGCCAGAACCGCGGTAAGTAAGAAAGGCCCTGGGCTTCTGTCTGCTCCTGCCTGTTTGGCAAAATCACAGAGGGAGCAGTGCTCTGGGCACCCGCAGCTCATTAACAGGCCTTTCGCCATATGGATTCTGGGCGTGCTTCCCACTGGCAATATGGTGTCCATTCGTGACGCAATAGCCGCAGCTCATTACCGGCTATGCCACAAAGACTTTGTCCCCTGTGCAACTGCTTGCTGGGGAGCCCTCTTTTCCAGGGTGGATGGAGAGATGAAGTGACCACAGCTCTCTTCTGTCTTTGCCCCCACCCTGCCATGCCTCTGACAGGCTGATGACTCATTTGTATGTGTCAGCACTGCTGAATTATGAGGGTCCTTCTGGGTGCACATGAATCCCAAGCAGACCAGACACCTCATCTGGACATTCCAGGCTGCTAATCAAGCACTTTGTCAATTCAGCCGAGGACCATGTGTGCTGCACTTTGATGTGGGGATGCTGATGTGGCCGCCACGACCCACCCCCTGAAGTAGCTGCACTCCAGCCAGCCGTGGCTTCTCCTAGTTGCCTGGGCACACAGGCAGGGCCTGCTAGGGGGCTGCTTTACCCTCAGCCTTTACCTGACAGATCCCCTCCTCGACTTAGCCTATATCTCTTCAGTACCTCTTGCATACCCCAGGAAAGAATCCCTGTCCCTGAGACTGTATGACTGGATTCTGCCTTCTTGCTAGGTGCTTCATTTCCAGGTCTTTCTTTTTTTTTTTTTTTTCCTAGCAGAACACTTCCCACATTGCACTATAATTTCTGTTTTTATGTCTGTGTCCCTTATGCTTTGTGAGGTTAAGGGTTTTTTACCAGTCATTATTCCTATTTGCTCTGTGCACAGGACAAATGATTGGACACAGAGGGCCTACAATCCTATAATATTGCAGGGTTGGGAAGGATGCAGGAAAACAGGCATTCTCTTATGCCTTTTGTGGAAGGATCAATTGGTGCATGCACTTTAGGGGACAATTTGGCAGTAGCTGTCAAATTTCAAATTTCAGTCAGCAAAATATTTTTTGAAAATTTATTCTATAGATACCCACACATATACAAATAAATAAATTCAAGGCTATTCACTGAAGCATTGTTTATATAGCCAAAGATGAAATAATCTAAAAATTCATCCATAGAGGATTTGTTAAATAAAATATATCTACATAATGGAATACAATGTAGCTATGTAAAAAGGAGACAGGTCAGTCTAGGGTCATATGAAAACTAATCACCAAATATAATGATTTCAGGCACCATGTAGAGAAGTGTGTATATAGTAGCTTCCAACTGTGCTTTTTTTAAAAGAGGGGGAATATATACATATGTGCTTATATACGCTATGTTGGTACATGCAGAGACTATCTGGGGAAGGATACCATAAATTGAAAACAAAATCTTTCTCTGGGAAGGGATACGAGGGTGAGATAGAAGAGAAAAATTAATTTTCACTATATATCAATTTTAACTTGTTTTCACAATGTGCATGAATTTTTTTTTAATTAAAAAGGTTATTAAAAACAAAACATAACCCTAAAGAAACAAACCAAAAAGTGGTTGAATAAGTAAATGTAACGCCAGGATTCTAAACACAGGTCTGCTAAGTGTGGGAAGAATTCGAGCATAGAAACACTCTCTCGTGAGGTCCAAGTGTGGCTTCACTGCACTCTTAGGTCACCCAGCTGCTGCCCATGAAGATGCTGCCAGCAGAGGGTGTCCAGCCAGCACAAGAGCCAGGCAGGCCAGCTCCGCTGCAATTGGCAGAAAGTTTCTTTGGCACAAAGGAGGGGTAAACTAGCATCTGGGGGAATGTATGAGGGGCCTGAAGAAGAGAATGAACCATTATGAAATGAGTGTGTGTGGGGCTGTGGCAAGCCCATGGTCTTCACCACCACAGCACAGCCCAGGGTTTTATTTTTGTGTAGGGACAACACAGTGTAGTGCAAATAGCCCTGGAGATGAGGCAACATGATTCCTGAAGTAACTGAACCCTCTGGGCGTCAGCATGCTCTTCTGTACAAGAGAGGTGATGACTGTGGCTGCCTCAGTAGGGTTGTCTTGAGAGAGCACTGAGGGGCTGTGCACAAAGTCTTTGGGACAGTGGCCTGGCCCATGCATGGGTCCCTGACTGGCTTGATCGCTCTGGAGAGGTCTCCCGCTTTCCATGGGAGCAAGTTTTCTCATCTATAAAACAAAGGATTTCAATATGTCAGTGGCCTTAACTTTTCTGAGTAGAAATGGCTTTGAGAAGTCAGTGAATGCTTTGGTAGCCAGTCCAGAAAAATGCATATAGGCCCAGGCACAAACACATCTGTAAACTATTTCCAGGCTGGGTGCAGTAGCTCATGCCTCTAATCCTAGCACTTTGGGAGGCCGAGGCGGGCGGATCACTTCAGGTTAGCAGTTCAGACCAGCCTGACCAACATGGTAAAACCCTGTCTCTACTAAAAATACAAAAATTAGCCAGATGTGGTGGTAGGCACCTGTAATACCAGCTACTTGGGAGGCTGAGGCATGAGAATCACATGAACCTGGGAGGTGGAGGTTGCAGCAAGCCGAGATCACGCCACTGTACTCCAGCTTGGGCAACAGAGAGAGACTCCAGCTAAAGAAAAAAAAAAAAAAATTCCAGGGCATCCTGGATCCTGGGTCTTCGGAGGCTCATTGTGGACCCAGGTTGAGCATCCTGCGCTGGTCAGTTACACTTGTTCCTTCTAACACTAATATTCAGGATCTCTGAGACTCGTGATTCTTAACATCTGCCTTACTGGAAAAGGAGAAATTTGAAGAAAAATGAAAGGCAGGATAATTCTTCCACTCTATGTGTGTCTCTCTTTCCCTAGGGACAGAAATGAGTATCGTTTCTCAAAGAAAACAGCTAAACCTTTTATTTTCTTTCATCATCCCCTTTCCTCCCACTTTTCTGGGTAGGGACACTGTTTTTTTGTTTTTGCTGTTAGCTTTATTTACTTTTCGTTTTATCTCCATCTGTAGTCTATGCTGCAGTAATATGACTCCAGGTTGATTCTATAGATGAAAGCCAGATTGGAAAAATGGGTGAAAGAAAGGAAGAAAAAAAGGAAGCACAGGAGATGAATTCTTGCTGGCATCGTTAGGTGTGTGTGCCTGTGTGCTTGTCTGGGGTGGTCTCTCATTATGCTATAGATGTTATATCAGAGGCTCAGAGAGATTCTCTGGGCTGAGATCACGTAGCTTTCAGGAGTGATTACACATTAAACCAGAATGAAATAAAATTTATATTTATTTATTTATTTTATTATTATTATTTTTGAGATGGAGTTTCACTCCTGTTGCCCAGGCTAGAGTGCAATGGAGCGATCTTGGCTCATTGCAACTTCTGCCTCCCGGGTTCAAGTGATTCTCCTGCCTCAGCCTCCTGAGTAGCTAGGATTACAGGTGCCTGCCACCACGCCCGGCTAATTTTTTTGGTATTTTTAGTAGAGATGGGGTTTCACCATGTTGGCCAGGCTGGTCTCGAACTCCTGACCTCAGGCGATCCACCCGCCTCGGCCTCCTAATGTGCTGGGGTTACAGGCGTGAGCCACCGCGCCTGGCTGAAATAAAATTTATTGAAAGTCTATGTGCTGGGCTCTGGGTATAAGGTAGTGAACAAAATAGTTTAGGTTTCTGTCTCCGTGGAGATTTTACAGTCCAGTGGGGCAGACAGAAGCCTGAATGTCTGTCAATTCTGTTTCTTTCTCTCATTGGTGATCACTTTAGTAGTATATGTGAACAAGGAGCTAAGATAGCAAATGAAGGGGACTGAGCTGTCAGGAAAGGACTCTCCAAGGAGGTGGCATTTATGCAGAGAATGCATTTATGCTTTTTGAAGGGTTGGGAGGTGGGGAAATGACAACAGATAGAAAGTCCCCTGAGGAGGGAGAGAATTTGGTTTATATGAGGGATTGAAATTTGGCCAATGATGCTGGGGTATAGTAGGCGGGGAGGAATGTGGCAGCAGATGGGGGTGAAGAGGTGAGCAGAAGCCAAATTAAACGAGTTCAGATTTTACCACAAGCAGGTGGGGTTATTGGCAAAATCAACTTGTGAAAATATTACTGGCTTCTTGGTGCAGAGTCAATGGTTCAGATGCAAACAGAAATTTCACTATTATCTCTGTGGTTTTTAAGGGGGTTGGTACCACCTCTCAGGGATGTCTCAGAAATTTTCATGATGTTTTGATTGACAAAATAATTGGTGCCAGTCCCTGTTGGCACTGAGTGGGTGGGTCCAGGGATGCTAAACATCCTGCAAGGAATGACATGATGCTCCTTAGTGAGGCATCTTCCTGCATCCCATCTGACTTTTGAATATTCCCATGGGATATTGGTGGAGGTGAAAAAATCTGTTTATAATGAACTACGTGGAGATCTTAACTCTTGTCTTACATTTCAAATCAAAGTCTTTTTGGCACATTTCTAAGGAAATCAAGGAAACTTTACAAGTATTGCTTAATATGTCAGTAAATCGGTTTACTGATCCTCAGGCTTAGGAGTCACCACTACAGCATACATCCACACCCCACAGTGGATTTTGTAGCTGTCACCTTCACAGTGACTCTTCATATGGGAGCAAGCAAAGCACTCCTCTATTAGATCTTTGAGTATGTACATTTTGAAGTTTTTTATTATTAATTTACTTCCTTTTGTTTCTCTCTTATGTCATTGTGTTGACTTTAACATTGTCAGGTGGGCAGGCAGTTAAATCATCTAAGAACTCCACTTTAAGACAGTAAAAGACATTACAAATCTTAACTCTAAAGGATGTTTGGGTCTGATAGTATTGAGAACTCCTGCTCTATCTCCTGTAGGGCACACTCTTGTTAGTCCAGCTTTGTAGAAGAGAATCTGAGGCTCAGAGAGGTTGAGGAACTTGCTTAAGGTCACCCAGCCAATGTAGAGTGGAGTCCAGGACTTAATGTTCAAAACTGAGCCTCTCAGCACTTGGCAATGCTGCCTCTTGGTGACCTGTGCACTGGAGACCTAGCTGGGGAAATCCTCTCTGTGGAGTTCCCCTTGTGATAAGAAGTGCTTACCCGCCCAAGCTCCTTGTCCTCCAACGCCAGGACGCCTGTGCTCTCTGTGAACAGCTTCACCTTCACAGCTGGCAGTGCATGGGTTGTGGAGAAGTCACCCTGGGTGCCCCAGCTGCAGACAGAATCAAAGAGGTCATTGTAGACATATCTGCCTTGATGAGTCTAAACTATTCCATTGTTCCCAGGTCAGGTGAATGCAGGGTTAACCCAAGGCAGCATTAGCTGTCACATCCTCTTCTCCTCCCCTTCAAAGCTGCCAGAGTAACAAACGTGTTAATTAACTTGTTAGGCAAATGAAAGACAGATGCTCAGAAAGTTGCCATGGTCTTCACAGAGCACTATAAGGAATGACTTGAAATTAGCATAAACTCATGTTGGTGAGAACTTGTTCCCATGCATTTGCTGTATCTACAAACGATTCCAGGGAAATCACTAATATTTCATTGCATCCTTTGACTTCCTCATTCATGGAAACTGCAGTTGTACATCTTGGGATGGGGCTTCATTTGGTTCAAGCCAACACCTGACTTTCAAATGAGACTTCAACAATAGTGGTGGGGAGGTGGGGAGCCCCATTTTCACTGGCATTCAAAGATGAGTTGAATAAGGAGATTATGGAGCTCCACCCTGTTAAGGTCAAAGAGAGATTGGAAGGGAGAAGGATGAGGATGTGGGAAATGCCATTCCCTGCTCATAGTTTGTGGATATCGGAGTCTCAGTTTTCCACACACGGGAGCCTGGCTTACCCAAAATCTGGGTAGAGCACCAGGTGCGGCTCACATGAGCCCTTGATGTGCCCTTCAAATGCAGCCTCTTCATTCACTCATTATTATTCTTACAGAGAATTCATCTCTATCCATTCTGTGCCTGCAAGCAGAGTGATCTTCCAGAAGTGTTAACTGGATTGCACTGAGCCCCAGGTCCAGGGCACCTGTTCCATTGCACTCAGGGGGCAATCTGGACCCCTACCTATGGACTGCCACTCATCTGCTCCAATCTCACAAGCCTCCTGACTCTGCCATCTCAGACCTGTTACATGTATGTTTCCTCTGTTGGCAATGTTTCTCCCCACCCATTCACTGGGCTATGTCTTTTGGGGCTCAGCTTAAAACCACTGTCCTTTGATCTCCCAATCTAAACTGGGTTCTGGTATTAACCTCTCTTTAGCATACTATTTAATTTTGCATCTTAGCAATCACTGGATTTAAGTTATTGATTTGTGTCATTGTTTTATAGCAGAATCCCCTAATATTCTGTAAGCTCCATGAGCACAGGGACTGTGTTTTTATGTTGCATACCCAGAACTTAGCACAGTGCTAGACATATAGAAGGAACTTAACAAATATTTGTTGAATAAATGAAAGATGCCAAATATAATGTCTTTTACAGCACTAGAAAACAGCATAGATACAATTTCATTTAGAGAACTTTTTCATTTTACTTTATACAATGACCAACTTCCATACTTTAAAATGCTCATTATGATTTTTTTTATTTTTTTTATTTATTTTTTTTATTTTTTTTATTTATTTATTTATTTTTTGAGACAGAGTCTCGCTCTGTCGCCCAGGCTGGAGTGCAGTGGCGGGATCTCGGCTCACTGCAAGCTCCGCCTCCCGGGTTCACGCCATTCTCCTGCCTCAGCCTCCCAAGTAGCTGGGACTACAGGCGCCCGCCACTATGCCCGGCTAATTTTTTGTATTTTTAGTAGAGACGCGGTTTCACCGTTTTAGCCGGGATGGTCTCGATCTCCTGACCTCGTGATCCGCCCGCCTCGGCCTCCCAAAGTGCTGGGATTACAGGCGTGAGCCACCGCGCCCGGCCCTCATTATGATTTTTAATGATTCTATAATATTACACTTTCTATATGTACCATAATTTATTTAGCCATTGTTCTATTATTGAAATAGAATTGAACATTAATTTTGTTTTGTTTTGTTTTTTGAGGTGGGGGTCTGACTCTGTTGTCCAAGCTGGTCTCAAACTCCCGGGCTCAAGCAATCCTTCCACCTCAGTCTCCTGAGTAGCTAGGAGTTAGATATTAATTTTTGATTTCATCTCTGATTGTTTCCTTGGGATAGAGACCTAGCTGGGAGATCACTTCTTCCATCAACAAAAATTTAGAGATCTTACACTGTTGCAGGAGCTGTGTTCCTCAATGCACACTTTCAAGGCTTGAGATGCCTATTCCCAAAATGCTTTCCACAAAGGCAGTGACTATCCTGCCACCATTTGGGAACGAGAGTTCAAATCACAGGGCTTCCTTCTTGCCTGTTCTGAGTATCACTATTCACTTTTTCTTCTGGCCTATTTTATCATTGTTGTTTTCATGGATATTTTCTTGACTACTAGTGGGCTTGAACATTTTACCCTGTTTGTTGGCTGCTTGCATTCTTCTTTTGTAAATTATGGAAACCTGCATCCTAGTCTCAGTGTTGCCTTCAATCAAATAAATCCTATTAACTCAAAGACACAGGGAATCTAGTGAGAGTTGACAAAAGAAGACCAGAAAAATTGAGATGAGGGGAAACCAGATCCATGGGGATCTCAGTGCATGAAACCACTGAGAAAGCACAACAGTCATAGTAGAGACAGAGAGGACATGGAGGAGGCCATGAGATAGGACAAAAAGTGACAGGTTTCAAACACATTAGCAAAACGTTTGAGGTACAGATAGAAGCTCCTAAGTGGTTGTCAGCAACTGCAGCAAGACCCCGAGATAGGGAAATCTTTGTCTTAGCAATGGCAAGGGTTTTGAACCAGATATCTTTAGTTCAAATTCTGGCTTAGTCACTTGCAAACTATGAAATTTGGGGCAAGGAATTAATGTCCCTGTCAATTTCCTCAGCTATAAAATAAGCTAATTTCACAGACTAGTTGTAAAGAACAAACAGCTGCAAGTTTGGAACAGGTTGAGAACCCAACAAATTTTGGCTACTTTCCCTTCCCAAGGTAAGGAGATGTATTCTAGTAATAGTGATTATTGCTTATCTATTTATATTTATTTATTTAATGATTAGATGACATGTAATAATTGTACATATTTATAGCTATGATGGTTAATACTGAGTGTCAACTTGATTGGATTGAAGGATACAAAGTACTAATCCTGGGTGTGTTTGTGTGGGTGTTGCCAAAAGAGATTAACATTTGAGTCAGTGGGCTGGCAAAGGCAGATCCACCCTTAATCTGGTGGACACAATCTAAGCAGCTTCCAGCGAATATAAAGCAGGCAGAAAAACGTGAAGAGGAGAGACTGGCTTAGCCTTCCAGCAGCCTATATCTTTCTCCCATGCTGGATGCTTCTTGCCCTCAAACATTGGACTCCAAGTTCTTTAGTTTTGGGACTCAGACTGGCTCTTCTTGCTCCTCAGCTTGCAGACAGCCTATTGTGGGACCTTGTGATGGTGTAAGTTAATACTTAATTAACTCCCGTTTTTATATATATGTATACACACACACACACACACACACACACACACACACACACACACACACACACACACATATCCTATTAGTTTTGTCCCTCTGGAGAACCCTAATACAATGGGGTACAGAGTGCTATTTTTTTTTTTTTTTGACAGAGTGTCGTTCTGTTGCCCAGGCTGGAGTGCAGTGGCATGATCTTGGCTCACTGCAACCTCTGCCTCCCGGGTACAAGTGATTCTCCTGCCTCAGCCTCCCAAGTAGCTGGGATTACAGGTGCCCGCCACCGTGCCCAGCTAATTTTTTTGTATTTTTAGTAGAGACGGGGTTTCACCATGTTAGCCAGGCTGGTTGCGAACTCCTGACCTCAAGTGATCCACCCACCTTGGCCTCCCAAAGTGCTAGGATTACAGGCATGAGCCACCACACCTGGCCCAGAGTGCTATTTTGCTACATGTATACAATGTGTAATAATCAAGTCAGAGTAATTAGCATATCCATCACCTCAAATATTTATCATTTTTTGTATGTGTTGGAAACATTCAAAATCCTCTCTAGCTATTTGAAAATATGCTATTAATTATTGTTAACTATATTCACCCTGTAGTACTAGAGAACACTAGAAATCAGTCCCCTTATCTTGCTGTACTTTTGTATCCTTTGTGGCTTCTACCCAACACATATTTATCAAGCACTTACTAAGTAACTGACCCTGTGTAAAGGAAGCAAGATTGACACTGCCCTTTCTACTACACAGATGAATGGTAAAATAGCTATTATCATTGCCATTTCACAGATGAGAAAACTGAAGAGACACTCAAAGATCTTGCCTATTTTATTCCAGGGAATTATGACCAAGCTGGACCAGAACCCAAAATCTCATTTTAAAGCTGTTGCTGTTATTATTGTAAAAATTATCAGTAATAAGCATTATTAGTGATTAGCAACACTGGAAAAAATGTGACCATTAATTTACTTATGATTAATTGTACTATTAATCTCTTTGCATGGCTGGGTGTGGTGCCTCACTCCTGTAATCCTAGTGCTTTTGGAGGCCAGGAATTTGAGAGTAGCCTGGGCAACATAGAAAGACCCAGGCTTTTTATTTTTTCTACAAAAAACAAAGTAAAATAATTAGCTGCATATGGTGGTGCATGCCTGAAGTCCTAGCTACTTGGGAGGCCAAGGCCTAAAGATCACTTTGAGCCCAGGACTTTGAGGTTACTGTGAGCTATGATCACGCCACTGTACTCCAGCTTGGGTGACAGAGCGAGACCTTGTCTCTAAAAGAAAATAAATAAAAATAAAATAAAAGATACCTCTTTGGGCATTCATTATACTTGGTCATGGGGAAGAGAAAGATTTCTGCTGGAAACCAAAAGAGTTCTGAAATGAGAAGCTTTAACACTAAGCCACAAAGAGAACTTGAGCCCAGTGTCCTGGAGATACCCCACTGTATGTTTCCATGCTACTGTCCTCAGTGTGGATGGATTTCTTGGCATGTTCAGTGGGTACCAACCCAGGATGCCTGAACCCCTGCTGCTACCCAAAGATGCTCAGCTCATAAGGCGTGTAACAAGAGTCTGACTGTGGGGCAGTCAGTGCTTCCGAGAACCCATCAGCTGGACGGAATTCAGGCCGCTGGAGGCTGCCCTGACAACCCCCATCCTATTGGACACAGAGTTTCTTTTCCCTTCCACCAGGCCTGCAGCTGTGCTTCCCACCATGACCCTTGGCTCACCTCAAGCTGTCAGGTCACTAATGAATCCCAGTTTAACTATTTAACTATCAGATTTCAAAATGGTAACCTGGTCCAGTGAAGCAGGCCAAAAGAGAAGTTCTCTCATCTAATCAGGACTGGCTGTGCAATTTTCAGGGCCCAGTGCAAATAAAAAATGCAGATCTCCTTGTTAAAAAAACAGCAAACTCCAAAACTCCAAAACAAAACACACACAAAAAGTGCCATTCAAGGTACTAAAATATAAAGCATTTTCATTTTCTTGAGTATTTCCTCTCCTCAAATCCACAGTCCATCGTTCCATGGGATGTCACAAACACAAGCTCGAAGATAAAATTATTAAGAATTTCGAGATGGCAACAAAAGAGCATTAAATCAAATGGGGGCCCCTTCTGAATGTAGAAGATGTGCAGCTATACAGGTCACATGCCCCTCAAGCTGGCTCTGATCCAATGTCACCCCAGTCTGGTTAGCCTGGACTGAGAAGTGGATGTTGGCTGACACTGGCTGTTGACATGAAACTTTTGGTCTTAGCCACAGTCATTGGATTCTGTGGGAATTCTGGCCTTTTTTTGTCAATGCTTCCTACTCTTAGTAGAATCAAGAAGGTTTAAATATTTGCACCCTTCCTTATCTTCCTTTCCTCTGTAGGAAAAAATGTCATGAAAAATATTCATTCTTTGTCCTTTTGTAGCCACGGAGAGATCTGGCTATATTTGTAATAGAAATAGCTAATAGTTATTCAGATTACTATGTGCTAGGCACAAATTCCTATCTCAAAAGTGGGACACAGCCATACATGCATTTGATCATTTGAAAGCCTCTTGGACATCCTGTGAAATGCCTACAATTATCACCTCCAGAGTTATAAATGAGTCACAGAGAGGCTGGGTAATATGTTCAGGGTCACACACAAGGAGTAAATGGCAGTTAGTGACCTCAGAATTCAAACTCCTAATCAGGCCACCATGTTGCCTCCCTTGCTCATTCCATCATTCACTGCTTTATGTCTTGATTAAATCAACATGAGTTACCTCTGTAACTGAAAAGGGAAGTTCTGTTTCAAGACTGGTGGGACGTTGGGCCACTCTGGCTTTTTACTTTGAATTTATTTCACGTGTTCAATATACTTCACAGAGCACTATATCCCAGACAGACAAATTAGCCAGTGGAGGAAGCATCAAAAACCTTGGCCTTTTGGTGGGGCCACACACCCAAAAATGAATCTATTTTGTTCTCTGCTCATTTCTTTGCCCTTGCTGTGCAACTGATTGTGGCTATTAAGATGAATACCTCTTTAAAGTGTCCCAGAACTGAAATACAATTGCATTTTGATTTGAAAAGACCAGAGGTGGATAATATTTATTGCAAGCAGAAGTTGGAAAGGTTAACTGACTAACTTCTCTCTGAAGATGAAGTAGATAATGTAAAATGGGTTAGGTGTCCCTATTCTGTGATCCCATCCTTTCCTCCACTGTACTCACACTGTATGACTAGCTTACATAAACGTTAAAAATAGCCACCAATTATTGAGTACTTATGATTTGCCAGGCCCTGGGCTTAGTGCTTCTAATGAATTATCTCAATTAATATTTCTGACAAATCACAGAATTGGGCTTCAAACTCAGAGTTTCTGACCTCAAAGCCCATGCATTAAATGAGAGTGCTTTACTGTGGTTTCTTTTATTATATATATATTTTATATATATTATATATATATTACATATATATTATATATATTATATATAATATAAATTATATAATTATATAAATTATACAAATTATATAAATATATTATATATTTATTATATTATATATAATATATAATATAATAAATATAATATATAATATATAATATAATATATATTATATATACAATATTATATAATATTATAATATATATATTATATAATATATAATATATATAGTATATATAATATATATAATCTATTATATATATTGTATATATAATATATATATTATATATAATATATATAATATATAATAAATAATATATTATATATTATATATATAATATATTATATATATATAATATATATAATATATAATAATATATAATATATATATATTATATATACCATATTATATATAATATACAATATATTATATATATAATATATATAATGTACGATATATAATGATATACATGGCACCCAACACAGGGCCTGGAACACAGTAAATATTTGCTTAGTAACTAGGAAAGCAACAAATTCAGAATAACCATGTCACTAAATTCAGGGGATTGTAGAGAGGTGAGACACATGAAATAACCAAAGGTGTGACTGCCCCTTTCAACTGAGGGCTTTTATCTCTTTGAGGAGTTGATTTCTTTCTTTTTTTTTTTTTTGAGCAGACAAACTCTCTGAAGTGCACACAGCAGCTGGCAGCATGCAGAGGATACTCAGCATGCAACAGCTCTCTTGGGAGCAAGGCGTCAATCCATGAAGGCTGAGGAATGGCTCTCCAAGGGCTGGCAGCAATGTGGCTGCCAACGGTATAGTGATGGAAAGTGCCACCAAGCTATATAATAAGCTGCTATTATTACTTTTGGTCTTTTCAGCCACAAGCACATAAGCAGAGACTGTAGAAATGCCATCACCCATAGAGGCACCTCCAAAGATGAAGGAATGTGTATTGGGACATGTGTGTCTATTCCAAACCAAATACTTCCTGTAAGAGGGTGGCAAATAAATAGATGAACAGTGTAACTGACTAATCTAAAAGCGCCATATTGGCATCAGATGAGGCTCTAACTTTCACTGCTTAGGGATTCTATCTCCAAATAGTGCTCCATTTAGGAAACACTTCCTGAATGTCTACTGTGTGCAAATCACTATGATAGGCACTGCTATGGATCCAAAGGTGAGTGAGATGTAAGTTTTGCCCCCATGGATATTACATTATTTTGGGGGAGATGCCCCGTGCAGAAATAACACTTATAACGTGTGAGAGTGTCTCAGCTTTCACATCTATAAATTGGGGATAAGAATATTTAGTTTTATTATAAATATAGCCAGATGGGAATAGTGGTCTGCACCTGTAGTCCCAGCTACTCAGGAGGTTGAGGTGGGTGGATTGCTTGAGCTCAGGAGTATGAGGCCAGCCTGGGCAACATAGTGATACCCAGTCTCTTAAAAAAATAGAACTGACCCAGAGGATGGAGTCCTTGACGGAAGGATATGTAGGACATAAGCTATTGGATATGTGGTGTTTACCTCAATACGTGGCACATAGAAAGCACTAAAAAATGTAAGTCTTCATTTTAGGATTATAGACCAGGGGTTGTTAAACTATGGCCATGGGTATGGGTCTGCTTATGTATGGCTCATAAGCTAATAAGGGCTTTGTATTTTCAAATGGCTGAAAATAATCAAAGGAATATTTGCAACACATGAATATTATATGAAATTCAAATTTTGATGCCCATCAATAACGTTTTATTAGAACATAGTTAGCTTACTCATTTTTGTTTTGTCTATGGCTTCTTTTGTGCAGCAATGGCAGAATTGAGTAGTTATGACAGAGAATATAGGGCCAACAAACCGAAAATTTTTACTTTCTGGTCCTTTATAGAAAAAGTTTGCCGATCTCTGTTACAAACAGTTAAATTGCTGACTTGGCCTAATGGAAATACTTTTATTTTCATTAGCAGATTAGCAGAATGCTCATCTGGGCATACCCACAAAGACGAACTATAAACATGCACTCACAAAGACAGCTGACCCCATGGGGATCCAATTTGCTGCTCTAAATTCTTCATGGAGCTCTTTCTAGCACTCTTAGTTTATTAGAAAATTGGGGCTTGTGTATCATAGCATTTCAGACACGTGGTGCCCAAATGCTGCTTCCTGATCCACTTGAGCTGGCTGACTCATTTAGTCACACTACATCATTATTAATATCAAATAATAAACATGAGTAGCAGATGATTCATATTTAGGGGGATGGGGATGACTTTTAAAGTCACAGCACATTATTTCTCCAAACCTGTTCCACAGTACCACCACTTTGAAAGTGAACACTTTGATCTGGGGGAGAAAATGAGGGAGAAGAATATGCTTTTGGGAGAGTGGAGCTCAGAAAAATCTATGGGTAAAACAACCTTGTTCTCTGTGTTTGGGGAGCATCTGCTTGATCACAGTCGCATCTCTGTTTACTATTTAAAGCCTCTTATTTGCGGAAGCCTCCTCAGACCATATGTTATCAACAAATGTTGCTAATCAAATACACACAGTAATTTTCATTAGAATTTTTCCCCCCATGAACAAAAAACAACATTTGCCACATAGGGAATATACCTCCCAAAATGACAGTAAACATCCACTGCAAACCTTTGACAACAGAGTGATATTTACGAATGCATATGTGAGTAAGCCAAGAACACATCTACGTTAGGCAAATAAGGACCCTTGGAGAATTGGATTTTGTGCAGGTTGGTGCTGGGGTCGGGGGTGGGGGGATGTCATTAGTTGCCATGGTGATGCTCAGCATAAGGCCATAATTCATGTCTCGGAGACTGGATTTGCATTTATTCAAGGTATACGGCTCATGTGAACTGGGTGTTAAATTGGTGCGGTTCATAAAATTAACTGTGGGCTTTAACAAGAGAGAAGTGTCATTTCAAGGAATGAAAGTGCCGTGGTCCTGTTGCTAAGAAGGAAAGTTAATAATTGCCTGGAGACAGCTGCATTAAAATCTTGTGGCCTGCCTTTGAGGTGGACTGCATGATATTCCACTCCAAGGGAATCAATTGTGCCATCGCAGTGTGTCTCATGCAAACTAATTGATAGGCTGGGCTTTGGGTTCTTTAGTGTACTAGAAAAGCTAAGCTACCTCTCATCTACATAAGTGAGGCGTTTGCTTTGTAGAAATTGGGCTGTCTGGGAGGCAGAGATGAAGGCTTTGGTTTGCCTCCTTGACATTTCCACTGGAACGTCTCCTCTCCAGGAGTCTGAGATCAAATGTGTCCAAACCTCAGCTTGATCTCTTCTCCCTCACATCTGTTCCTCTAAGGCTTCCCCGGCTTAGTTAAAGGAACTGCCAGCCACCCAGACATCATTCTTATTTGCCTCTCTTTGCCACATGTCCGTCTTGTCACCGGATCTTTCAAATCCCCTACGTATATCACAAATCTGATTTTTGCTATGGAGAAAAAGAAAGCAGAAAATGGCATTTGGAAGTACCAGGAAGCAGGCGGGGGCAATATTTAAATAGGGTGGAACATGAAAACTTCACCACGAAGCAATTGTCACCTGTACGATGCACTCCTTTATCTGTTTTGTTGGCTGCTTTGTCTCTGGCCAGAATGTAAACTCACAGGACAGGGTTCTATGCCCCTGGCTTCTAGCACAGTGCAAAGCACATGAGCACACTCAATAGGCATTTGCTGAAAAAATGATTTCAAGAAACTCTGAGTTCCTCCACACACACAAATGTGTGGAGATGAAATTCAAGTTGAAAATGAAATTTAACAATGCTTGATTATCCATGGACATTATTTGGTATGGTTCAAGAGGAAGTGAGGAAAATTCCATGCTATAAACTTCATAAGGACAGAGACCAAGTCCATCTTACTTATTGTTATATTCCAGTTGTTTAGCTCAGTGCTCAGTACAGAGGAAACTTTCAATAAATGCCTATCGAATCAAGGCTGGAGGGAATAATGTATACCACACTTTATGCACATATAGAAGACCTGCATCTCAGTGCTTATTTTCTCACTAACTGTGTAACCTTGGCCAAGTCATTGGCAGAGTCTGTTTGCATACCTGTATAATGGGCTGATTTTTTTTCTGTCCTAAAACCAAGAGCCTGGTATTTGATTTTTAGCATTTCCTTTTGATTCTTTCTTAGAGCTTCCATCTCTTTGCTTATATTACCCACCTCTTCTTGCACTTTTTCCATTAGAACTCTAAGCATATTGATCATAGTTTTTATACATTCTTGGTCTGATAATTCCAACATCTCTGCCGTATCTGAATCTGGTTCTGATGCTTGCTATCTGTATGCTGTGTTTTTTTTTTGAGACAGAGTCTCGCTCTGTCACCCAGGCTGGAGTGCAGTGGCGTGATCTCGGCTCACTGCAAGCTCCACCTCCCGGGTTCATGCCATTCTCCTGCCTCAGCTTCCTGAGTATCTGGGACTACAGGCACTCACCACCACGCCCGGCTAATTTTTTTTTTTTATTTTTAGTGGAGACGGGGTTTCACTGTGTTAGCCAGGATGGTCTCGATCTCCTGACCTCGTGATCAGCCCGCCTCAGCCTCCCAAAGTGCTGGGATTACAGGTGTGAGCCACCTCACCCGGCCTGCTATACGTTTTTTCAAGTATGATTTCCAATTTTTATTGAAAGCAAATTTTTGTTGATGCACTGAGTAAAAGAAACCCTGCACTGACTTCAGTGGCCATTTCTGCTCTTGGGCTTCTGCTCCAGTAAGGTGTGATTCTCTGGATCTGCCTGCCTGTCTCTCCAATTTTGGGGGCAGTGGTTTGCCCTGTAACCTCATTTCTGATGGATCTAAGAAGAGATGCTGATTTTCAGTTTGTTCAGCGTTTTTCTTGTGGTGAGGACAGGAACAATGACTTCCAAGCTCTTCACATGCAGGACTGGGGACTGGAAGTCCGGCTGAGCCTGTATTATTTTGAAATCCTATTCAGCTGTGAAAGCTTAGATTGCATTATTCATTGAAGGTTGACTCATAAGAAAATACAGAGTTGGGCAACAGTAAAGTCTACATTTTCCAAGGTTGGAGCTAAGCAACAGGATGGCATAGTGAGGAACTGTCAAAGGCTAAATTAGAGAGATCACCTGATTTGAATGTCAGTGTTGCCTTCTCTGAAATGGAGCTCATGGGGCATCCCAAGGATCTCCCCCTTTGTTGTAAAAGGAGGTGAGATTTTTGTCCTTCGAAATGTTGGCTCTGTCTTCCCAGTCTAAGGCTCTTCTGCCCCATCTCCATCACCCAGCTGCCTTCTTCTAGACATCTGTTTATTCTTAGTTCCTGAGTATCTTTAGAGAAAATGAACTGCTCACCGCATGGCAGACATAAAAAGGAGCTCCTATGAAGTTATAGGGAAAGCATTCATTTATTCCCTCCTCTCAGCAATTCTGCTAACCAACTCCTATTTAATTTCCAACACTGGGTGTTTCCCTATAATTACTTTTGTAACCTGAGCTGTTTGTTATGGTTGCAACTGTGGTTCCCATAAATAACTGGGAGACTCTGGCTAATTGTGTCTTTGGAACTTGAATCTGCCTTAAGACACCTTACAGGCTCCAGAAGACTCAAAAGTTTACAAAACCTACACTACAGCCAGCTAGGCAAAAGCCACTGACAGGCTTGGGCCAGGGGAATTGTAAAATGCATTGCACACCCCTTTGCATTCCAACCAGCTTCTCTGAAAACAGGAGCCAAATGAGGGGAAAAACAAAAAAAAAAAAACTGGGAGAGACAGAACAACAGCCTCTGAGCTGAAGAAGTCCTGAAGACAACTTTGGCTATGCCCCTCATTTATAAATGAAGAAGCTGGTGCAGTGGGGAGGAATTTTGGAGTAAGACTCTTCTATATCTATCATCTAACAGCTTTATGATCTCAGACACATTTATTAGCCTCTCAGGTTTCAGTCTTCATGTCTGTAAAGTGGTCACATGAATAGCATCTACCTTATAGGGTTTCTAATCTGCCTTGCTCCCAATTAAGTGGGAGAATGTAAGTTCTTAATACAAAGCAGTCAGCGTTATCTGGGCAGCACAGGATTAAGAGTGCAGGCTCTGGAATCTGGCAGCCTAGCTTCTACATCCAGCTGTGCCACTTTCTACCTGAGTGATGCTGAACAGCTGACTCTCCTGCAGACTCTATTTTCTTACTTGTAAAATGGAGATGTCTATAGTGCTTTTCTCCTAGCTTTCTTTTGTGAGGTGAGGAAATACGTCCTAGCCTGATTCTCAATAAATCCTAAAAGTGTGGTGATAATTATTCAGTGACATCTCAAAGATGCACAAGTAATCCAAGTGCCAGTACTGGAATCAAACATCATGAAATGAGCTGACCTTGCAAATGTTTTCCAAACCATCTGAGCAATGGCTTTTGTGTTTTCTCAGTCTGAGAAACATAAAATCGGGGCTTGAATTTGGGTCTGATTTTTTTTTGGCAGCTATGGCAAAAGGACTTGTTCTCATTTTTCTGACTTCCTTCTCTGAGTGCCTGGAACACTTCCTCTCACTCCCAATCCTCTTATCTTCCTTCACTGGCCCTTCCTGACCCCAGGGGATAGATGAGATTATTGTTCAATGGGATTCACACTCTCCTGCCCTCTCTAAGAGAGGAGTCTTCCTCCTGCCCACTTGATGTTGGATTTGTTCATGCGATTACTCCTTTTGGCCTCTGCTATGGTTTGAATATTGTCCCTTCAAAAACACATTGTAAAATGTAATCTCCAATATGACAGTATTGAGGAGTGGGGCTTTTAAGAGGTGATTGGGTCATGAGGACTCTGCCCACATCAATAGATTAATCTATTTATGGATTAATGGGTTAACAGATTAATGGGTTATCAAAGAACTGAGACTTGTGGCTTTATAAAAAGAGGAAAAGAGACCTGACCTAGCATGCTCAGCCCTTTTGCCATGGGATGACTTGTGCCACCTTAGGACTCTGCAGAGAGTCCCCACCAGCAAAAGTCCCTCACCAGATTCAGCCCCTTGACCTTGGACTTCTCAGCCTCCATGACTGTAAGAAATAAATTCCTTTTCTTTATAAATTATCCAGTTTCAGGTATTCTGTAATAAACACCAGAAAATAGACCAAGACAGTCTCCTAGGCAGACTATACATCCTTGCAGCTTGACTTTAAAATTACCCATGTGACTTTCTTCGGCCAACGGGGCATTGGCAAATGTGATGCAAGCACAGGCTTAAAATGGTGCTTGAGTGGTTGAGCTTTTTCTCCTGTGTCTTTGTCACCAATGTGAGCAAAGCCTCCTCCAGGTAGCTGCTATCCTTTCAGCCTGGATCCCAGAATGAACTATGTGGAGTAGACCTAAGCCAAACCCACAGTGAGAATCGAAGGCCAGCCAGATCCAGAACTGAAAGCAGAGCCATTCAGCTGAGCCTGGCATGGATCAGCCAACCTTCAACTGATTTTCAGATGACAAATGAGAATAAATGACTATGGCTTTAAGCCACTGAGTTTCGGGGTGGTTTGTTACACAGCAACAGTGAACTGATACAACCTCTTTATCTGTTAATCACATCATCCTGTTTCTACTCTATGTTCTGTTGGTCTGTCTGCAGTCCTTAGTTAGAATATCACATTATGCAGTGCCCAGAGATATTTTATAGCCCTTGCATATTATATAAAGTCCATGGCAGTCACTCAATAAACACCTGCCTAATGACTTTAGTGACTTGAAAATGACAGCTCTGTTTTGCCAGTGTCAAATTAAGCAGGATCTACCCACGGTGTGAGAGCTGCACTGAGGCCTGGCTATGCTGGCCAAGCCTGCCACAGGCACTGTCTAGGTTCCCGAATAAGCAAGTGTGTTAACACCTCCCAGGGCTAAGGCAGGCAGCCAATGTCTCTCAAATCACGAACGCTCAAGTGCTCCCAGGAAAAGCCCTAACCACATCAAAGGCACTCCCGATCGAGCCTCCCACATGGAAGCAATGACAACAAAGCCAACCTCAGTAGCACTTGAGTGTCCCCAACATTTGTGTCTCTGAATGGGGACCCAAATTGTGGTGGGTACACAGAAGCAGCGCTTAGGGGTGCTCAGGGATAGCCATTCAGGGCTTTGGCTGCCCTCCAAGCAGCCAGCCCCATCCCGTGAGACCTCCCGGTTGCCTTTGATAGAGGGGATTACGGAAGCTGTTGTTGGTTTGCATTGGGGCGGGGGTTGGCTGCTTTCATGGGCTGGGTTCCCATCATCCTACTGAAGGGGACCCCTGAGGACACTGTGAGCCATGCTTGTCTCTTTCCCCAGGGACTGGCTTGTGGGTTTGGTCTTTATTTTCTCTTTTCAACACTTATGAGAAACCACTAGGAGTGGCCATGAATGCCAGGAATCTCAAAAGGAAATGATGAATGAGGCCAGCTGGCTAAATGCCCTTCAGTAAGGACTGAGGTGTTGTCTTAAAGAATTGGGGAAATGGCTCTGGAGGCCAAGTGCATGACATAGGCTCAACCTGGAGCCAGAGAGTTGTTCTTGAAAAGTGATGAATCTCAGTTGTAGAGAAATAACTGGACCCTGGTATATTGACACTATCACAGCAGAGTGAAAATACTACCTGAGTTCCCAGTTGCATCTGGGGCTCCTTACACTGACCACTGGGGCTATGTTAAGTTCACCACAAGGCCTAGTCACTCTTACTGTGGGACCCCACACCCACAAAATAACAAACATACTAAAAACTATCTTTGAAAAAAAAATACCAAAAAACTGTATGAAAGTTGTTTGTTGTTGTTGCTTTTTTTTTTTTTGAGACAGGATCTTGCTGTGTCACCCATATTGGAGCATATTGGCACAATCTCGGCTCACGTCAACCTCCACCTCCCGGGCTCACGTGATCCTCTCACCTCAAACTCCTGAGTAGCTGGGACCACAGGCATGTGCCACCATGCCAGGCGAATTTTTGTATTTATAGTAGACATGGGGTTTTGCCATGTTGCCCAGGGTGCAAACTCCTGGGCTCAAGTGATTCACCCACCTCGGCCTCCCAAAGTGCTGGGATTACAGGCATGAGCCACTGCACCCAGCTGAAAGTTGAATTGAGTTGTAATTAACTAGCTGATATAGGTTAAATTTAAAAGACGTATAATTAAATATGATTTTTGATTTTATAGTTATCTTTATATATTTTGGAGTTTATACAGTTCCTTTTAAAATGTAGCTTCCTAAGCTCTTGAAAAGCATTTGGGCCCCACAGGCCAAATGTCTTAATCCCAGACATAACTAAAATTTGATGACCAGTACTCAATTTTTCCTCTGAAATAATAAATTTGAAGGCTTACCAACTGATAAGGGCCAGAATTAACTTTAATTTCCTTGAATGCCAACTTGTACGCCTCCTTCCAACAAAAATTATCTTCATGTCCTTTGCCCAGGTAAAGTAAGAGAGCAAATATTTCTGCCATGCATTTTCTCCTAAAAGGTATTCATACTCTCCTTTATCTCAGTCCCAAGGAGACATAGACGTAAGCGAGGGTAGGTTCAACCAAGACTGTCTGAAATACCCAATAAAAGAACCAATCGCTCACCCCTGGAACTTTTCTTTCAATGCATTTGACAATAACAAAACTTGCTTTCTTTAACCCCTGGGGTAGACAAAGCAGCAAGTTATGAACCTTAATGCTTCTAAGGTTCTTACAAATGTTAGTTGATCTTTTTTCAGTGGACCCTCTTTTTTTTTTTCTTTTTTGTGACACTTCCAGCCTGCCTGCTTCCTTCTTTCCTGCATCCTCCTCTCTCCTTTCTCATGTTAGAGATAGATTCACGGTATACAGTTAAGTCCATGTGGAGCCTGCCAGCTTCTAGGTACCTCTGCATTCCCACTGCTCTGTTTGTCAGGTGCTCTGTTTTACCTTTTAAGGTTTCCACCACATTGAGTGAGGCTCAGGACTTTGGAAAATTAAGTGGCAGAGAGTAAAGCCAGGCATAGCCAGTGGGGAAATCTAGAGATGCTGTGGTTATAAATGTGGACTTTGTAGTTAGATGGCCTCATTTGAGTCTTGGTTTCACTTACTAGGAGCTGGGTGATTGTGGCCAGGAGATATAACCTCTCTGAGCATCAGTTTCCTCATCTGTACAATAGGAATAAGCAAAGCACCTACCTCATGGTTGTTAGTAAAGATCGAATTAGATAATTCAGGCAAAGCATTAACACATGAACACATGGTATGGCTTGAATGAATAAATGTAGCTACTTTTATTAACAATGTCCTAGAAGTGACAGAAGTTTAAAAGGCCCTTTAAAAACCCAAGTAGAGGGGCTGGGTACAGTGGCTCACACCTGTAATCCTAGAACTTTGGGAGGCTGAGGCAGGTGGATCCCTTGAGCTCAGGAGTTAAGAGAACAGCCTGGGCATGGTGAAATCCAATCTCTACAAAAAATACTAAAAATTAGCCGGGAGTGGTGGTCCGTGCCTATAGTCCCAACTACTTGGGGAGCTGAGGTGGGAGAATCGCTTGAGCCCAGGGGGTCGAGGCTGTAGAGAGTCAAGACTGAGCCACTGCATTTCAGCCTGGGTGACAGAGTGAGACCCTTTCTGGAAAAACAAACAAAAACACACCAGAAAAAAAAACAACAAAAAACAAACAAAAACAAAAAACCCCAAGTGGTTGAATTTGGAGCCTTTTCTTTTTTTCCTTCCTTTCTTTTCCTTTCCTTTCCCTTCTTTCTTTCTTTTCTTTTTCTTCCTTTTCTTTTCTTTCTTTTCTTTCTTTCTTCCTTTTTGGAGTCTTACTCTGTCACCCCAGCTGGAGTACAGTGGCACAATCTCAGCTCACTGCAACCTTCGCTTCCCAGGTTCAAGAAATTCTCCTGCCTCAGCCTTCCCAGTAGCTGGGATTACAGGCACCCACCAACAGGCCTGGATCATTTTTGTATTTTTACTAGAGACAGGGTTTCACCGGGTTGGCCAGGCTGGTGTTGAACTCCTGACCTCAAGTGATCCACCCACCTCGGCCTCCCAAAGTGTTAGGATTACAGGCATGAGCCACCATGCCTGGCCAGAGATTTTGTTGAGGAAGGCCATAACTAAACTTAAAAACACCTTTCTTTGGTACAGCTGGGTTGTTCAGTATCAGTCATAATCAGCTTACCATTAAATTCTATGCTCCATGATGGACTTGCTTGTAGAGGTCTTTATCAAGATAACTACTTAGAATCATTTGAATAGCAAGGGGAGTGTGAGACCCCCTCTTCTGGCTCTCCCCTGTCTCACTAGCCAGGCCTCCTCAGTCCCCTTTGCTGATTTTCCTCATCTCCTCTCTAAACCTTAGCACACTTAGCCGACCTTAGGCCTCTTCTTTTCTGTCTACACCAATGGTTCTTAATTGGGAGGGGGGTGTGGGGGGCTGATTTTGCTCTCCAGAATACATTTGCAGTGTCTAGAGACTCATTTTTCGGCTGTCACACAGGGGTGTGGGGGAGAGAGTAGGACTACTACTGGCATCTAGTGAGTGGAGGCTGGGGATACTGCTAAACATCCTACAGGGCAGTCCCCACAGCAAATAATTATCCAGCCCAAAATGTCAGTAGCACTGAAGCTGAGAAATCCTGGTCAGCACTGACCACCCCACTGTCTCATAGGCACCCCACATAACACTCGGCTTCTGATCTTCCCCATCCCAAACCTACACTGGCTTTTCTGAAGGCTTCCTCAGGTCAGCAGTTGGCAGCTCCATCCTTCCAGTTGCTTAGGCCCAAAGTGTAGAGTCATCCAGGACTCCGTTTTGTTGCCTACATCCCACACCTAATGCCTCAGCAAACCTGTTGGTCTGATCTTCAAAATGTAGGTAGAATCTGACCACTTCCCACCACTTACACTCATTCCACCCTGGACCAACTTTCCATCATTTCCTCCCTGATTTATTGCAATGGCCTTCTAACTTGCTTTTCTACATTTGCCCTGTTTTCCTCAGTCCCCAGAAGCCAGAGTAATCCTTTAAAATGTAAGTCAGCTCTCACTACTTTTCTGTTCAAACCCCTCAATGCATTCTTTTCACTCAGAATGAATGACAGTGTTTTCACCATGGCCTACAAGGCCTTTGATGAGTTGAACCTTCACTGTCTCTGACCTTATCTCCTACCCCTCTCATTCTGGTTCATTTAGCTTCACCTACATCAATCTGTTATAGCTGTTCTTCAAAAATGCCAAGCATGCTTTCCATTCAGGATCTTCATACTTACTGTTCCCTACGCACAATCTGCTCTTCCCTCAGCTCCCTGCATGAATCACTCAGCTTGTTCCAGGAGTGCTGGGGATATTACTTTACGCAGGATGATCTAGGAAGGCAAAGTCTTCCCTAGCACTCCTTACTCTTCTTCCCTGCTCTTTTTTCTCCTTATCACTTATTGCCACCCGACATATGTTTTATTTCTGTTTTTGTTTGCTTATTGCCTGTCTCCCCCAACTAGAAGCCAAGCTCTGTGGAGGACAAGGACTCTTGCTTGCTTTGTTCTCTGTTCTATCTGTGTCTAGGTCAATGTCAGACACACTGCAGACACTTAACAAATATTTTTGAGTGAATCATCAATTTTGAAATAGTTCTACTGAAGAGTTACAATGTCAGAATGACTTTCATTCATTATGTATAGAATACTCCAAATGGGAATCTCTTCTTTGCCACTTAAATGCTATATAACTATGAGAAGCTACTTAAATTATTTGGGCTTCAGTTTCCTCACCTGAAAAGTTATCAGAGTTCTTATGAAGTTCAATAAAATCACATATTAAGGTGTCATGAGGTTAAATGAAATAAAACACATAAAGCATTGGACGCATACAAAGCACTGAATAACTAATAACTGCCACAGTGATATTAAATGGTGCTACACATAGGGATTTTCTCTAGTCTGTACAGGAGCACACTAAGAATTTCCTCTCCAGCTGCCCAACCTCAATGGACTCTACCAGAGTGTTGCCACTTGCCCCTTCCCCATTCATCCCTTGTGGGACTTTCCAGGCTAGTTCCAGGGTCTCACAGGCTTCTGAACCTTCTGATTCCACTTATTTTAATCCAAATAAATTAATTGAGTAAGGGACTCATTGCTGAAGTCAATAGTTATGTCTATAATGGAGATGAGTCACCAGGTACCAACCAAATGACTTCTACTCTGGGCTTGTGAGGAGCACAAGATGAGAGCTGGAGCAGTGATAGAGAATGGGAGACAAGAGGGAATTGATTGGACAGCTGTCCTTGCTGTATCCTCTGAGTTTTCCAGTGAATGGGGGCAAGTTTACTGATTTAGCCTCCTTTGTTCCCATTTGTTGATGTTCATCCATTCATCCATTCACCCACCTCTCCAATCCATAGTGAGCACCCAAGGCACTGTTCTGGGCGCTGGCAAGACTCAAATGAATAAGACAGAAAATCCTTGCACTCAGAAAGGAGTTCATAGTGTTTGGGCAAGACAGACAATAATCAAATAAACAAACAAGAATGACAGGAGTTGTGAATACAGTAGAACAGAGTCAGGACACAGAGAATGACTGAGGCAGGACCACATTAGATGGGGTAATCAGGGGACATCCTGCCTGAAGACATGGTGCTTGAGCTGAGACCAGATGGAGGAGGGGTCCCCATCAAGCTGCTCCTCCTTCTCTGTTCCCTCTTAGTGTACTAAAGGGATAACAGGGTGTGGAAGCACAGCTTCAAACTCAACAGAAGGAAGCGATCTACTTAAACCCCTGTTCTTCACTTTGTCTCTGGAGCCCAGCATCCTAAAAGTATTTTTTGAGTGTCTAAATCCATTTGATTGATAATCTCTCTCTGTGGCTCAGCTCCAGAGTTCCTAGGTGGTAATACCTAAGCATTGGCAGTTTAGTTAGCAGGCAATACAGGTGTTTATGAGGAAGAAGGGTCGTCCTCATAAGACTCTTCTTCATAAGTTCAGAAAACGTTGGCTTGAACAAAGATCAGTTCCTTTATGTAGGATTTCTCAGAGCCTTTATTATGTTAATGTGCATTCCAGATTTTCAAGAGGGGCCACAGCACATAATATTTCCCAAATTTTTGTGACTATAGAACCCTTTTTCCAAAGAGCATCATGAATGGTTAGTGTTTGGTGGAGGATACCTTGACAAACCTGAAAGAGTTTGACAAATGTACCAAAGAATTTCTTATTGGCTAATAATCAGTTTTAGATAACCAAGATAATCTCAAAGGGATGTTGAGACCAGGGGTATCATCTCCTAGACATATATTGGTGTCTTGATGAAATCGGGTAAAACCGATAGCTGAAATGAAGGAGACAATAATCAGACCAATTAAGAGGCTTGGTTAGAAGAAAGGAGGGCAGCCATTCAATTTGCTGTGGGTGGAGTCACTGGTGGGATTTATCTGGGAGATGCAGAGAAAGGAAGAGGAGAGATCTCTCTCTATGCTTCTTTCCCTACTCCCCTCTGTGCTCCCCGAGTGACTGCCAATCTGCATGACCCTGAGAGAGTGCTCCCACCTCCAACTCCCTGCCTGCTACAGGGGAGGGCCTGGGAAAATCTCAGATTGTTAAACTCAAGGCTGAGTAAGATAATATTTTAATTATTAATCACTACCATCATCATCAATTCAGCCTAACAGCTCCTATTTATTGAGCACTTACTATGGGCCAGGCAATGTTTCAAGAGGTTTCCACATATTATTTTATTTAATCCTCACAGTGATGCTATGGGGTGGTGAGAGCTGTTAGCCCTGTTTTACAGATGAGGGAACTGAAGCTTAGGAATAAATAATTTGACAAAAGTCACATGTTTGCTAAGTATATGTGACCCTCCCCCTGTCCCCATCTTATGTTCAAGTCCCACTCTTATCCACTTTACTCTGATGAATCCACTGCAGGATCACAGGGTGGCTTACTTCAGTCAATGATCCTTGTTGAGCATTTTAATGATGATTTTCTGAAGGCAGAGAGGCAAGGACCTGGCCACTATGTTTGAAAAGGCATCACACCTGGGCAAGCAGGAAGCTTACACACTAAAAGCGTAGCTCCTTTATCTTGTCCCTTGCCTCAGTTTCAGGCATCTGTATTCTGTATTTGTTGTCTGGCTCTTGTAAACATTTACGTTTGTGATCCCTGTTGAAGGGAATAAGGTGTCTTTGGCAGGGGAGTGATATAATGATTACTGTGTAGATATGTGCATGATGTATATGCATATAATGTGTACATAATGATGTAATTATTATGTAATATTTTGAAGCTGGAACTCTGGAATCAGACACACCTGGGTTTCCTGTGCCAGGCATTGGTGTCTATACAGGTGTGGCAAAACCAGATATATGCAGATCACTAACTAGCTATGTGATCTTGGATAAGTACCCTCACCCTTCTCAGCCTCTCTTTTCTTGTCTGTAAATGGGAACATAACATATGTGTCTCTTAGGGCAGTGAGAATTAAATGGGACAGTGCATGTTCTTTAAGAGCTCAGCAAAGTGTCAGATACCATTGAGAGCTCTCAATAAATGTTAGCAATATGTGATTTAGGATGAAAATTTGTCAAGGATACAGGACCTCAGAGTGAGGAGAGGCTGGCAGCATGTAATAGTTTAGGTGGGACAAGAGAATGGTCTGAGAATAATGGTTTGCAGGGATGATGGATGTGGTATTGAAAGAGATTTTCAGGCTCCATTCCATAAATACTGTGCAAGACAGGTCTTGGTCTCCCAGTCATGAAGGAAGGAAAGAGTAATTACTCAGTTTTATTGAGATGCTGACCCCAGGCAAACCACCTTCTCTAATTTGTAGCCATCAATGGGCACATTGGAACAGTGACTATTGGAATGGCAGCTTTGAAAGGGTTACTACAAGAGTGACTCTTAGTTGGGAGTTATGCTAATGACTCTCCCACTTCCCAGCAAATGATGATGACAGTAACAAAGCATCAGCTGAGTGCTTACTCTGAATCAGCGACTGTGTTAAGTGCTTTTACATGGATAATCTCATTCAGTAAATTAATAATTGAACCTGAGTTGAATGAATGTTGATTATTATGTCTCACAAGGTCAGCCACAGTCAAGAAGACTTGATTCATGAAGCACGTCTGGGACCCCGGTTTACACTCAGTTTCTGAAAAACAGCTGCATGAGCAGAGAACGCTTTGGCTAACAGTGACTGTCTCACAATATTGTGGGAATATCAAGTACCCGATGGATACAAGGTCAACCACACCCCCAATACACACCCACCCACACCCACAGAGGAATGAGAGAAGAGAATGAGAAAGTGGAAGAAAAATGCATTTGTCCTAGAGTAAAACATTATGATAAGTAAATTTGTTGACAATCAGAATTCTGTGACTATTCATGTTTTGAACTCTCCTCTTATAGCTTTCAGATTTATAGGAATAATAAGACAACCCTGCAACCTTCTGAGTGGTGTCATATAGCTTCACCTCCCTTCTCATGATGGAGAAGAACAGATTCGATACTGCATCACTTTACAGCTAAACTCCAGTCTCCATCCCTCTCTAAAGATGTCTATGTGTTTTTTTTCCTTTGCCTACAAATGTTTTTCCCCTTTTCTATCAGTAGCTTAGGCTCTGACAGTTCATTATGAGCACAATAAAATCCAGTTTATTCCCTCCATCAATCATCGAAGAAAATTCACAGAATTGTAGTCATTAATTTCATCACTTTAAGCACAGAATGATAATTTCATTTTCCATTCTGATTGCTTGTAAATTTTTATGAATTATTTGCATCATTAAAAATTTGACATGTGTCCAACATGAAAATTCAGAGCTGTTTGGATTAGACAGACTTTTTTTTTCTCCTTCTGTCTTGTGTCAGGCACGTATATTGGTTATGTTTAGTGTGTTGAAACTTTCTCTTCTCTGTGGAGGGTGACAAAAAACAAAGTTACGTTCCTGGGAAGTGAGAGAAAATGCCAAAAAAAATCAGATACATGACACAATGAGTGACTGATACATAATTTAGCTCTTCCTACAGCAGTGGTGTTCAGGGACTTACATTCAGATCTTACCATGTGGAGTTAAATTGTAATTTGCTGGTCATGTCCAGGGACCCCGGCTGGGTCAATGTTTTATCTGTAATCACGTTACAGCACATCTAGTTTGCAACCCCACATTTTTGTATATTAACAACAGTAACATGTATTAAATGTTTACTATATCCTCAATATAATGCTCAGCACTGTACATATAGCATATGGTATATGTGCAACAGTCCTGTGATCGGGATATGATTACTTCCATTTTACATATGAGGTGTCAAAGAGACTCACCAAGGCTGAGGAAAGTTTTCGTCTAATGCTACAGATACTTATCATATTATCTATATATTGTTATTATGCCCCAAATGTTAAAAGTTTGCATTAACTTAGACATGTTCTTTCTCAGAAATAATTTGTTTTAATCAAATGTCCCTTTAGCCCTGTAAAAAATATCCTGCAGACAAAAACAGACATCTTAGATTTTGTAATTTTATTTTACCCTGGCATTTTGGGAAAAGATGTATGATCAGTCTCTCAATAAACATTAATTGATAATCTACTCTTTGTATATCACAATGTTAAATATTGGAGTGCTGCAAAGATGTCTAGCTCCTGGTTTGTCTTAGTTCATTTGAAGAACTGAGTAATTACCTGAACAGTTAGAGAGCTACACAGAGGAACTAAACAGTTTGGTATAGTTCAAGAAATGTCCCAAGTGAGAACACAATGAGCCAATAAATGAAAAATAGTGCTAATGAACACTGTGGTTCAGAGGAGAACGAGATTGATGTGGTAGCAGGGATTTGGGAACCCATTACTGGGGGTAAGGGGCAGCTGGAATGGGTCTTAAGAATGGAAAAAAAATATATGGATGAACAGAGTAAGTATATTGGAGATGGGAAGTTGAAAGCAATTGTTACTGAGCATCCTGAAGTATTTTCCTTTTGCTTTCAAGATAAATTTCTAAGTCTGTGTTTATTTCTTCAATCAGTAAATATCAAGTATCCCCTGTGCTTAGAGTTAGTGTGGACATGGTTCCCACTTTCAAGGGGGCTCATAGGCTGGTGGAGAAACCCCAAAATGAACAAGACATGTGTGATGAGATTTATGAAGGTGAAAGTTGAGGGGCTAAGGATCATATAATGTGGGAGCTTATTTAATTTGGGGATGAGAGAGGGGAAGGCTGTTCAGTATCCCTGTAAGGACACCTAACACACATGGTGTCAGTTCTTTCCTTTCACAGAGAAGTGCTGGTGGTTATGGAGGGTGGCTTACTTAGGTTGCTGAAGAAAGGGTAGAAACCTGTAGGTTGGGTAGGATGAATGAACTATGTGAGGGTAGGCAGAGTTGGGAAAATTGGTGAAGTAGGCAAAGTTCGTGAACATCTGTTGTTTTTGCCTGCTCAACGTCCTTGCCCCTGCTTTTGGTCACAGCATTCAAATTCTTCTTTGGGACTACCTCTCCTTGAACTTGGTACACATGGTTTGGGTGAAGGTGACCCCACCCCTGAATTGACAGGTGGTCGTTCTTGACACTGCATTTCCTGGGCCATGGACTGGTTCATGGGTGGATATCTGACTCAAATGACTCAATAAGAGTCAGCCACAAAATTTAGGCTGAAACCCCAGGGAAGGGAAAGCTATTCCCATTGGAGTTACTCCACTGCAGAATGCAAGCCATGAGTTACTGGTAGCAACCAGCTTGCCTCCATGAGGAGAAAGGCTACCTAAGACTAAAGACCACCCAGAGGAAAACAGCTGAGGGAAGGAGAGAGAGAAATTCTTAATGTCATCGTTTGAGCATCTGGATCCAGTCATGCCTATAGCCCTAAACTCTTCATTTATATGGACTAATGAAATCCTGTCTCAGTTTAAGCCAATCAGAAATGGGGTTCTGCACCTGTTGGGTACGATGTTTATGGCCTGAGTGATGGTATCATTGGGACTGCAAGCCTCAGCATCATGCAATTTACCCATGTAACAAATCTGCACATGTTCCCTTTATAATAAAAGTTAAAATAAAGAATTGGAGTTCTGTTAATTGCACCAGAGGAAAACTAGTAAAGCAGAGCCCCGCCTATCCGTATTTCTTCACCTGACTCCTGATTTTTCATTTGCTTCTTCCCATCTTCCATGTTCCATGCTTTCCTTCCTTTCAGATGCCAACTGTTTCATTCTCAGAGGCTGATATTTTGTTCTTCCCACTGGGCTGGCACTACTGCATTATTTGAAACTTTCTTAAGAACTATTAATCAAACCTCACCTCTCTTGAGTTCCATTCCTTCAGGCTTTTAATAGAACATAGAGTAGTTTGAAAACTAAAATTTCCTTTATGTATGTATTCATTTGTTGGCACCTAGAAGGCCTAGGCATTATGCTAGACATTTCAAGTACTAGATAAAAAAGATCCCTGCTCTCACAGAGCTAACAGTCTGGATTGTTGTATAATAATCTTATCTTAATTAGGTATTGATGACTAGGGATGGTCTAATATAGGAAAAGGCAAACTAAGGCCCTTGGGCCAATTCTGGCCTATTGCCTGGTTTTGTAAATAAAGTCTAATTGGAGCACATCCATGCCCATTTACTTACAGAACCTCTGTGGCTAATTTCATACTACACTGGTAGAGTTCAACAGTTGCAACTAAGATTGTATGGCTTGCAAAGTTGAAGTATTTGCTATTTTGCCCTTATAGAAAAGTCTGGTGACTACTGGTCTAATTTGTTTCCCTACAGTGGTACCTGCAGCATAAATGAGATCCCAAGATATCTAGTGTCTTAGTTCAGTGCTTCTAAATGGTGAGGGTAAATAAAAGGTAAACTTGAACCCTCAGGAACTTGGTGGTACTATGTGAAATCCCACACAACAAGCACACCTATTTGAAATATTCTGGTTTTAAAAGCCCTACACGTGCTGCATTCTACCCCATAACATGATTGCTTGTTTCAATACAAAAATGTTTCAGATTTTATCAATACATTGATATGACAAGAAGATGCTCTCTGTTGAACTCTATGACCTCAGGTTCCAGCTTGAAAAAACATGGCATGAATTAGAAATAACATGTTTCTAATGTGAGACTTTTCACACTGTGGCTTAGAGGAGAGGAGGCTTTCTCTAGTCCCTGCAACCCCTCTGCCTCCCATTAGAGAGACAATAGCAATCAGGAAAGACCATTGTTTCCAGGTAATTTTTGGCCTCAGTATGTCCCATCCGCCTCTTTGGAATACTTGGAAATTACAAGGGACAGAGAAAAGTTTTTGTTGTACTATTTGTTTAGGTTTTTGAAGTGTTACAGTTTTCCTAATGAGAGGAGACATTCTGATATTATTCAATGTACTGTGTTTTCTTTCCTTTCCCCTAGTGACTGCTCTTTGAGGTGCTTTGTTGGAGACCATCAATATATTATTATTTGTGGACAGAGGCTGCTTCAGGACACATCTCTTGGTTTGAGGTGACGATTATGGATTATTTTGTTGCCTTTGTTTGGCATGCTTGGTAGTAGAAAGACTGCTCTGTGTGGTTGGAGCATTGCATTTGTTATTGATGCACAAAAGGACATTCATTATTTATTGGGTGCTATTGATTTTTTTTTTTAACTCTTGGGAAACAGGGATCTGTTCATATCATTAGGTTTCATTTAACCGTATTGGAAAGAGAATCACTTAATTAGACAGAGCCAGCTTTTCTGTTGTTGGAATAGGGATGGCAGGCAGGGCTGAGAGACTGCTGTCATTTAGGGATCTCTTCCAGTTCACTCATTAAAGACATTGACTGAGAGCCTATTATGTGTTTGGTGCTGTGCTAAGTGCTTTTGCTGCAGGATCTCATTGACTGAGCACCACAATCACAGCAAGGTGGAGTTTTTACTCCCATCTTACAGATGAAGACATTGAAATTTAGAGTCTCTAAGTAACTTGAGCAAGGTCACTCAACCAAGCAACAATGAAAACAATAACAATTATAATTTAACATTTACTGAACACTTAATATACTAGGCACTGTATGAAACACTTCAAACACAGTGTCTTGTTTAATTGCCACAACAACCTTATAGAGCAGGTACTACTACTGCTTCCATGCTTTAGAACAAGACACTGATGTCCAAAGAAGTCAGAGATCCTGCTCCAGGTCACCAGATCAGTGAGGAGTGAAACTAACATTCAAGCCCAGTTTGACTTCAGAGTCCTTTTTGAAAAACCTGTGCTAGTATAGCTGTCCTTGCTTCTTAGGAGTGGAACTGGCATTCAGCAAATGCAGCACCCTTTGAAACCAACACCCTTGCTCTCCCATTAGAGCTGGCCTCCACCACCTGTGACAGCCTGGTACCTGTGACTGAGGGCCTGGAAGGGATTCCTCACTTCAAGCAGGAATTCCACAGTGGGAGACAAACTCAGCCTCCCTTTGCCTCTGTCAGGATGCAGGATGATGATTAAAAGGAGCACTGGACTGAGAGTTTGGAAGCCCAGGTTCTAGCCCCTCTCCAGTCTTGTGTAATGCTCTGGCAGTCATTTCATCTGTAAAGTGAGAAGGTTGGACAGGACAAACTCAACACTCTCTTCTGGATCCAGCATCTTTGTTTCTGTTATTTAATCTGTATCCAAAGTGTCATAGGTTTTCCTGTAAAACTTCTGTGAATTAAAAGACAAATCTCTGGATATGGGGGCACCGCAGATTGCTCTGTGAAGTGAACTTTGATTGCTGTATTCTTGGAAACTTGGTGCCATTCCCATGTCCAGAGGACTATTACCTAGAGGGAAGTACGGAGGATGGGGGAGAGGAGCAGAAAGAGAATGCTGGTCCGTGAAGCTGCTTGGAGGAAGTTGAGTTGCGTGTGTCCCTGTGGCAGATCAGAACATCCACCTTCAAGGAATGGGAATGTTTAGTGGGTTGGCAGAATCCCAGTGAGCAAAGCTCTCCTTTACTCACTCCTAATGGTGACTTCATTCCACCACAAGCCCCAAAGTCCTATTCACTTCTTTTAAGAAATATATATTATTTTGTAATTTTAAAACTTAATGTGGTATATGTATACATATTTATGGGGTATAGTTTTTAACAGAAATATACATAATTACAATTTTCAGGTGATTTTTGGGTGTTTTTGTTTTTATTAAGTTCAGGGGTATATGTTCAGGTTACTTACACAGGTAAACATGCTTCGTGGGGGTTTCTTGTGCAGTTTATTTCATCACCCAGATATTAAGCCTAGTACCCTTTAGTTATTTTTTCTGATCCTCTCCTTCCTTGCACCCTCTACCCTCCGATAGGCCCCAGTGTGCGTTATTCCCCTCTATACCTCCGTGAGTTCCCATCATTTAGCTCCCACTTACAAGTGAGAACATGAGGTATTTGTTTTTCTGTTCCTGTGTTAGTTTGCTGAAGATAAAGGCAGTCCTACTTACTTCTTTTTTTTTTTTAAATTTAGAGTTTTTATTTCATCTGGAGCCTGCCTTCTCCAGCAGTAATGGCTCTTCACTTCCTTCTTATGTAAATCCCACTCATCCCACCCATCCTCCTACAAGTTTCACGTCCTCTGTGCACCTTTCTGGATAAATCCAGCCCTTGCTCATCTCCTCTTGCATTCAAACTTCTCATGCATATTTTATTTCTCAGCTGCCTTTCACTGGTTTCCTGGGTTGGTTTGGCCCGCAGCTGGTCTGTATCTCCAGAGAATCAGCCCCGAGCTGTATGCTGAGTGGGCCCTCCTGGTATCTCAGAGGGTCTGAGGTGTAAAAAGGAGATGGGATGGAGTTCAATGTCTCTGACTTTTGGATACTTCTCGCTCTCAACCACAAATGTTTATTGAATTTCTACGATGTCCGGGGCTTGGTGCTGGGGATTCCGCAGGGAACAAGACCAACATAGCATTGTTACTTGTTTCCCAGGCCTTTTAGTTTTTTCCGGGCCACTGAAACTTCTTCCTAAAGCTGAACAATCAGGCCCATATGCATACACACATCTGATTTATTTTCCAGACATGGCAATTGTAGGCTTTCCAATTTTAGCTATGATTTTAAAGGTAGGGAGCTAACCTTGATGAAATAAGAAATATTTTTAAAAAGTCTTAGAAACGGAAGGGGCCAAAGACACATTAACTACTAGTATTTTTAGGGATCCTGGTTCCTTCTTTTATAATTCTATGTTGTTTATCCCTGAGCTGAGCTGCATGGGTACACTGGTCCACTTGATGGTTTGTTCCCTGATAAGACACTGAGATATAAAAGGTTGCTGAAACCCAGGAGGAAAAAAAAAGTCATGATAGAATTTAGCCACTAGATGGCAATCCCAGGCTGTAAATGTTCCCTAAAGTTTGACAATAGCCAACTTCAAAGGCCTGCGCTAAAATTCAGCCACAGCGCATTTTTAATCCTGCGCTTCCAAGTACATTTCCATTTGTTGCAGAAATATTTCAGCTCATTTGGAAATGTTCATGAACACACTAAGTCCTTTGCATTCTTAACTACTTTTTAAATTCAACCAAGTAGAGTTAATCAACTAATAAAGAGGAATTGTAATTATGGCTAATATTCAAATGTAATTTTGAAATGCACCTTTGTTATTTATTTTTAAACAAACTTTGATTCTGTTTTATAACAATGATATGGATACAGTATTACGGTGATATGGAAGGTAAGTGTATCTCAAGAAAATTCCATTTTCTTTCTCTGGGAGTAAGTCCCACATGTGAGGTGAAGATGGGCTCCTGGGTTTACATCTAGCCCCTGTGGCTCTCCCCAGAGCTGATCCAGAAGAGAGAGCTGACCAAGAAGAGAGAGAGACACAAGGTCAACACAGAGTCATTCCAGGTCTTATTCTTTAGAGAATAAGAAACTTAGATCAAGGAGACAGAGAGACAGGGAGTTGACTTTTTGGAATGGAAAGCTCCACTGGATTATTCTTTATTGGTGGTTGATAACTCCTCCTGATTTAATTAGTACTGATACACAATCCCTCCATTTCCTCTGATTGAATCATTAAAATCAAGTCCTATCCCTGGACACCATCAGGAAATATACTACACCGGAATGGATTTCTATTTATTTTTGGCATATAAGAAGATAATATGACCCAAGAATCAAGCCCTAAATTGATTTACAATAAATTCCTAGTCCTTCTGCATGCTAGCTGTACCTTGGTCCCTATTTGTCAATAGTGTGAGGAGTGTTAGATCCTGGAAGGATGATTTTTCTGAGCTAACCCTTAGGTAACCAGACTTTTCAGCACTGTCTTTCATGAAAATGTTGCCAACAAGAACAATGAACATAAATTGTAACTTCCCACGGCTGAACAATCATTCTCTTAAACCACTGTTTCAGTCAATAAAAATAAATTAAAATGCTTTGATATCATAAATAAAAAGAATTCTTGGCTAAAAGAGATGATTCTCAATTGGGGGTGATTTTGCCCTTCCACTCCCTGGGGACATTTGAGAGTATCTGTTGACAATTTTTTTTTTCTGGTTGTCACCACGAGGGTGGGGGTGCTCCTGGCATCTACTCAGTTTATAGTTATAGATTTCTTTCTTCTCTAGTCCTTTTATGCCATTTGAGAGCCTTCTAGAACGTTTTAAAGTCCAGAGATGCTGCTAAGCCTCAATACAACGTCCAGGACTGCCCCCTGGAACCAAGAATTAACTGGCCTGAAACGTCAACAGTGCTGAGGCTGAGAAACCTTGGCCAAATCTTTCACCTTCATCCAGTAGTAGGGAAATTTTAGGTAGTTCTAAGAGTTGCACAGGTCCTTGAAGGAATGATGGGGTTGTTTGTATCTGACTGCTTTGGTAGAATACAATGTTTGGGCCCTAAATCTCTGTCCTTCTGAATCTCTTCTCCTCATTCCCATCCCAGTGTATTTGCAAACCCTTCCCAGTTCCAGCTGTTGGTGAGTTGCATCAGACCATCCATATGTTTCAGAAAAAAAGATGCCAAAAATGCAAATGAATTGTTCTCTGTTAAGTATACAGCTTTGCAAAGAACCATTTAAACTAGGGCTGGTAATATATTTTTTTTAAAAAAACCTATTCCAAAATGTCTCCAGTCTCTTAAAGAATCACTGGAAAAAAAAAAATCTCTGGTTAAGAGATTAAGTTGCCCATCTTTTTTCAGATGAACTTGCTTCCTGTTTTACTGAGAATCTGGAAATTCCCAAACACAGATTTGCTTATCTTCTTTGCTTGTACTTTCAAGTTTCTTCTCCTTCCATAGGGCAAGCTACCTGATGGTACTAAGTCTTGGTTTTCTCTATTTGTAAAGTGGGAATGATAATATCTACTTCACAGAATTGTTCTGAGGTGGGGTGTGTAGATCAGGGTTATCCTTTCTCTATGGCCCCACCTCCATGCCCTGGCTTGGACCTCCAGGAGCCATGTCTGTGGTACATGATCTTGCCCTCCTGGCCACAGCTGCTTGATCCAGGTATGAGCACCTGACCCAGGACGAGCCAATCATTGCCTCATTCTGAAATTTGAAACTTACAATGGAGAGTCTTATTTTGTCTGGTGATGAGCAGAGAGGGTGTGTGGGATCCATGGGAGACAGAGTGGTCCCCTCTTCTTGGGTTGACTACAGCTTGTTGGAGGTGTGGGTAAGGCACTTAGGGTCTTTGCTCCTTTGTTAGTCTGAGGCCCCATGACAAGTTTACCTATGTAACAAAACTGCACATGTACACCTGAATTTTAAATAAAAGTTAATAATTTTTTTTAAAGACTACACACATTAAAAAAAAAACTAGTCAATTCCCACACCAAGAGAAAACATGGTTTTATAGCAGAAACAAAGACATAGATTATCCAAGTATAACGGCTGCAAGCTTAGATGCATAAACATTGTAAAATTCAATGTCAAAATGTATGACTAACAATGTCATTTCAATTTTGTCATAAAAGTTTTTCACACACACACACACACACACACACGCACACACATGCACACACATGTTCACATGAATGGAGAGGCACAGAAACAGGACACCACTGGAGCCGGGTCACACTGGTTCAGGAGCTCTCTGTCCCCAGTGTTTATCCTATCCCTGCTAAATGTACTTGTTTCTTTAAGCTCTCTTCCTCTTAGTTTCGTCCGCAAAGCTCTTTTATACCTTGACTCAGCCTATATTTATAGATTTCTTTCTTTTCTCTTCCTCCTTTTATACCTCCTTTTTAGAACCTACGTTCCCTACACAGTACAGCACTTCTGAGACTATAGGTGTTGGCGGATACCACTTCGTTTTGCTGGAATGCCCTTGCCACCCTTTCTGTACTTGCAAATGCTTTCTAGCCAAATTCAAGGGCCATTTTCAAGAGCCATCTTCTCCAGGACCATTCTTTGGTTTTCTCAACAGAAGCAATCTGCAGTTTTCCCCAGAATGGAATCTTTACTTTTTTATATTCACTACTAAATGTACATGATTTATTTCCCTGTAAGTATGCTGCATCCTGAAAACAGGGTCTTTGCTCTTTATTTTTTAATCATTCGCATCTATAGTGTTTTACACCTTGTAGATAATTGAAATTTATCAAATAAACAATTTATTCATTTTATTTATTTGTGTCCTGGGAACCTTGTCAATAATTGTCATCTCATCTTTTCCAAGGCTGTAATAAAATGCTAATGTCTATCCAAATAAAATTCAGAGAAAAGTGAGAGCCTCTGTTAAATGTTCTCTTCCCCTGAAGCTTTCATTGGTATCCCCATTAAGAATTAACACGTTCACTTGACATTTCATTCCGGTCATTGAGAAGACAAAGCCAGCTAAGGGGGAAAATGTTTTCTTTCTTTTGTCTTGAGTGTTCACATTCAACAACATTACTAATTCCATCTTTCTCATTCACGTCACTTTGCAAGCTGGCACGGATTTACTAAACAGAAAAGAAACCATGGAATGCTCTAGGAAAAACACCCAAAAGGATGAGTGTAAACCAGGGAAATACACAGACTATAGTGAAATTATTCAGTAAACAGAGATTGGGTACTGTGACTCTTCAAGCACAAATCTTGTACCCCTGGAGATGATTTGACATGGCACAAAGACGGGACATCAAATGGCACTGTGAGGCAGTTGTTCTCTTCTGTTTCTCCTGATTACCCTAGGAAGAAGTTCTCAGTGTGAAGGAAGAACGTCTTAAATTTGCTAAGCCTTTTTTGTTGTACAAAGAAGGCAATTTTGTTGACGTTTGGAGTTCCTTCTGCAGGGAACAGAATCAATCTAGAATTTACTAACATGGTTTTTACTGAAGTTATTTTTATGGCTACTCTATATTTACAATCAGACAGAACAAGATGCCTTTTAAAATCTAAGTTAAAAAGTGAAAATAGATTTAAAGAAAAATATAAAACAAATAATAGTATCAATGATATGCTGATATGTTGTGAGGGGTAGACAGAAATGACTGAAGTTTTAGAAAAATGTAGCTAGTACCTTACCTTGTATATTTAATTGCAGTGAATGTTAAAGATATGTGTCAGATTTGAAAAAGGGAGGGTGTCTTACAAGTAGATATATGTCCTAATTCTTTTCAAAGCCATATTTGGAATAGATTTTCCTATGAAACCTCATCATTAATATGTGTATATGAGGATTTATTCTTAATCTTAAGTTCTTAACTCCTCTGAATCATTTCCATGTTACATTTTACTTTCCAGTTGTGTGTGTGTGTGTGTGTGTGTGTGTGTGTATCCTGAGTTAACAGAAGAGCAAACATTAATTGTCATATTCTGATTCTGAGAAATTATGCAAACCTCCACCTAATCCAATTATTCAGTATAATTAAAGCAGTTAGTTTTAAATTATAACTGAGCTCAATTTTAAAGGAAAAAATAAATCTCTCTTTTTAATTTTCTAGTGCTTTAGTTTTACCCAGCTTTGCAAATTGTACTTATGGCCTGTCTATAAAAATAAACATAATGTAAATTATGATTTAAATCCCCATGGGCAAGCTGTTCTGCCTTCTTTGTTAGAAAGCAAATAAGACCTACTTTATGGCCTGTTTACTAAAACGGAAATTTCAAATGCAGGGATTTAAGAGACATCAACTATATTGGTGTTGTAAGTATAGAAATAACTACACAGACTAATTCTTTCAGGATAATCTGAGAATCTTTAAAACAGACCACTATTTGATGCTTTTCTTTTAAATTATATGGTAATACAGAATTAAAAAAATGTATATATCCACATTACTTATGCTCACCTCCTAAGCTGTTAAGAATCTATATATTCAGAAGACCCTAACCTGTGAAGTTCTGGTAATTGAGTTTTGATCATCATGCTCGCTCGAGTCTGCCTTTGTTCCCCTCCCTCCCTCATCTGGATTGTGTCATTACTGATGCTTCCAAAACCAATGGGAAGAAACAGGATTCCCCTTTCCTCAAAAAGCCATTATATTTGAGGTCTCAAGTATATTCAACCTCAAACTGTCATGTGAAATTCTAATCGAGGATCCTCATGGTAAGCAATGTGTTCATAAATCAGTCAATCCATCCCTTCCCCTAAGGAAATTTTAGCAGGTGAAATTTTCATAGTAGTCATATCTAAACACCTAGCTCTTTTCTATTGTGGGTGAAGTAGAGTGTTCCTCCTCTGTTCAGATTCACAGTTTAGGAAGAAACAAAGTAGGAAGGCGTTCTGCTGTGTGACTTGCTCCCGTAAGCATATCCAGATTGGAGAGAAACACTCCCTGACACGTGCAGAGGAGTAAGGCATTATACCAGTTTGTATTACTGCAACAGTGAACACTTCCTTAGCTGCAGTCACTGGCTGGGGGCCTTGACACAGATATGGGAGAATGCAGATGAGATGAAATTCTTTGTACATGTTAGCCATCATGCAATCATTTTCTTCTGGGCTCAGAAAAAAAGCTTATAAAAGTACAAGAGAATTACAGAGATCTTAATATAGAGATAACTGAATTTTCTATATTTAATGAATTTTTTTGAATGTCAGCAAAATCTAGTAATATGCTTTGTACTGATAGTGACTTCCCAGGTGGGGTGACAAATTAATAACCTGCTCTTTTGCAACTGTCTGGTTGCTCAGCCTCCAAACCTAGATGCTATCCTTGATTCCTGTTTTGCCCCTACTGCTTCTACTCCTTTACACACACACACACACTCTCTCTCTCTCCATTCAACCATGAGCCTTTTTTTTTTCTTTTTTCTTGAGACAGAGTCTCGCTCTGTCACCAGGCTGTAGTGCAGTAGTGCAATCTTGGCTCACTGCAACTTCTGCCTCCTGGGTTCAAGTGATTCCCCTGCCTCAGCCTCCCGAATAGCTGGGACCACAGGTGCCCGCCACTACACCTGGCCAATTTTCGTATTTTTAGTAGAAATGGGGTTTCACCATGTTGGTCAGTATTGTCTTGATCTCTTGACCTCGTGATTCACCCGCCTCAGCCTCCCAAAGTGCTGGGATTACAGTCATGAACCACCACGCCTGGCCAACCATGAGCCTTTTTGTATCATTCTGTAAAACATCTATTTTTCTTCACTGTCAATCCAGCCTAAGCCACCATTGTCTCTTGCTTGGAGGACTGCAATAGGCCCCCCACTTCTCTCCTTATGTCTACTCTCTTAAGAAAAGAACATATGTAACATGGATAAAATTTTCTCTCCTGATGATTTTTTTAAATAAAAGCTTTAGTGAGAGATCATTTACATATCATAAAATTCATGTTTTAAGTGTATAATTCAATGACTGTTTTTGTAAATTTATAGCATTGTGCCACTATTGCTGTACTCCAATTTTAGAATATAACCAACAACCCCAAAAAGATCCTTTGTGTCTGTTTGTAGTCAACCACACTCCCACCCACAATCCTAGGCAACCACTAATCTACTTTCTGCCTCCATAGATTTGCATTTTCCTTATAAATGGAATCAGATAATATGTGGTCTTTTGCCTCTGGCTTTTACTCTGCATAATTTTTTGGAGGCTTATCAATGTTGGAGCATGTATGAGGACTTCAATCCTTTTTATTGCTAAACAGTACACCCATAGATGTAATTTCTAAATGATAGTTAAAAATCTGGGACGCCATCACTCAACTTTGAACTAGAATATTACAAAGCTATTAAGTACCCTGCATTTCCCTGCAATCCAGTTCCCACAAAGTAACCACCACCATGGCCATTCTTTGTATAAGACTCTCTGAGGGCTTCCTGTTACAGTTAAAACGGAAATCAAAGACCTTTCGTGTCCTACAAGGCCTCCATGATGTGGTCCTTGCCTATGTCTCTTTTTACTTTACCTCTTGCTCACAGACTCTGGTACAGTTTTTTTTTTGTTTGTTTGTTTGTTTTTTTCCTGTCCCTTGAATATTACAAGCTTTTTCCCATCTTGGGGACTTTAAACTTGCTTTTTTTCTTCCTTGACTGTTCTTCCACTTGATCTTCAGGTGAGTGGATCTTTGACATTGAAGTGTCAACTCAAATAGCTCCTCTATAAGGAGGTAATTTGAAGCTAATCTCAAGGGAGTTTTTCCCATCACACCAGTGATTTCCCATCACACTACTCTGTTTAATTTTTTTCATAGAATTCATTGGTGTCTTAAATTATTTCATTTGTTTACATACTTTTTTTTGGTCTCCACCCACTAGAATATAGGGTTGCTGAGGGTGGAGACTGTGTCTGTCTTGCTAATTGGTGTATCCCTTGTGTCTAAAGCAGTGTCTAATACATATTTTTTTGTAAGCATGTATTGAATGAATAAGGAAACAGGTAACAGGCTAAATCAGAATGCAAAGTGAATCTGGAGAGTTAAAACACATAAACAGCAAACCCACATCAAACTACAGTCTTTAATTTGGTTGAATTGATAATATATTTGAATCCGAATCTGTATTTTGCCCCAGCCTCTTTTATTTTATTTTCTTGGAAATAGAGTCTCACACTATCACCCAAGCTGGAGTGCAGTGGTGAGATCTCTGTTCACTGCAACTCCCACCTCTCAGCTTCAAGCCATTCTTGCATTCTTGTGCCTTAGCCTCCTGAGTAGCTGGGATTGCAGGCATGCACCACCACACCCAGCTTTTTTTTTAATTTTTAAATTTTTGGTAGAGATGGGGTTTCACCATGTTGGCCAGGCTGGTCTTTGAACTGGCTTCAAGCGACCCACACACCTGGACCTCCCAAAGTGCTGGGATTACAGCCGTGAGCCACCATGCAGTTTCTTTTTAAAGTAAGTATTCCTATGAAGAAAATATAATCACTTGTCCCTTGATTGGTTTAACTTCATACAGAGAGAGTATGTACCTGTGATTTGTACTTTGGGCATAAAAAAATCAGTGCAAATAACATGTTATAATGCTGACTTGGAGTTTTGTGTGATTTACTCCCACTTTTTAACAAGGTGCTTGATGTAAATTTTAAGAGACTTGTGGTTTCAGTCACCCTGACAACCAAGGTTTAGAATTAAGTCCTATTAACTGCCTTTCTATTTTGAGTGTCCTCAAGGTTATGTAGGTTTCTCATCTTATTTCCCAAGTGCCTAAATTTTCCATTTTAAATATGGGTCAAATATTTTTTTTTTAGTTTATTTTTAAAAAGAGACAATAAAAGCTGAAATGAAAAGAGACTTCTTTCCTCAAATTATAAATGCATACTTTAAAAACTTTATCTGTATAATACACACACACACACACACACACACAAATATACACACACACTTATTTTTTCTATATGTAATACTTTTTCCTAGAGCCTGGAAAAATTTAGGTGGTAGGTAATGAAGTTGGTAGTTAATCTGAGTTTACTGTAATTAAAACTAATTGTATTAACCTTGGTTTTAATACTTGCTTGGCAGACCCATTGTCACTTAAACTTAACATGTACAATATGGCTTTGGTGCCCTGATCACGGATGGATTTTTAAAAATTAGGAAGAAAGTAACAAAACACTCTATTTACAAAAGGACTTATACTGTTACTAGTTCCTGTGAAAGACCTGGAAAATTCCCACAATGATTGTGTTTGTTTCATGTGCATTTCTCTGAATATTTTAATCCATGGCTTTGTTTTCTCCTGATGCTTCCACGCAAGATCCTGCACAAATATAACTAAGACATTAATTGCCCTCAGTTCCATGTACAAACACCACAGTGGAATCTGCTTGCTTAGTTACATGAAGTATCACTCTGCTGTTTATACAATAACTCTAATTGTGCAGCTTTTTATATATCCAGACAAATGGAGCAAATTGAGATTGCTCAGTGAGACCAGGCAGTGACCTTCATTTGAGCACAATGATTTGCTTGCTGTTTGTATACAAACAGCTGAACCATATCTTAATTCCAGGCTCATATTTAAAAGCTGCAATGAATTCTCTGAGGCTGCAAGAGAGAGACAGCTTCCTAATGGTAGAAGCCGAAGAGATAGAGGTCTCCCAAAAACAAATATAGCAAGTGACCTTCAGCCATTCACTTTCTCTCGGTATATAGGATGATGGAGGTTGAGCAGATGTGATGTATTCACTAAAACAAGGTGACCAACTGTCTGTTTGCCCCAGGATGGGGCAATGCCAATAATGAAAAGTCCTGGGTAAACTAGAATGATTTGGTCACCCTATTCACCAACATACAGGACATAACTAGCTGTGAACTAATAACACCATTTCCTAGGAATTGATGCAAAAGGAACAATCATATATGAGTATACAGATTTTCATACGAGGTTATCTATCATATGCATATATCTCTGGATGGGTGTGGACACACCCACAGATACAGAAAAACTGGAAAACAACGCCAAAACATATACAGTGATTATTGCTGGATATAGGGATCATGAGTAATATTTAATTTTTCCTTATACTTTCCCTCAATTTTCTACAACAAGGATTATAACTTTTTGGTCAGAAAAACATAAAATATTATTTTAAAAATGTAGCCAATAATAAGACCAACCACACTGCCTTATACAAAATAGTTACCAAATAAATATTATTTGAAGTGTATGCACAAAGTATGCATTTTTCCTCCAGACTTTTTAGCGGTTTTATCTGTTGGGAAGGGTCCTGGGTCCAAGATTCCACCGTAGAGTTGGAGTCAAGCCTGATTTATTTACATGTAATTAAACATTATCCTCATGAAAGACTTCAAGTACCCAACACTGACATTATCTACAGAGAACAGCTCACTTGCTCAGTGGGACTGGACTCACTGTAGGTTATTTCTCAAAATAGTTTCCCGTTAATAATACCTCCCTACCTAGCAGCAAGCACGACCACAAGCACAGTGCAATCTGACTTATAAACCAAGCAGGAAATGAAATCTAGAAGGGGAAGGGAATGCGTTTATTTTTTTTGGTTAGGTGTCAATGTCACCCTAATGTCAGCATGTAACATTCTGTAAAAGACACGTCTCTGCTAAAGTGGAAAAAGAACAAATTTGGTACAGCTGTAGAATAATCCTTATGGGAATAAAACGGCCAGCTTGAGAACTCACTGCCCCAGTTCACATCTGTACATCCACTACCCACATGGTTGTGAGAGATGCCAGGTGACTTTAACTCACTCAAGGTCATTCACCGAGACGCTAGCACTACAACTTACAAATTGACAAGCAGTGTGTGCAGAGCAGCATCTGGTGGTAATAAACAATTGCAAACTCCGGAGAGAAGAGCCAAGTGTTGTCTGCTGCTAGAATGCAACCTCCAGAGGGCATAGTACCACCCTTGGAAAAAGAGCGGACAATGGGAATGAAAAGGAGAGAGTTTGGGCTCTATGTCCCAATGTGTCTTGAACCTGTCCCTCTCACTTGCTTTCCTCTGCCATCATCGACCACCACCCTGTCTTACATGATGACAGCCACAGCCTCCCAACTGGTGTCCCCACTCCCATTGCTGCTCATGCCTCATGCGGTCCTTCTCCATATAGCAGCCACACTGATCTGTTAAATACATAAATCCAACCAGGTTACTTTGGGACATAAAACCCAAGCCTCCTGCCTTGACCTCCAGGTCCCGTGAGATCTGGCCCCGCCAGCCTTGCTGACTTGCTGTCTTCTCTCTTCCCTCTCCCTGTGCTCCACCCTCAGGTCTTCTTCTTGCCCCTCACAGGTGCCTTCTTGCCGTAGAGTCTCAGGACTTGGCAATTCTCTCTGCTTACCATGCTCTTTACATAACTGGTTCCCTCTTGCTTAGGTTTAAGTGCAAATGCCACCTCTTGGGGATATTTTGTGACCCCTCTAATTAAAACAGCTTCTCCCCAACTTGGTAAATCTCCACCAAATCACCACCCTACATCTTTGCTTCACAGCAGTGGTGCAGGGGCCCTGAACCCACATTTTGGCTGAATGCTAAATGGGCTGAGGATTAAAAATGAACATTTGGCCAAAGCCAAATATAGATGTCACTGAATAAACTTCTGAGGGTACAAGAACAATCGAAATTAACACTTCAGTTATTTTTACAATGTTGCTATTAAAAACTTAATTAGCTAAAATTTAAACTTTTTTTTACTTCCCCCTGCTGCCTCTATACAACACACTTAGGACAGACGGCAAATGGATATTTACTTTGACTTGAGGTTAGTGGGAAGTGAAATATTTTGGGGCCAGCTCTTTCAGTATGGCCAATCGTTGACAGCGACATTGACAGCGGGTTGTTAAGCTTTTTCTCCTTCCGGATAGGAAAGAATTAAGGTAAGCCTTATCTTATTTCATTTAATATGATGAATGCTAGTGCCTCAAACAGGTCTAGAGAAATTACCGTTATGATATAGCCTCATCTTTACTTTTCTGCTTTGCATCATTATTTAATTTTTTTGAAGATTTCTTGGCTCAGAAGTGATATAATGTTCTTCTTAAAGATATCGAGTTGTACTGTTGTACTATTTATCTTCTTAGTCATTTGTTTATTCATATAAAATAGTTTTAATGAACAATTTTTACATGTTAACATGTTAATACATATTTGTACATATTTTTGTAGTTCCACTAATAGAATTCAACATATAGAGCACATATGAAGATTTTTTACTCCATCGTGCATTTGGAATGCTCACCTATTTTAAAAATGAATATTCAGATTTTAACAATAAGTCAGAATGATATGCATTGCTTGTATTACAGACATTGTCACATTGATTGGGTATGATGATTATCTATGTGTTTCCAAGATCACTGAGCATGCGCAAGTCCAGAAATTTCAGAAATGACTTTGAAATAACACTTGACTATTTGGTCTCCTAAAGGCAAGTTGAAGCCAAAGGTATATAAAATATTTTAACTGAATAATAAGGCCAAAGCCAAACTTGAAGGTATCTCTACCCAATGACTTAAATGTGCCTTGTCTATTGTTTGTGCCATTAGATTGTGGGTGACATAACAGCTACATTTCTGCTTTTGTTCCCTGTTGTAGCCCCAGTGCCTCAAAGGCACAGTGTTTATAGCACACAGCAGCCACCCAGATAAGTGAGATGAAGGAAGGGCTGACCAAATGAACCTAGGAGTCTGGCCAATAGCATCTTATGCACTTCTCTCTGTGATTTGATTCTCCCCCTGATTTTTAAGTATTTGTGAGATCTGCATTGGACGCTTGGTTCTGATTACAAATGACAAAAATTACACACTAAGTTCTTCCAGAGGCTGCTATTTCTAGAGACCAGGTTGTTTTTGAGATTCATTTCATTTGAGGTCTGTTTAAAGCAGGCAGGTGAAAAAGAGAAACATTTTCTAGGTTCCAAGTCCCGCTACATTTGGCTCAACAGAAAATCACCTAATTCTGCTCTTGGGGTAGAAATAGGTTGAGTGATTTGACACAGCAGGGAGAAAAACAAGGTGACATCACATGGCAGGGCAGAACTGGGACAACACACCCAGAGCCTTCTGCCTCTAATAGTCCTCAATGATTGATCCTGCAACTCTACTGTACTACTGCATGTATAAAGTCATGGGAGACAAGAGCCCTCTTTTCATTCCTTCCCTCTCTAGTAAATTTACAGAAGAAGAACATCCAAAAAACAACACCCTGTCATTATTAGATTGTATAGTGTGCTACTTGCTAAAAGTCAAATTTACAGAGATTTACTTGTGTTGGACCTAGCAATTCCTTGGTGCATATATTTTTATGTGTGTGTATGTATTTTATTCATTACTTAGTAAATGACAGTGATTTGGTGTCAAGCACTCATACAATGGGTTCATTTTACTTTTCGGGCTTTCTCTGTTTTTTTTTTTTTTTTTCCCCTCCCCAGATATTTTGCAGCCATCTTCTGTTCTTTTAGGTATGGAGCCTCATCTAGATGGAGAGATCTGCACTATAATTATCTTTATGGTCATCAGTACTCTGAAGAGGTTTTCAAGCCCATCACATTGGGCCCCTTCTCAGCTTTTCCATAACCCTTTACCACTTGCTGCTAAGGTTTAGCTCTGAATCAACCAACATTTATTAATCATCTTTACATGTAAGCATTATAAGAAAACTAGCTTGCTATATAGTTTTTTTCCAAGTACAAGTAAGGGATCTACATATAAATGAACACATTCCAAAGGAAACTAAAAAAGGCATCTGAGAGATAAAGCGTCTTTAGCTTCTTTAGTTCACACCAACTGACTTTGATGGTCTGTGCTGTTTTCCTTTTTTACCCTGGGTCCACTGACAGCAATAATGATTAAAATAAGAATAACATCTCTTACATTTGTGCCAAGTTCTTTGCATATGTTAAATTTGAAATGTTATTAAGCAGCCTATGGTGTAGGTATCATCAGTATTATTTTGTAAGTGAAGAAACTGAGGTTCAGAAGGATTTAGTAGCTCACCTACCATAACAATGACAGTGGCACAGGTGAGATTCAAAGTAGGGGTTGTATCACCCCAAAGCTTTTGCTCTTATGCCCATGCTGAACCTTTATTTTTCATATAATCACTGAAATGTTTCCACCCAGACTGCAGCTGTTAAAGACTGCCTGAAATAGCTGCCTCATCCCAAACCATCTAAACTAGCAGCTACGGGCTGGCATGAAAGCTTCTGAATCCTTACCAAGGAACCCAGGTGACTCTGAAGGACTCCAGAGTTTAAACACCAGAGCTCTAGAAATTTCCAAACCCCCTGATAATTGGCATCATGCCAAGATGCTGTGTCCTCCCCGAGGGCTCACATCCATCTGCACCTTTATAGTGAAGTGAGTTCCATATCACAGCACAGGGGCGTTGCTGGAAGACAAATAAGTAACTGATAAACACATAGAAAGTATTATCTTAGCTGCACTCTAGCCTCTGGAACAATGGCCCTGATCCAGAAAGAAGCCAGAATAACAGGCTTGTGGATACCCAGGCTGTAGAGGGCTGTGCCTCTGGAAGACGACTCATGGAGGATGTTGCCTTTTGGATTCCTCTTGCCTTTGAGAACTAGTTCTTTTATCATCAAATCGAAGGCAGTCCACCCTCAGAATATGTCCTCTGGCTCTGGAAAGCATTTTGGCAATGGTACTCCCTTCTACTTTGGCACCCTTGGCCAATTGATTTCCAGGTGTTTGAAGCCTGGGTGTGTGGAGTTGTAGGATTTGGGGGCAGGCTTCCTAATTTCTCTGAGCTTCTCTTTTTTCCTTCTATTTCTTAACAGTACCATGTGGAGTTCAGTGACATTATAGTGAGTTTTAGGCTATTAATACTATTTCCTGAGAGGTTACAATATGCTGGTCACTGAACTCAGCCCTTAACATAGATCAGATTGATTTTCAACAACAACCCGATGGGGCAGTTGTGTCTTGTCTCTCTTTCAAATTTAGGGAAACTGAGGCTTAATGGGGAGAAGCTACTTGGTCAAGGTTACCCAGCTGGTGAACGGTGAAACTGTGATTTAAACCCAGCTCCATCTGACTCTTAGCCATATGGTTCCAGCTAGTTCAGTGCCTGGTACTTAGATTTCAATAAATGGTAGGGGCAGTTGTTATTGATAATGATTCCCTTGAGGATGATGATCATTATCATTAGTGTCTCTCCTGGGATTGTGTAAATGCCTCAAGGGCAGAGAGCCTCTTTTTAGACTCACGTGTTACACCTCACAGTGCTGATGTATGTGGGTCGAATTATGCCTGCTGAGTGTGTACACTAATGTGGAACACCTGTGCTGGTGTGTGCGCCAGCACGTTCATCTCCCTTTAAATATAGGCTGGGTTTTAATCCACAAAACAACCGAATTTATGGAAAGGAAATGCACGCTTTTAGATAGTTTTGTTGAATATTCAATGCTAATTAAGTTACTCTGTTTTAGAGATCTAATTTCTTTTAGAAAGGTAGGGTGGCAGAATGGATGAAAAGTACAGGCTTTGGGTTTGGCTTTTGGCTTAGCTATTGTATCTGCAACTTGACTAAATAACTTCACCTCTCTGGATTTCAATATTTCCATTAGTAAAATGAGAATAACAATAGTACCTATCTCATAGGTTATGGTAGGGCATTAAATAAAATGATGACTGTGAAATACCTAGCATGGCACCTGGTCCATAGAAAATACTGAATCAACGTTAATGATCACTGTTTTAGACTCAGGCCACCTTGTTTTCCCCCATGTCCCCTTCGTCCATCTAAACAAGAATAAAGCCATGATTACAATAGTCAATAGGACTACTATCTGCCCAAGCATTGTTTTAAGCATTATATATATATATATATGTATATATATATAGCAATTAATTTTCATAAGAATATGGAAATGGAGGCACAAAGAGTTAAGCAGCCTGCCCACTCACACAGCGGAAATAGGAACGCAGTGCTCTGGCTCTCAATTTTGTACTCTTGTCCATGACACCATACTGCTTGTGAACACTGATGAATCTAAATCAAGTATCTGTTATTTTCTTATTAGTGAGGATTTAGAATTTCCCCCTCATTCTATCATTACAGGGAAATAACTCTATGACATTCTTTCCTATGTTCTCCCTGATCACTAAATAAAAAATACAGTGGCTTTTCACATTTGGAGAGAAATGTATTAAATTTGATTTCTACTGAACAGTGATAGAAAAACAGTCCAGTTCTTAGATTTACTCCAGATGTAAGTGGCAAGTAATCTTCTCTGGCAAGGTAATAGAGAAGCTGAATCAGAAAGGAAATGACCTACAGTCACTTAGTCCTTAAGGGTTTTTTTAAAAAGAGTACAGCCTTGTTTCATAGCTACACAAGATTAGACTACTCATGAAATCAGAACTTTTATAGATTTTTCACGTTTAGATGGAGTATCAACGTCTAACTGACAAACTCCAGCCACTACTTGATCATCCCATTCTGAAATTCCAACTAATTTCAGAAATTTCACCAACTCAGAGTCAGTTGCAATTCCTGAAACCTCTGTCTTAAGTTCTGCCATTATGGTTCTTCTCTGGACCAGTTAGTTGGATGAAATAATTATAGAATTGTTGAGGTAGAAGGGACCTTGGATTCCACTTTTCAGGACTTGGAGAAGTTGGAAAGCTTGGTGGCTTACATAACACAGGTTGGCAAATTTATGATGGAGCTTGGAGAAGAATTAGGAGCTCTCTCTCCAAAACTTGTTCCCTAGCACCTTGCTTCCTTCCCACTGTCTATCCTACTGTCTGTTGTCCTAGCAGTCTGCCCACCTTCACCCTCCAGCTCACAAACACACACAAACTGGTCTTAAATAAACATTGGGAATTCTGGACCAAGCATTCTGGTCTGAGAGGCAGTACAGTGTCTGAGCATCCCAAAGTGTGATTATAATTTTACTTTCTCCCAACCTACGTATCTTCTGGGAGCCTAGCAAAATTTAATTTCTGGGTCAGTGTTGACTTTTACCATTTATGATTTAATTAACTTAGAAAGAAATTAAACCTTTTTCTGGAAGGAAAAAACAGAAGAAATAGTATCCAAGCTCCACGTTCTCGCTACATAATGTCTCTACGTAAATATCTCCTGGACTGTGAACTTGAGCATGGAGTGTCAAGACAGGAAAGGAGCTGATTCTCAGGAAGCCTCATTCCCTTTCCCATTCAGTGGCCTTTGAAGTTCTCAAAAGCTACTGAGGCTCCTGGAATATAGACCATGCTCAGGCGCTCAGATTTTTCCAATCAACTCTCCTCCATGGGTGCACAACTTCAAAGGTCGTATCTGTGTTATTCCCCACTCTAATACTAAAGCCTGGCAAATAGTGTGTGCTCAATAAATACTAGTTTACCAATATATGGTTCCAAGTTTACTCCAGTCCTTAAAGATATTTCAGGTTTCAAGATGGAAATACAATCATATTTTCCCTGGCTTAAACTCCGCCAATAGCTTCTCCAGGGTCTTGGAATAAAGTTTAAACCCTTTGCGTGGCCCCTAAGACCTGTAAGTTGTCGGCCCTGCCCTGCTCTCTGCACTCTCCCTGTAAACACTCTCCCTCAATGACTAATTTCTAGGCACATTGTTCCCCCTTCTGGTCCAGGACACATCAAGCCCCTCCCTACCTCAAAGCCTTGCACTTGCTGTTTCCTCTTCCCTATGCCCCCACTACTTTCTATCACAGCAGCCTGCTCATTTCTTTCAGAACACAAATTATAATCTGTTGTTACCCTTATATATTCATTTGTTCATTTGTTTATTGCCTATGTCCCTTACTTGAATGTTTGATCCACAGGCCAAGGTTTGAGATATGTTATTCACAGCTGTAGCCCCAGCACTGGTTGGACATAAGGAAAGCATCCTGTGTACACTTGCTGAAGGAATGCAAGTATCTACCCTTTCATATCATCGTATCACATTTGAATATCAAAGAAGCCATTCAGGAAAGATATTCTGCCTTGATGTAAACCATTCCAAGGCCCAGTACACAGAAAACATTTTGCTTAAATTGAAAAAGGAAGCACCATTAAGAAGATAATACATGAGGCAAGCAACTGGAGGGAACAACTTCCTTTTCTGACTTTGTAACTGACTTAATGTGGGAACAATTTAATAGAACTCCATTTCTATGAATAATTTGGGTATAATAAGCCTGGCCCATTCTACACTCTACCATTAGGATGAGTAATATATTTCACAGAAGAAAAATGTTACAGGAAGTTGTTGTATTTTGGTTTTGTCTTTTGTCTCATCAGATGAGATGTCATTGAAGAACCCTAGGGCCGTGGCAAGATCCCAGTTAGGGCATTTTATTTTCTCATTCCCTTGGAAAATACCAATTTTCCAAGTTTGGTTGTGCTTTCTAATCCCTGGCAATAATGAAATTCATATGTCACGAAGCCCATGGCCTGTCAGGGAGTAATGAACTTGTTAAATAATCAAATGCCAAGTGGCATCTTTGGTTTCAATTCAGTAGAATATAATTTCAGATACATTAGCACAATACTGGGTTGCTAATTCAAATTTCCTTTCTTTTCAGCAAAATTATTTAAGTGTTCCAGTATTTAATCCTTGGGGCATGGTTATTACAGAGGACAACTTACATTATACAAAACTACCAATAAATATAATTTTGGAATATATTTTCTACTCAGGGAATATGTCAGGTTTCTTTACATCATTTTTTTTTCAAATTTACTTTATTTGCCTACCATCTTCCCAATCTCTGCCATTTCCGTATACCAAGATACTTTCATGATTACTTTTCATTGTATCCAGGTACCACCTGTGCTATTATTTACTTAATATATTTTATTTAAATTGATTCACTTTTTAAATGTTAATGTATTTCTTTAAAAAGGAAATCTTATGTCATTGCTACAAAAGACAAAACAGCACCACCAGCCATGAATGGAAGGTAAGCGTAATGGGATCTAAACAAGGCTATGAAATCTTAACTGGATGCTGTTGCCTGCAGAAGGCTCTGAGACTGAGACCTGTGGAGGTGTTAATGACCTACTAGCATCGAATTAAAATGTTCTCCTTGACCTGATCAGAAGAATTGAAAAATAAATGGTAAAGGAGTGCCTTCTTTTTCACATAATTTCATCTCACTCAATGCCATTTTCTGGTATTACTTAACATAATCTCTGTTCTTAGTAAAGGTAAGAGTGCCACCCTTTGAAATATATCACCTTAGAGCAAGAACAGCCCTCTGCTCTATTTCAAAGAGAGTGGGAAAATATATTCCAAATGCTTTGGAATCCCCAAAGCATTTCCTTCTCCATCTCCCTGCCTTCCTGAGGCTGCTGATCTAATGGCAGGATTTCAAGCACTTCTGCCTAAGTATCCCCATTGGTTTCCCATCAGAAGCAAAAACAACCTATTGCAAATGGAGACAATATTGTAAAATAAGTACGTCTCATGAAAACTTGATCGTATATTCTCCTGGCTTTCTATGTTAAAAACGCAGGAGAGGAGGACAACAGAAATGAGAGGATATAGTCTGCTTGGAAACAACCCACAGGTAGCAAACAGATTGATCAACTGAAGGATAAGTATGGGCCACAATTTAGCTGAGAGTATAAGAGGCTGCCGGCCTTCACCACACACACCATTTTTTCCAACCACAAAGTATTAATATATTTAACTAATGAACGCAGTGTTATTATATTATACAACTGATCCAATATGACGATGCTGAGCAGGGTCCTGGCCATAAGTGAAGAGATGGCACTGATAAAAGGAGGTGAAGGATGTGTAATGTCAATTCAATACATGAGGATTCCAAATAACATACTCTTAGACAAATTGGGTTATGTTATGTACTCCTAAATTTTTGGCTATACTTGAAAAAAAAAAAAAGACAACAGCCAAATTCCTTGTAGACATGTGCTATGGCACAATGTTAGGGTTCCAGTTATGGGGTGTAGTACTTGGTAGCAGCAACCATGGAATTTGAGTAATAAACAAAACATGCTTGAATGGAGTTTTGGTTTTAGAATATATAAATAAAGCATGGGCACCAGCTGGCTGTAAAAATAGTCAAAGACAAGATTCAGAAGATGAATAGGGCAGGAAAAGGGCTAAGCTTGTCAGAGGATGAAGTGGAGTTATTAGGACAAATTAAAGATAATCCCCGAAAGGAAAATTTCTGGAATAATAAAAATCAAGTAGCAGAGATGACAGTTGGAGATTAGTAATAGGAGAAAGTGTAAGTGGGAGGGGTGGAGAAAAGGAGAAGAAATAAAGCTTCAAAGAAAAGAGATGATGAAGAGGCTTCTGAGTAAGTTAAAACTAGGGAGGCAGGAAGAAAATGGAACTGCACAAACAGGCTCGTTCATGCTACCAGATAAAACTGGAGGCAAGCCAGGTGCAGTGGCCCATGCCTGAATCCTTGTACTTTGGGAGGATGAGGCGGGGGCAGGTCACTTGAGCCCAAGAGTTCGAGACCAGCCTCAGCAACATGGTGAAACCCCATCTCTACAAAAACATACAAAAATTAGCTGGGCGTGGTAGTGTATGCCTGTAGTCCCAGCTACTCAGGAGACTGAGGTGGGAGGATCACCTGAGCCCAGGTTGGCCAAGGCTGCAGTGAGCTGTGATTGCACCACTGTACTCCAGCCTGGGTGACAGAGTAAGACCCTATCTCAAAAGACAAAACAAAACAAAACAAAACAAAACAAAACAAAACAAAACAAAACCCAAACCTCAAAACAAAACAAAACAAAACCACTTGGAGGTAGAGAAAAACTACTAGAAGTGAACTGTGACAAAGAAAAATGGTTAAAAAGAGTATTGAGTACAGAATTGTGGATTTAGAAGGAAAATAAGTAAAGGATATAGGAGAGTCTACATGTAAAGGATAAAGGAAGAGAGGAAGACACACGAGTGTTGTATATTTCAAGCTCCACGTATATCCCTTTGGGATACTATAGAAATGGCAAATACAGGGCACTTGTACTCCTTCCTCTTCCACGGCAGATGTTACAAGTTGACCTTGGCACTATTTTCCTCTGAGTATGGATTTGGCCTCGAACCCTTCTCAATACAGCACTTCAGGTAGCTACCACTGACTGATTTCACTTGACCCTGGTCATGAAACCTGAATCCTTAAGGTATTACAAATCAACCAACCTACTGACTGAAGAGGAATCAAAAATGTATACTTCTTACTGGAAAAGCAAAATGTTTCAATGTGAGCTGTTTCTGTACATAGACATCATAAGCCACATGTATAGTTATGAGTAAGTATGTGTATAAAACATGAATATTTCATGCAGGTAGACCCAATCATTCTGTAATTATTTGTAATCTGAAATTCTGTTTTAACCATTTACAAACACAGGAAAATCAACTCATGATTTACCCTGGTAACTGAAACCGTTGCATCTGATCGAATGTTACAAACTATGTTTTGAATTATAATAGCTCATATGAAACAACAGTCTGTTAGAATAATCAGAACTTTCTTCTTCCTTCTCAATCTTATAACGCCATATTGGGCCCAGCATCTTAAAAGGTTGCCAGAAACACGAAATAGGTTGTTCTTCCCCCATGTATCACACATTTTAAAAAAGCACAAATAGTGCAGTATAACATAAGAGCATGGAAAACGATCAGACCATTTGAGGAATAACTGGGATTTCATCAATGGCAGTAAAAAAGAAACCACATTTATTGTCAGTTTGAAACTTGGTTGTAAAAAAAGGGAGGAAGGGTGACGTGTGACAAGGTGCATTGGTTTCCATTTCCTCTTGTACACACTCATTAATTTCTCCCAGCTTCTGAGCATCTGAGGCTTTTGCCTATTCATGCAAAGAGCCACTTGAAGGTATACAATGCCCTGAGATTTTCTCTAGTCCAGGAAACATTCCGTGCTTTCTTTGAACTATTTTGTTTGAACATCCTGGCAAATTATTCATGTTCTGCCAAACAGCTCATAATGCTCTGGGGGAGGAGAGGCAGTGAGCTGCTGTTCAGGGTTTCTCTTTTGATGACTCTCTTATGAATTAACACCAACACAAAAAGATGCTCATTAGTCTAGATGGGCTTAACTGAGATAGAAAAGGAAGGGAGAGGAAAGTAGTGGGTAGGGAGGGAAGGGAGCAATGATCTCTCAAGAATCTTTGAGGCCTGAGAGTCTACTGACCCTAATGAATGAACCCATTATTGCTCCTGTGGACCGCTGAAACAGTACCCTAACTGACCTCCTGCACAACCCTGCCCACCCACTCCCCATCCACTGCAGCGAGAGTCATCTTTTCAAAATACATCTCCAATGCATACTTTCCTCACCAAGGCCTAACAACTTCCTCATGGTATGGCCCTGCCTGCCTCTCTGGCAGCTTATCCACCCCTTATTCTCCAAACTCCAGCCCTGCTGGCCTCTTTTGAATTTCTCCTTGCCCAGGGCCTTTGCTAACCACAGGACCTTTGCACAAGCTGTTTACTCTGCCTAGAATGCTCTCCACCCATCCCCACTCCCATTGCTCAACTTTAATAATATTAGTTCAAATGCCTCATATGTCCTAAGGAAGGCCTATTCTGCATCTGTCCTCACAAACTGGTTCAGGTGCCTCCCACTATCTCCTCTCAAAGCATTCTTTGTCAGCATTTATAACTATTTATAATTATATATTTGTGCCATTACTTTCTGATGTCCCCATGAAACTGTGAGCTGTGGAGGGCTACAGCAGTGACTACTTTCCTTTCCACCATACAATAATACCTTGTACACACACATTTGACTAAATTGTATTGACCCAATGAATTAATGTATTATGTAACATACTACCTTGCTAATACATTCAGAACTATGACATACAGGAAAAAATTAGACAAAAACCCAAATATCATATGTTCTCACTAATAAGTGGGACCAAAGCTATAAGGATTCAAAGGAATAAGAATGATACAATGGACTTTGGGGACTCAGGGGAAAGAGTGGGAAGGGGGTAACGGATAACAGACTACAAACTGGGTTCAGTATATATTGCTCGGGTGATGACACCAAGATCTCCCAAATCACCACTGAAGAACTTAGTAATATAACCAAATTACCACCTGTTCCCCAAAAATATATGGAAATGAAAACATTTTTATGTCTTATACTGAAAACCAAATATTTAGAAAATTTAATAAAAGTAAACTTATATCAAACTTTCCTGCACATTATATTGATGAATGGAAGTTGTGACTAATCTCTCGAGGGTGAATACTTAAAACCACTAGAAAGGACACTGTTTCTTTAATTTTCTTCAGTTCTCTGCTTTGAAGGAACTAGAATCTTTGCTGTGGCTGCCAAATAAAAATGTAGGCAAGTCATCTTGTTTGAAAAATAAACAAGGTTTATGTCTTCTCGTATCTTCTGGGGAAACCAGATCTTTACCTTGGAGTTGGCCAAAATGGAACTAATGGCAGCAACCCTCTATAAGATGGACCCTGGAGAAACATAACTTACGTTGGTTTAGAAGCCTCGGCCTGATCAGTCTGTAGTTTCTCTCCTCCTTCCACCTCCATTGTGCAATATACGATGCGATTTGGAGCCAAAGATTTGAGGCCTTGGACTTCCATAATTACCACCTGAAAAGAGAATTCCACATAATGGAGGTTATTGGCAAGGCCCCTGGCAGCATCGCCCAGAGGAAAATACACAAATGAGAAGCTACAGAGAAAACCAACAGGTATCTGATGGCTTCTGTTAGGTTTGTACCAGTCATGCTGGGACCAGTCTAGCACGAAGATGCAATTCCTCATAGTGTAGCTGATTGCCTGCCAGATAGAAAGACAAGGCTCACCAATTCAAATGCTCACAGGGGCCAGACAGGCATATAAAATGGGCTACTCTTTCTGTGTTAAGCAAATAAGATCAGTTTTTCATTTCTACCAAGGAATTGGCTCTTTTTTTTTTTTTTTTTTGAGATGGAGTCTCGCTCTGTCACCCAGGCTGGAGTGGTGCAATGGCGTGATCTCGGCTCACTGCAACCTCCACCTCCCTGGTTCAAGCAATTCTCCTGCGTCGGCCTCCTGAGTAGCTGGGATTACAGGTGCACGCCACCATGCCCAGCTAATTTTTTTTTTTTGTATTTTTAGTAGAGACAGAGTTTTATCACTCTGTCTAGACTGGTCTCGAACTCCTGACCTCAGGCACTACGCCCGCCTCAGCCTCCTGAAGTGCTGGGATTACAGGCGTGAGCCACCACGCGCGGCCAGGCTCTTATTTTCTTTAAAAATAGTCTGGCTTTTGGTTCAGCACTTTAAAGAGCCACAGGCTCATAAATTCACTTTTTGCTTCACAATAAGATAAGTAATAGTGCAAATACTAAAATAAAGGGCAAGTACTATTCAGCATTAGATTCAGAGATGCAACAGGGATTAGCAGGGACTATGACAAACTGGAGAGCACATGCTCCTTCTGAAGGGAGCAGCTGCCAGTTACAACCCGTTGTTGCCTTGTCTTTTCTCACTTTAGAGTTACCAGATACTCCAATTTTGCCTTCCAGAAAATGAAAAACTGAATCAGAGTCACAGTGAGAAAGCTGATTTTGAAATGCTGACAATAATTCAAATAGGGAGAAATAAAATACACAAACTCTGTACAGGCCAATATTATTGAGTCAAAACAAAAACATGTCTGCAGCTGCATAGTCTTTGGTCCAGACTGAGAGAAAAAGCCGGTGTCATGATGGATCAAGATGTATCATTTACAGTTTCTGGCACTTCCTACCACCTCCCCAAACTCCACGTAATCACCTACTATTCTGATATTTAACAGTATGGCTTGTCACAAGAGACCGGGGAGGGAGAAGAATGCAGAAAGCAGAGAAGAAAGAGATCAATTTAAAAATCTGAAACAAATGACTCACATCAGAGATATACAATTAGTCCTTATACATGAAAAAATCATTCAGTTGTACTCCAAAACAGGTAATGGTATTACACAAGAAGAAGAATGTGAGTGCGCAAAAAATGAATACTTCCTTAGTGGATCAGATTCAAGAAAGTACAATAGGGTTAGCATTGAACCAGGATTCCACAAGTCACAGTTTTGCTACTGGTTCTCAAACTTAATGTGAATCAGAATCATTTATAGGGCTTGTTAAACTAGAGATTGCTAGGCTCTATGATCTCCAGAGTTTCTAATCAGTAGGCCTGGGTTGGAGCCCAGGACTTTCTTTTTCTAACAATTTTCCTGGTGATGCTGATGCTGCTGACCCAGAAGCCATACTTTCAAAACCATTGTACTACTCGCGTGATGTTGGGCAAATGATTTGATGTTGAAGTCACTTCATTTTTCTTTCAAATCTCCAGGGCCTGTTTCCTGATCTGTAAAGTGGGAATAAAAATATGTATCCCGTGGCTGTTGTGTGAGGATCAAATGAGACGATGCACATAAGTGAACATTTTTACATTGGGAAGAACCATATAAATAGAAAGAAATGGAAGGCACAGTGAAAGAGCACAAATTTTGGAATTTAAAATATCTGACTTCACATCCTGATTATGCATTTTCACAAGCTGTGTAATCACGTGCAGGTTTCTCAACCTCTCTGAGGCTTAGTTACTACACCTGCAAATACCTGAAAAGACTATTGTGAGGATTCACTGTGTTATGATGAAAAAGCACCTGGCCCACAGTGGCATTCTACAAACACCTGTTGCTTTCTGTTAGCACATGCCCTTTGCCCTTTGTCCTTTGCCCAAGGCCTGGCTACTGGGCACCCTGGACCTTCCTTCCCTCACTGCAAAGTTATTTACTACCTGGTGGCCCCTCCAGCCATGCAAGTGTATAATTATGTAAAATATGACTTGCACCAAGCTGCAAATTCAAATCCTAGTCTGCCCTGATGAGATGACAATCCTTTCTCCCTCTTCTTGCCTGCCCTCATTGTGCCCACCAAAACACATTCACAAACAGATGTGCAATGGTTTTTGCTGGCAGTTTTCTATGATGTGCAATTCAGTGTTCTATTTAAAAAGTATTTGGGGATCCTAGGACATTTCTTTCTGTACTTTCAATTACAAGTCAAACCATCTGAATCAGGTACACATAGGAGTACGGACTTGTCTACATCTATATTTCAGATAATCAGCTGTGTAATATCGAGTACTGACAAAGAATTAGAAAATTACAGATTTAGCAGGGCATGGTGGTGCACATCTACAATCCCAGCATTTTGGGGGGCTTAGGTGGATAGATGGCATGAGTCCAGGAGTTGAAGACCAGCCTGAACAACATGGCAAAACCCCATCTCTACAAAAAATACAAAGATTAGCTGGGTTTGGTGGTGTGCACCTGTAGTCCCAGCTACTTGGGAGGCTGGCTGAGGTGGGAAGATCACTTGAGTCCAGGAAGTTGAGGCTGCAGTTAGCCAAGACTGCACCTGCACCACTGCACTCTAGCCTGGGCAACAGAGTGAGACGTTGTGTCAAAAAAAAAAAAAAGAGGAAAGAAAATTACAGATTTAAAATACTCATGAAAATCAATAAACCACTTTCCCCCCGTTTCTGTAGGAAGACAAGAGGCAGTAGGGAATAAATTGACACCTTTAATTGGCAATAATCAAATTCAGACACCTAAGAAAATACATTCAGTACCTCAGGTGGCAGTATTGTTTTTTAAAAAAGAAAGTTTCTGTGAAATTACACGGATGATTTTTTCACACACTAAGTACTCTATATTTAATTGAATACTGCCTCTTCCAACTGCACAATACATGTTGAAAACACTAATGTGAGTATCTCCATCCAAACTTAGCACAGAAAAACAAATTACCTGCAGTTAATTCACAGCAGGCTTTAATGATGTTTTAGAAAATTAATTTAGTTTTTACATATTCTAATCAACTGCACAGAAATTTGATCTCTTCTCTTGGTCTCCCCAAATCTAGGGTTATCATAAAACCCTTGTGGGGTTTTGAACTTTAGTAAGTTACAAGTGGTTCTCAAATTTTGGAGTGGATAAGAAGCATGTAGGGGCTGGTTAAAGTATACAGTCCAGGGCTGCATCCTGTCTAGAATTTTTTTTCTGACAACTTGATTGTGGCATGTTTTACATATCATATAATAAACCCATTTTAGATGCACAATTCAGTGATTTTGGTACATTTACTAAGTTGCATGACCATCATCATAAATTAGTTTTAGAATATTTTTAGTTTTCCTAACAAGATTTCTTATGCCCTTTTTCACCCCTTGCCCCAGGGAACATTAATCCACTTCCTATTTCTGTAGATTTGCCTTTCGGACCTTTTATATCAAGGGAATCATACAATATGTGGTCTTTTTTTTTTTTTTTTTTTTTTTTTTTTTTTTTTAAAGACAGGGTCTCTCTTTGTCACCCAGGCTGGAGTGCAGTGGCATGATTATGGCTCACTGCAGCCTTGATCTCCCTAGCTAAATTGATCCTCCCACCTCAGCCTCCCAAGGAGCTGCACACCATCACACTCAGCTAATTAAAAAAAATTTTTTTTTTGTAGAGATGTCTCACTATGTTGCCCAGGCTGGTCTTAAACTCCTGAGCTCAAGCAATCCTCCCACCTCAGCCTCTCAAAGTCCTGGGATTATAGACATGAGCCGCCATGCCAAGCCTGGCTTTTTTCACCAGGCGTATTTTTGAGGTTCATCCATGTCATGGCATGTATCAGTGGGTTGTTCCTTTTAATTGCTGAATCATATTCCATTGTACGGGTATACCCCATTTTGTCGATCCATTCACCAGTTGGTTAACATTTACGTTGTTTCCATTTTGGGCTATTATAAATAATGCTGCCATAAATATTTACAGTCAAATCTTTGTGCAGACATGTGTTTTCATTTTTATTGGGTATCTGACAGTGGAGTTGCTAGATCATATGGTAGTTTTATGTTTAACTTTTTCAGAAAATGCTAACCTATTTTCCAAAATGGCTGCACAATTTTATATTCCCATCCCCTCGAGATCCTAGCTCAGTAGATCTGGGTGGTACCCAGGAATCTGCATAGTGAACTACCTTCCCATGTAATTCTGACATAGGTAGATCAGAACTACTCCTTAGATTATATACATATGAAAAGAAAATGTGTGAAGAGAAATTATAGAGAAACTTATTGACATGTTGAGCATTTTGCCACAATACTAGCCTGAATGGGTACTTACTTTGGGAGCTGAGATAAACTAAAAAAGCCTCCACCACAAGGGACTCTCTACCTTGTAGCCAACAGGAAGGATGATGGGAAAGAAAATTTACAGCTCACCACAATATGATGCTAGCTTGCCTCTCTTATAACTGTAAAACTGGCTGCCAAAATTTTTAACTTTCTAAATTATATAAGGTCTTTATAAAATCCTTGAGCACTGTTTTAAGACAGAAAGTAATGCAAGATTAAATTTAGTAGGTGGTTTTCAGATTGCATTTCCTTAAGAAAAATGTGGGCTCCTGGAGATGGGGAATCACTTGCTGATTAGCTGACCTAAGCTTAGCATGCTGTTATTTTAATAACTGCTCCTGGGGTGCAACAGAAAAAACAAGCTGATTGTGACGCATCTAATCGCCCATGTCCTACTTGCTGTGCCAAGAAACTTTCAAGGGCTCAGGGCTTTTTACCTCCAATGAGAAAGACAGCACGACATCTGACTTGGAGAGCTGGTTCTCACTCTCCTCGCCCATGTCGATGATGGAAGCATTGTGGCTGCGTTTGAGTTTCTGGAGCTTGAACTCCCCGCCTTTGGATACCGGCATGCTCTCCAAGTTGGCCATGAGCAGGTTGACAGATGACTTCAGCTCCTCAATGTACATGTTTTCCATTTCTTTGGATACAAACTTGGGAAATTTGCGTTCCTTGGGAAGAAAAAGAAAAGTATGAGCAGAGGAGAAAATAGAAAGCTGATTTATAAAGAAGGTCTTTGTCCCATGGCCCAGAGTTAGAATCACATCTACTACTAGTGAAATTCACCCAGATCTCATGGCCTTGTGCTAGAAAAATGTTCAGCCTATTTGAGTAGACAGCTGCCTGCCTGCTAGTTATTTATACATTGTAACAGGTAAGAAACACGTACATAAACATATAGTAAGAAACATTGAAATGCTTTATTACAGTTCTATTTTTCCCCAGTTTCCTTCAGCAAATTTGATTTGTAGGAAGAAAAATGGGGTGTTATTTTTCAAATATGGTTTCAGTTTAGTTTTTCTTTTTAGTAAAATGCAGTCATTTGTTTTTAAGTGAGGGAAACAGAAAGAGACCCTATTTCTGGATATCTACAGAGATTTTCTCACATGAATAATTCAAAAGGAGCTCATTTGAGAGGTTTCAAACATAGTCTGTGTCTATTTCTAAGAATAATAGTTACTGTTTTCAAGAAAAATTGAACCAAATTAATGAAGTGATGAAAAATGTGATTAAAATTCTTTAGAAGATAGAGCAATTTGGTATCATAACTGACCTCTATTTTTTCCTTTCTTGCTTATACATTTAGTTGTAATTGCAACACGTGCTAACCATGCTATTTGTTTCTTCATACTTCTAAGTCACCTGGAATGTGCTTTGGATCAATCACCTTCCCAAACAGTCATTTACCACTTGAAACATAAACTTGCCCTCCCCAAGCCCTATTCCATAACTGATGGAGTGAGAAGCAAGCCAAGTCAGTTTGACATTTTTATTTTTTTTTGCAAGTGACAGAAAAATCCACCTCAAACTGGCTTAAAACAACAAAAGAAAATATCCTGGGGTAGACCCAGCTTCAGGAAAGGCTGGAATCAGGGCTCAGGTGATATCACCACAACTGAGATTTTTGTTAAAATCTTGGCTTTGGTTCCTCTGGGGTGGCTTCATGCTCAGTTTGGCTCCCCTATCTTCACAGAAATGTTGCTAAAGATGTGGACTGCACAACATCACATCATGCTATCTAACGGAAAAGTGAATATTTCCTCTTGTAATATGCAAGGAAGATGGAGACAGTCTTTCATCCCCAAATTCTCACCCAAAGTCTAACTTAAGTACATGTCCAATTGGCCATATTACTGGCCAATTTCTATGGCCAGTAATATGCTGTGCTGATGTGCATAGGCATAGCTTATGTCCTCTGTCCTTGTGGCTGGGAGTAGAACCCCACCTAGATCCCATGGAACATGAATTGGTATGCCAATTCTGTGTGGCCAAAAAAAAAAAAAAAAAAAAAAAATAAGCTGTGTAACATATGGGCATCTGAGTCAAGATGAACCAACTAATTTTATTAGTGCCCTGTCATCAATCAGATTTACTCTGTCAAGCAGTTGAACTAGACTGAGAGACATTGAGACTGCAATTGGCTGGTAGAACTGAAACAGTAACATCTTACAGACTCAGGGTTGGCTGCCACACTGGATCAGGTCAAAGCAGAATAAGACACTTAACAAAGAAGAGAGAGAAAGAGGTAGAGACAAAGAGAGAGAAGAAGTAAGGGAGGCAGGGACTGAAGGAGGGAGGAAAAGGGAGAGGAGAGAAAAGAAAAGAAAAGAAAAGAAAGATGCTTTCTAGAGTTACAGAAAGGAACTCTGACTTTTATCATTTTCTAATTTCCACAGGACTAGTTATTTCTCCTGTAATTTTGTTCCTTAAGAATTTATTTTTCTTTCAGTAATTCCCCCACCCACTGTTAGTTAAAAGGGTTTTTCTTCCTTGCCATCTCACAGCTTCAGTCAAATACGGAGAGTGCTTCTTCTCCATAGAGCTTGGAGATGTCTTTGTGCTGGTCCAGTGCCAGTCTCCTTCCTACATGAAGGCTGTCATAAGTCTTGTTCCCCTCTCTCCCTATCTCCCTGCATAACTAACAGCCTTGTTTTCATCTTCCATATTTCAGCTTCAAAATTTCACTTCCCTGGGTTGGGTCCTCCTGTTGTATTTGCTAACTTACCTTCTTGGTAGCATTTATTGAAATGGATTGAATGTTTGTGTCCTTGCCTAATTTATATGTTGAAATCTAACCCTCAATGTTATGGTATTTGAAGATGGGCCTTGGGAAGATGATTAGATCATGAGGGCCCTCATGATGGAACTAGTGCCTGTATAAAGGAGGCCTCGGAGAGCTGCTCATTTGTTCCTGCCAGCATGTGAGGACCTGGTAAAAAGACAGCTGCCTATGAACCAGAAAGTGGGCCCTCATCAGACACTGAATCTGATGGTGGCTTGATTTTGAACTTCCCAGCCTCCAGAACTGTGAGAAACAAATTTCTCTTGTTTATGTCAACTATGGCATTCTGTTATAGCAGCCTGAATAGACTAAGACACTTGTTATAATTATAATTAATCAATCAATTGTGGAATTTGTTTAATTTCTGTCTTTCCTGCTGGGCAATGATTCAGGACCATATCTATCTTAATACTCCTGTTGAATTTTCTGTGTCTAGCATAAAGTTTGGCACATAATAAGTATTCAATACATATGAATTGAGTGAATAGATCAATGACTTGTCAAAAATGCCCATATTAAATATCAATGTAGCTAAAATTCAGCTGTGAGGAGGAGGTAGATAGATGATAAATTAAGTTCTGAAAGAACACCGAGATTCTGCTTTTCCATGTGAATAAAATATGGGGGTCTGAAATCCACTCCGCAACGTCACAGTACCAGTTCCTTCTGGAACTTCTTAGTATAATCACGTCCTGCTTTTAAGACTGGGCTAAGCTCACTGTGTGGTGCTTTCTAAACACGCTGTGCATGAATGTGAGGGAAAGAGCAGGATGGATGCTTCTGAAATGAGATGACAGGCTGATGATCTTGACAAGAGCTACTAATGATTCATCACAAAAGAATCTCAAACGTTGTATTTCTCTAAAACTTCCTGCACAGTGGCCTTGAAATTTTGTCATTCTTGGACTTGATCAGGGACAAGTGTGAACCTCAGAACTTGGATTTCTTTTATGAAAAACCGTCAAGATGCGAGGACTTGGCTGCTGGGTCCCCATCACTTGGAAAACATTTACTGCCACAAACACTGTATATGGTACAGAGTTAGGCACTAGGGGGATCATGTTGAGAGGATGTAAACTGTCTTCCTTGAGCTTACAGCTACTGGGGAGAAAGATCTATAACAGAACATCAAGGTAGGTACTGTAATGGAAGTATAATGTGATGCAAATCCTTCCTGAGAGAATCAAGGGTGGCTTCCCAGAGGTGGTGACCTTTGGGATGAGGGTCTGATGGATAAAGAAGAGTTTGCCACCAGGTTGAGTTGGCTGAGATAGGGCCACTGCTCTTTTCTCCTTCCCATGGAAAATACTGTAGGCAACCATGAATCCAAGAAGGTGTATACAACTTTACATAGCCACACAATATTTCCTCATATTTCTTGGAATATGGCCTCTCTGGAGAGTGAAGGGAAGAGTGAGGTAGGTTAACTCATGGTCTGAGAGTAGTCCTTAGGCCCCATTAAAGGCTGTCACGGAACAAAGGTTACATCCCAAGAGCCTGAAACTCATTACACTGACCTGTATCTTGCCTCCTCATACTGGGGCCAAAACCTCAGTGAACTACATGGTATTTGGTGTGGGTGGGGGAACTTGGTAAGTGGGGAATTTCTGATTTTAATGCCAGTTGCTGGCTTGGTAGTTGCCAGGAGGATGAAGAAAATAGCTAGCGTTTGTGAAGTGGGTTCTTGCTAATCAATTTTGAGAGACTGTCTTGTCAAGTGCGGTTCCTTCTATCACAACTTATCTTAGGGACTCACTCAGTGCCTTTTAACTCCACAGTCCTGAGATTTTTTTAGGAGGCCCGGTGGTTACAGATGCCACCATGCTGACTGAGGGTTAGCTCCACCAAATTCTATCTAGCAAAATATTGGGAAAATCCAAAGAATGATCACTCCTCCCAGAACTTGGACAGTTCCTAATGACATCATAAAAAGAGGCTCATAAAAACTGAAGTCTGCAAGGAAAACAAGGACATTTTTCTGGTGCAAGGACTTAAGCCTTGGGAAGAAATAGCATACTGTCAATCCAGGCTGAGTTTCTTGAGTGGAGTTTTTCAGTGGCAGACCCATTGCAAACACATTTCAAAGCTGAACTTGTGCCAAAATAAGGAAAATGCAGTCGTCCATCTCCATTGCTACTTTTTCAAGCACAAAAATAGATCAGCCTTGACAGAAGAATTGTTTATTCATATTGCTTTATGAGAAACATAGCGTATGGGTGGGCAAAGTCCTCCAAAAAAATCTCTGTTGGCCATTTATTTTTGTTTTGGGCTGATAACATTCCTCAGTGGAGACAGCCTCCCAAGGACAATTCCCACTAGGGTTATTTATGCTCTGAGGGATTTTGGAACATCTTTAAAAATAGCATTTGAAAGTTCTAATGCCTCCCTTGGCTGCTGGCTTTTCTTTTCTGGTTTTGGATTTTTACCCAGAGAGGATGAATGGGGTATGTATAAATGATGACAAGGCTGCCCCCCTTCAGAGTGAGGTTCCCTAGACCCCAAAGACTCAAATGACAAAGTTGGTGGGTGATCAGAAGGAGGAATGTGACAGAAGGGCCGGTGCTAGACACTGGAGCTCACTGACAGTGCTGCAGCTATTTAATCCAATCTCTCAGACACTTCCTGGGCTTCTGTCATGTGTCAGGTTGGTATGGCTGTCACTGGAGATGAGAAAACCAGCCGAGAGGTGATGGTATGGGGGGACATGCCAGAAAGTGACCAGTTAGTGACACATGAAGCAACAGAGGCGTGCAGAGTACAAAGAGGGCATCAAGGAACTCATCCAGTCCATGACAGTGAAACGGACTCGACCCTGAATGCTGGGTCTGCTGCTTACTAGCTTTGTAAGTTTGGACAGATTTCTTCACCCATCTGAATTTTGGTTCCCACATTTGAAATGAGGATAATAAACCTCACAGAATTATTGTGAAAAGTAGAGATCATAACATGAATATGTTTTGATCACTGACACACACAGCCTCTCTTTACACACATACACCCCTTGCAAGCACTATGCTCCTACCACCACCACTACAAACAACAATAGTACTAATAATGATGGTGCCTATAGTAAAGATAATAATGTTAGTTGGCACTTACTGAGTACTAACTATGTGCTGGACACTAGGTGAAAACTTTACATGCTTTATTTTACCTTATCTAATCCTTCCAACAACCCACTGATGCACATGCTTCTATTTATCCCTATTTTTTGGAAGAAAATGAGGCAGAAGTGTTAAGCAATAGTTACTAGAGTTAAACTTGAAACCTAGCAGAGTTTTTGTTCTTAGCTATGATAGGATAAGGCAGAACTATCTGGCTCCAAATGTCTATAGAGCTGAGGCAACTCTGGGGGTTCTCTCTGCATGGTGCATCCTGTATGCATCATCTCCTTTCATCCTGGTCAGCAGAAGGCTGGTGATGGCTGAGCCCTCCACAGCAATGGCCATTCCACCATTACCCAGACAATGTGCACTCTGTAGGATTAAGCACAGGGAGTAATGAGGATGGGGTCAGCAGGTTAAATGAGAGAAAGAGGTCTTGGTATTAATTTGTCAAAATAGGCATTGCAGACATTAAAAGGCACTTTGGGCTCAGGCATTATAGTTTTCTAGGCCAGCTTATTTACCCAATTGGTCTTACTTCCTCAGCTTTTATGAACTAGATGGACTTCCTTCCACTTGAACAAGCTTCAGAGGACCCCCCTGGCATTTATATTTTTCCGTGAGCTCAGATTTCCCAGGATTTTTAGCTATTGACAAAGGCCAGAGTCAGAGAGGGGATCCCTGCACACACATTTTGTTTAACTGTTCAGGCAACAAGTTGAAAGAAGTTCCTACTATGTGCTGGACACTTATGTTACTTCATAACACAGCATGGGTGCCATGTCCAACATTAGTTTGAAAGTTGGGGGTTAGTATCTTTCTCTGGTAGGAGAGGATTCCATTTGTATCTGGTTTATGGCAATGTGTGGAACAGAACTTTTCCATCAGATAAATATTTGGATATTATTTCTTACTGATATTTGCAATAGGGCCAGGATATGAGCTACTAATTGTGCTCTGTGTAGAATACGGGTCTAAGTGGCATTTTCATATTTAAAACGACGGCTTGAAGAACCAATGGTGTTTTACTCCCAGACCTCTGCCACTGACACTACAAAAGCTGTATGATTTGTCTTAAATAATTAGCTCAATAATTTTGGAATTTTACACTAAAATTCGGCCAAAAGAACTGGCAAATATCACAGCAGCACTAATGCCACAATCTGTCTGCTTAAGCTCAAATGTCAACTTTTGATCACACAATTTAAATAACTTAGACTTAATTCCTGGGTGAAATTTGGGAACACTTTAATATCAACATGAGAGGATTTGGGAAAATGTTTGAGCAGGGATTACCAAGTCTTTTCTACCAGATTTTAAAAAATGCATTCATATTTCTTTCTGGAACTTTTAAGGCAGCATGACTGATGTTCACAGTGAGACCATCTCTGTCTGATGTTCTTGTGCAGCCGTCTCTGTCTGATGATTCGTGAGATGCTGGTGCGATTGAACTGACAGATTACACTGCAAGGTTGTGGGTAAGGAAAAGTCAGCTTGCTTTTGCCTCCCTTCCCTCCTAGGAAGAGAGGACAGACATGTCTTTCAGTGGAAATATGTGATGATGAGAATGCTGCTGGCAAAATAACCAGGGTCCCTACAATATCTTTTCCAGATTCTAAAAAAATCAAAATAGAGAGGATTCTGAATTCTAGGAGCCAAATCTGCCTAATGCTGCTGCTTCATATGGGCTTCTGGATAAGCTGCAGGGAACACACAGCAACTTCTAGTGGAGAAAAGAAAGCAGTTTCCAGGAGGGGGAACCAGCAGGGAGTGAAGAATTGGGGGAGTCCTGTCCTGGAGTAACTTCCTGCCTTTCTTCTGAGTATTCTAAAGAAATAGCATGAAACGTGGAATTAGACAACTCAGTTTTCTGCATAGTAGTTGTGTGCACTTGAACATGTGTACACTTCTTGATTTGCCTATACTTGGGAGAATTAATGTAACGCCAAAGATTGTTCATCACGGGTCTAAATGAGATTTTATGTGAATTGCACAGCCAGTGTCTGACTGACACATTTAATAAAGGACTGATTAGCAGAGAGAGAGTTCAGGATGAGGCAAGGTAAAAGCCTGAGTAAAGGGCATAATGGATCCTTGGATTGGTATGAGGGGGAAAGTGAGGGCCTATATCTGGGAATATATTTTGCAATGATAGTATGCATACTGGTTAAGAGTGCAGACTCATTAGAGAACCTTGGTCAGATTCTCTAATGTCTCTGCTTTAGCCTCCTCATCTGTGAAATGGGGATAATAATAGCATCTTTCTCATTAGGTTGTTGGAGGGTTAGATTCTCAGATGTAAAATGCTTAAAAGAGTATCTGGCACATAGGAAAACACTAGGTAAGTGATAGTTATTACTATTGGGTACATCTGGAGTGCTTCCCAATTCATAATGTCCACTCCACCCACAGCCCCACTTCTTCCCACCCTCACCCTAAATGATATATCCCCAGCATCCATGTATTCAACGAGACTTTCACCCCTTTTTCCATTGTAGATTGGTTAACTGCACCAGGGGTTGGCCCTTGAACCAAGTTGGGCCAGTGAGAGTTCTGATTCTTAGCATTGTGAATTTGCAGGGGATAAGAAAGAAATGATAATGAATGTGACACATGGAGATGGGAGATGCAGGGAGAGTCCTGATCACTCTGCAGGCCCTGGTTGTTCTTTCTTGGGTTCTGGCTGCAGTTTCTCTGCAGGTTCTGTGAAGTAGTCCTCCGTCTCCGATCTCCTCTTTTACATAAGCTTGCTTGAGTTGGTGCCTCTTATTTGCAATCAAAAGTGCTCTACCCATCTTTTAATTCAGAGAACGGAGTGAGTTACATATGATGGATGACATCTATATCCAGGAATTTCTGGTTATGATATTTACAGGAGCTGACATTCAGCCATATGGGTTGAATTGCACATCCTCACGAAAATTCACTGTGATGCTGGAAATAGAAAAATCGGGGCATGCTAAAAAGAAGATAAGCAGAGGTGATTTGTCTTAATATCTCTTCATGAACTAGCCAATATCCGAGATCTTGATATTTTATTTAATATTTAGTGGAGGAGATATTTCACAATTTTCATCAGTATTAGCCAGGCTGGTTTAGGCAAGGGGAGAATTTATTTTTCTTGGGATCCAACTAAGCTGAGGGAAAAGCAGGTACATGGCTGAAGCTTAAGAATAATTACAATCGGGGACTTAAACGGATGTCCTCAGGATTGTGGGCTCCTTGACATCTCAGTGTAGACTCTGTCTCTGTTTCTATGTGTTGGCTTTATTTTCTCATCATCTTTTCCCTATATGGAAGAAGTGCACATTGCTACAGGTATCTTTCTACCACTGGAAGACAACAGCCTTGCTGACCCACAGTCCACAGGCCCTACGAAGGAATTCATTGGTTTAGTTTGCATCAAGTTTCCATTTCTGGACCAATCACGTGTGGCCAGGGCAGGCTGGAAACTGACTGCTTCCACCTGGGTGAAGAAGAGCTCACTCCAGGACCAGTTAGCTATATAGCAAGGGGGCCACTGGCATGAACGAACATTGCAGAAGACAGTCAATTTCTGAAAGAACAGGAGACAGTAGAGGGCACTCTATCTCATAGAAACCCTCAATACCCTAGACAGGGACCCTCCATATATACTGAAATCATTTTCCGTGCTCTGTAAATAATAATCAAGATCCACTTTAATTGCCTACTTCATTGTCTAAGAATGCTTAGGTCTAAGTTGTTAATAATATCTCATTTAGCTTCAGAATATTTAGTGGTGGGGGTTGGGGGAGAGAGTTCTTTGATTTACTATTCAGAGATGAGCATCTTGGCTCATCCAGGTTCTATTAAAAATTAAAATTAGCCTAACACCAGTTTCTTAAATTATCATGTTAAGCCTTAAAGTAAACAAAGCAAGTAAATTAAAGGTGCCATGAGCTTGTTTTTGAGGTGTGTGTGATTTTTATTTAGATGGGATGAATACTTTTTAGTTGGGAATATACTCGTTGTCTAAAATGCAGATGAATGGACCAAATGACCTCCATTTTCTGGATAATCCACCAGTAGGAAACATTTTTACAGGAGAAGTAAATTCTAAAGCTTTATTAATGTTTACTGTCACATTAAGTGGGATTTTAAAGCGTAACCTTTTATAATACCTTTAGCCAAATCCATAAGCGCATACTATTTTTAGCCACCAGGCTGACTTGATTATAAACTTTAAAGGTGTCCAAAAACAAGATGCAAAACATTTCAGTAAAACTGCTTAAGCACAGGGGGATTTTGATGCTTCTTGGAATCTCTCTGGCTTCTCCTCCAGTAGGATTCTTTTCCATACCTCCAAGTCTGGAGACACCTCTTTCCATAAAGTGAAAAGCTCTACCCTGTGCCCACCCTCCCTGCTGTTTCTAATAACCCCCACCCTCATATGCCCACAGGGCCTGTGAATACAGTAGGAATCATCAGGAGCCTGATGCTATTTACAATTTTTATATTTTATTCTTCATGGATTTTTTTGGTATTAATTGTAATTGAAAAATACTTTACTAAAATAGTTTATTTTGATTAACGGAGGCCCGTTTAAATTTTGTGCCTGACATAAGCCCGGTGCCAGCCCTGATATTTAGACAGACCTGAGCTGAGGGTGTGCCACAATCTCTTTGCTGGTGCCCAGCAGGTTCAACCTGGACTTCCCCATCTCTAAACCAAGAATGATAACTGAAATATCCTTGGAGGGCTGTTTTGAGGATTGACTGAGTTGGTACATGTGAAGCATTTAGCATGCTAGACACAGAATCAGCACTCAACTAATATGACTGGCATGACTACTATTAATAATATCAGAGATGGCAGGGATAGCAATAATGGTAGATAACACTTAGCTGTAGTCATCAACAGTAAGACATAACCTCAACCCTTGAGGAGTTCTATATACTGGGAGACTCAGACATGTAAATAAATGATCACCATTCGATGAGCTGCTATAATAAAGGTTGATATGCGATCTGACGGGAACACAAAGGTGGAAAGGACTAACTGCTAAGCTCTTAGAGAAGGTGTTTTAAGTCAGGTACTGAAGGCTGAGTAGGTGAGTTTGCTAAGTGAGGGGAGAAACATGGTTACTCCAGGTTGAGACACCAGTGGGTATAAAGACACCAAGCCTGGAAAGGGCCTGGTATATTTGGAGGGAGACATTCTCTGTAGTTGGACTCGGGAGTTCCGGTGGGAAAGTTGTGCAAGGTGAGGCTAAAATGAAAGGGTAGAGTCTGTTGGTTAAGAGTCTTGATTATCATTCTAAAGAGGTTAGATTTTGTCCTGGGAGCAATGAGGGAATCTATTGAAGGATTTTGAGGCTCTGTTTTGAGATGTTTGTATATGAGTTTTATCCGGGCAACTGTGTGCAGGATGGATAGAAAATGGGGGAACTGCAGCCAGGGATACCCATTGGGAGGCTATTGTAACATCCAGGTGCTGAAGATGAGGGCCTGGATCAAAGCACCAGTAGTAGGGCTGGAAAACAGTCAAGAGATCTGACCCACATTTAAGAGGCAGTCACTGGAGGCAGGGTGGCTGACTGAGTGTGGAACATTGCAGGGAGAAAGGAGAAACTGACAATGGCTAGGAGGTTTCATCCACAGTGATTGGATATAGAACAAGAGAAGAGGAGTAAATATAGTTATGTGTGTGGGGTGGGAGGAAGACAAGGAGCTAGATTTTGAAGGCATTCAACCTGAAATGCCAGGAAAATGTTTAAGTGGAAATGTTCAGTAGACTGTTGGAGCTATGTGTCTGGAACTCAGAAGGAATGTTGGAGGTCTGAGCTTGGGTATTCACTGGAGCATAGGAAATGCATGAGGTATCTCTGGGAGAGCTTGCCTTGAGAAAGGAGGGCTGAGGGCCCAATGAGGGTGATTGTCCTCATCTTCCCTCCTCTCTGCTTCTCAGCTTTATCCTTTAGAGGCTGTCAATAATCAATGTGCTTCCTGAGTGGGACTTTGGCCTGGACCCCAGCAAACAACCACAATGTTTCCTTACCCTGGCTATTTGGTCTGCCATTTGTAGACGTCCATCCAGCTCTCGTCTGATCTGGGCTGCTTGCTCATCTGGATTGTCCAGCTGCACAAAAGCACAGACATTGAGACTTTTAGTTTGGGTCACAAGTGCCAATAAACTCAGGACATTCCATTTTATACCCCCTTGCACTGTGCTCCATGGACATATTTCAGTTAAAAAAAAATTCTTATAACCGACAAATCCAGTCTGAGTGAAATTCCAAGTTAATTCTTCTAGACAGAGCGTGATATGGTAGGCAGCTGCTAAGACAGGCATTTGAACGACCTTGCAAAAGAATCATCAATCTCTTCTGAACTGTTGGGCAGCAGTGTTTCTAATGAGGACCAATGCACACTTCTTTTTGGCCCAGTGACCAAAGTGCTTACACGGCAGATGTACAAGGAAGGAGACGGCAATATAACTATTAGAAATGTCAGGAGCAGACATAGTGCATATCCCCAGTGCACACATGGCACGGGTCCAGCCGCTCTCCACCTCTGGACCATGGAGGATTAATAAGTCATTGCGTTCCTTCTCTTTGAACGCTGAGACCTGTACCAGCCCTCCAGATGGCTACTTCCAATCAGCTGGTGTTGATATCTAAGTTGAAATCTATCCCTGTCTTCCCTGATAAAGAGAACTATTTGGATATAAAGATCAGAGCACCCAGGCATAAATAAGCCTGGACAATTCCCTAACTTCTCTGTTTTCAGTTTTTTCTATCTAAAGAAAAAGGGGTCAGTTATGTAGTCTTCATCCCTTTTACAAATTTCTGTGACTCTTTGAAAGGAGTAGCAGACATTTCTGTAAAGGGACCTATATTCAAAACTTTAGGCTTTGAGGGCCATAAGATCTCTGTTGCAATAAATCCACTCCTCCCTTGCAGGTGAAGACAGCACTAAACAATATGTAAGTATAGATAATATATAAGTGAATGTAAGGGCTGTAGGTGAATGAGACCCACTATATTCTAATAGAATTTTATTTACAACAGGTGGCAGGCCATAGTTGCTCATTTCCATTTTATGAGTTGAAACTATTATTTCCAAGCAACCCCAGCATTTCCTTTCAAGCTGTATTGAGTCTGCTTATTCAGAAAGTTATATTTTATTCACAGAAAAGTTTACTAAGGAGCAGTGGCATTTAAATAAAATGGTTTTTATTCCTCTTTTTAGTATATATTAATTCAAAACAAAAAGTAGCATAAGAAATATGTGAGTTTTCTAAGTCCCTTTCTTCTAAAATCAATTTTAGAAGAAAGTTTAAAGCTCCCTGCCTCCAAAAAAAAAAAAAAAAAAAAGATTCTCACCTATGCTGTGAAATGATATAGCAAATAAGTTATTTGGATTATGATATAAACAATAACACTGGAAAATATATGGTCATACTTTTGAAGCATCACAATTAACCTTCTTTGGTTTATTTTACAAAACACATTGAAAATCCATCTGGCTTTATGCTGTACATTTTAATCACCCTGTTCAATTCAGGAACCAGCATCACTTTATCTTCCCCTTTCCACAGTTTGGGAGAAGGACTTTTCCTTAGATCATGAAAACTGGATTGCAACATTTGGCTAGGTATTCTAAGGCAGTATTTTCCAAAGGGTGTTCTGTTACAAAGTCTTCGAGAAGCTCTGCAGTAAGAAAATTTGTTAGATTTTGACCAACTCAACTATTTATTTTTTTTCCCCCGAGATGAGGTCTTGCTGTCTTGCCCAGGCCGGAGTGCAGTGGTGTGATCTCGGCTCACTGCAACCTCCGCCCCTGGATTTAAGCAATTCCCCTGCCTCAGCCTCCTGAGTAGCTGGGATTACAGGCGCATGCCATTGTGCCCAGCTAATTTTTGTATTTTTAGTAGAGATGGGGTTTCACCAGGTTGGCCAGACTGGTCTGCGAACTCCTGACCTCGTGATACGCCTGCCTTGGCCTCCCAAAGTACTAGGATTACAGGCGTGAGCCACCATGCCTGGCCCCAACACAACCATTTTTAAACTGAAGCTAGAATTTTTATTTTTTGCATAATACTCATAGAACATGAGTTGGAAACTCTCTTCTAAACAAACGTAAAGCACACCACCCAAAAGCAGTCACATGACTGACCAGTCGTCCATCCCAATAACCACTTGTTGACAGGCACACACACGTGGGAAATACAGTGTCCTCAGTGCTGTTTTTAGGTTCCAATGAGCTGCTTTTCTTTTTATTCCCTTGGGAAGCCCAAAAGTTCTTCAGCTCTAAGTGCAAATCCACTGGGAACACTCAGAAATGTCTTGTTCAAAATACATATGCAAATGAAACATTCAACTACTTCACTGGGAAGCAGCAAAATGATTTGGTTATTGTCTAAAGTTGGTTAAGAGCCAAATGATTTGGTTAGGAGAATTTCGTCGGAAGATATGGTGCTCGTACAGGTTAAAACAGAAGTGGGAAAATACAGCCCAACAGAACCAGCTCCATTACTAAATTTTCCAGAGGCATTTGGGTTCTCCCACTGGCTTCATAGAAGGCAACTGGAAACAGCAGAAAATGCTGGCAATGAAGATGAGTAGGCAAGGTCTACATTAAGCTTAATTTATTCTTTTATTCATTACTTCACTAATTTACTCATTCATTCATTAAATTTTTATGGAATATCTTGATATGTCAAGATATTGGAATAAGAAAGGAACAAGTCCCTGACTCCATGGAGCTTAAATCCAGCAAGAACAGGCATGATTTGGGCATAAAGAAGAAAGGATTAGCATTTATTGATGCCTGTACCAAACACCAAATACCCTATGACCTGTTTTACAGCCTTTTCTAAAGGGTCCCAAGAAACAGAGGCTAATGTGCATTCACACAGGAAAAAGGATTCTGGGGTGAGGAATTGATGATTCCTCTTGAAAATTTGTAATATGTCAACATAATCAAGACTTGGAGAAATTCTAGAGTAAATAATTGTTTTTAACTGCATTTAACCTTGTCTTTTACACAATTATTCCACCAAAAATCACAGAGCAGTTTGGAAAATTCCACATGTGAAACAACTTTGTAAGGTTGGTATCATTATCCCCATTTGACGGATGTGGAAACTGAGTCTTGGTAAGGTAGAGGAACATGCCCCAAATCACACTTCTGGTAAAGTGGTACTAGTCACCTGAAACCAAGTCTGCTCTGCCTCAAACTGGAACTCTTTTGCTCTGCATTATGTTGGCTTCATACTTAAGTGCCTTGTTTGGTTTTCTAATTGATCCTGACAGTTAACTAGCTCAGCAACCTCACTTTGTTCCTTGTAGACACGGGCCAGTTTGATCCATAGAGCCACCACTGGGGACAGAGAAATGTCAACCCTCTGTCACTTGTCATGACTGATTTCTTTTGGGGAGGCTGTAGCAGTGCTGGATTCCTCCCTAAGAAATAATAGCAATGGGTGTGTCCTTATCCTGGTTGTGCCACTTAGTAGCTGTGTGACCTTGGGCAAGTTACTTAACCTCTCTGTGCTCCAGCTCTTCTCATCTAAATAATCAGGTTAATGAGACCTGAGGTTGTCATGAGAATCAACGGAGACAACGGATATAAAGGGCTTAGTCCATGGCTTGGCATGCAGCAAACCCTCATGAATGGTGGCTGCTGCTCCTTGTGTTGTTATTTTAGAGCAGTCCATGTTGGCTGCATTTCTGACATGGGCCACAGTGGGGCGTCAAAGGTTCAGAAGAGAAGGCACCAGATGGGACAGTGTCCCTCACTGGCGTGAATGTAGGGTGTCGGTCTGACAGTCTGTGCAGCAGAAATGATGTGATCAGAGGCTCCCATCTCTTGACAAATTTCCCTGGCTTTTCTGTCTCCCACTTTCTCTGGGGTCGAGTCCCCTTGCTCTGTTAGACTTTAATTAGCGGGAGTGACCAGAAGGCGGCCACTGCTGCCTGACAGCTAATGATCTGAAGAGAGGATGAAAAGGGAAATGCAACTGAAGCTCCCTAAAATAGCTTGGCATGATAGAGAAGGCCATCCTCGCGTGAGGAGCTTGACAGCTCCACTCTATGAAATCCCAAAATATAAAGAGAAATCAAGTAATTACCTTTTCAAGGGCTGGAAAGAAAAAGCAAGAGAGTGAGCTTCCATGGAAACAAGGTTCTGTTTATTGCGCTGGTCTTTTCCACTGAGGAAAGGAAAGATCAGCTGGAGAACCAAGCCAAGGGCAAGCCTTTCACGTTGGCAGATCATTAGGGTTCAAAAATGTACATGCGCATAAAGGCTCTTTACCTAATTAGACAAATAATCTTCCTACTAGAAGAGGTCAAGCAGAGGCTGTGTGGTTGTTTTGACTTGTCAGTCAAGTAGAGGAAAATAATTCCTTGGGCTTTTCCTTTAAAGTGATGGAGAACTAAGCCCAGCACTGTGTAAGTGTAGACAGGTATTGCCTGAGCCATCAGTTCAAGTCCACCAGAGACAATTGTCTCTAGCTCATGGGTGGTACTCTTTCCGTCAATGCAGAGATGAAAACTCTGTCCTGTTACTGTAGGGCCAATTTAAACACAGGCTTGAGATATAGCAGGGTGGAGTTGCACCCTTGCAACCTTGTCAAGTTTCTTAACCTCACCATGCCTCAGTTTCTGCATCTGCAGAGTGGACATCATTTTATCTTGCATAGCTATTTGAAAGGACAAAATGACAAAATGTGCTGCATTGTCCAAGGGAAGTCAGACCGACTTGGTTCCAATCTTGTTTTTTTTTTTTTTTTTGCCATTTCCTTACTGACACAGAGTGAACAAGCAATCGAATCTTTCTGAACCTCAGTTTCCTTATCTGTAAAACTGGGATAAGATACCTACCCTGGCATGTTATGAGGATTAAGTCAGATGATATACATTCAAAGCACCCAGTGAGGTAGGTGTTGGCACATAGAGGTCCTATAGTTTAGCAAAGTTTATAGAGTTATCCCCTATTTTAGAATGGGGAGTCACCAGATGTTAATTCTCCTCCCTGCCTTTAGGATATATGAAAGAAATCAGACCAGGGTGGGGAACCCTGGGACCCTGGAATGAATGTTAGGAACCTGTGTTCTGATCCTTAGTTTGCCTTTAGCTGTGGGATCTTGAGCCAAAGTCGTGACCTCTCGGTGCACAGTCCCTTCATCTGAGAGAAATGACAAGATTTCAGCTATTGTGTTTCAGGATTATCTGAAAAGCCTAGACTGGTATTTCCCAAAGTTATATTCTAGGGAATATCAGTCCTGCAGGTTCTCTAGATCCTCGATGGGAAAGGATTCTGTGATCAAATAAAGTCTGGAAACTCACTCTATCCCATTTCTGGAGACACACAACACACATGAGCAAGAAATCCTACACCAAGGCAACCTCATGCAGCCCCACATTCCCAAATGTACCTGATCATGTGTTCCCAGGAACACATTCTGGGATGTGCTCACCTAGGCAATTTTCCTGTGTGCTTCATTTTTCTCACGTCTGCAGACAGAATTTTGGGGGTGGGGGGAGACAGGGAGGAAGCAATCCCACTATGCAAATAGGTCTACGTATCAGCAAAATGATTCACACCTGGGAATGCCCTGTCTGACCTCTAGGGGGATGAAGAAATTGTCAAAGGGCCTGGGCCTGGAGCCTCCTTATTAGCTTCAGAGGCCTTGGAGAATTGGCCTTGACAGTGCGCCTGGGAGACACCCTTGGGTACCAGCTACCCCTGGGCATGCCTGAATTTTCTGGTGCTCATGCACTAACGATGATAAGGAGGCAACTTCAACCCTAGACTCTTCCAAAGTCATCAGTGTCGCTGCCAAGAGGCAGCCTTCAGTCAACCAAAGAGAGGATGTGATTCAAATACACAGAAAATGTAAACAGAAATAGGCAGATTACTTTATGCATTATTTGAATAATTGTTCTGCTTTCTGGAAAAACCTATGGTTCTGAGCTTCAGAGTAAATGAACCAACTTCAGCCTCAGGACTAAAGTGATAGTGATCCAGACTGGCTGGAAGGAGTTTCAGGGATAATGTAGTAACCTCAGACTAATGGTGTGGCCCCCTGCTGAGCTCTGCAGCCTTGTCGGGCACCACATCCTCCCCCAGTATGCTCCACTGGATACTTCACTCAGGCTTTTGGGAGGGCTAGCTTTCTCCTGCTGCCAGGTTTTTGCACAGGCTGTTCCTCATGCCTGGAGCACTCTTCCTTATCTCTCCCTTGACTGGTAACCCTTTCTTATCCTTCATCCTTCAGCTTTGCAGCAACTCTGCTCTGTTCTCCAGATTTGTGAATTTCTCCTGTCTCTCCTTATAATGATGCACCTTTCCTTTCCCTTACTAACATATATCACCATTAATTTACAGGTACTTATGTGATTTGGTGTTTGCCTACTAGGCTGTAAGCTCCATAAGGGCAGGGATGTGTGTTATTTTGCTTATCTCTGGATCCCTGGCACCTACTTACGTAGGTGCTACTTGTACATTACAGCGGCAAATACAGAGTGGGCTCTGGGTAAATGCCTGGCAGATGAATAAAATGACTGCCTGACTAGCTACAGGACTGAGTTAATCAGCTGTGACCCAAAAAGGAATGACCTACCCACAGTCGCACAACGATCAGTGAGGGCTGGGACCAAATTCCCAATCAGCTAACTTCTAGTTTGCTCTGTCTTGCTGCCTAGTGGCTGTGTTCCAGCAAGTGCCATTCTCTGCAGAAATCGGTAAAGACTGAACTTTGCTGGCCTATAATCAGTCTCTTTCCTGATTAAAGCGTTCCTTATTCTGGGAATTGGGGATGGAGACAGGGGTCTCTATAAGCAGCTGCAGTGCAAGCCACCTGCTGACCTGGGTTTAGCTTGTTTTCTCGCTACTTTGCTTTCTCTCTACTTCCCAGTGTGCCCCCTGGGTTCCCAGAGATTAGTGTCTGAGATGGAGGCTGCCAAGAGCCACTGCAGAGGAGGGTGGAGGCACCTCCCCATAAAGCACTCCCATCAGCTGGCAGGGCCCTCCTTTCCTCCACAGCCCCATGTTTTTTTATCCTCCTTCAGAGACAAGCTGCTCCAGCAAATGCTGCCTTCCTGGTGCACTGCAGTCTGGAAAGTTACAGCTGGGACAGTGTCAGTTCCCAACCAGGAGATGGGGGTGCCCAAGCTCCTGCCACAAGACTGCACTGGGGTTTGAACTGTGGCTGTTTTTGCCGCATTCAAGACCTGGTTACTGCCTCCAAATTCCTTCCTCTCATTTCCTAAAGCCTGTCTCTTGTGTGTCCACCTTAAATGTAGAGCCTGTAGAACACGGTCAGCAGGTGCCCCCACTCCACTGTCCAAGTTCAAATCTTTGCCTTTCCACTTTAAAGCTGAGCAATCCTAGGAAAGTGATTGGACCTCTCTGAGCCCTAGCTTTTATTTTTTTCAACTCTTTTAACTCTAAATTGGGAACAATAATGATAATACCTACCTCATAGGATCGATAAGAGATTAAATAAGATGGATGCATATGACAATTAGCAAAGTGCTTGGCATGCAGTCACGTTCAGTAAATCTTAGCAGCCATTAGTCCTTGGCATTCCATAGCCTGCATATATTCTCCCTTACAGAAGTTCTGATTCTGCAGCACTTAAAGTAGTATAGCAGATTTCCTCCCCTTTTGGGTAAGAAACCAAGCTTTAAAAGGTTAAGTAGTTTGCCTGTAGTTTCAGAGATAATTAGCTCGAGATAGAGGGAATAATCCTTAGGAAAAAAATCATGGATTTCGGAATCAGAAAACCTTGAGATCTAATGCTGCCTGTGACACATATTCACTGTATGATCAGGGCCAGATGCTTAACCTCTCGGAGCATCTACAGCTGCTGCACTAAAATAACCTCAAAGGACTATTGTAATGATGACAATAAATATTCTCAGACAGCAGGGGTTCAACACATTGTAGGTGTATATAACTCTACTATTATTACTGGAAGAGACTCTGATGAAATCTGCAGCCTTGCCATCCATCCGAGTCTTCACTAAGGGCTCTGTTTCAGGGTTATTTGTAGAAAGAACATGGAGTTCGGTCTCCCATGCAGTCAATTACATTCTGTTGTTACAAAAAATCATCCAAGGAGATGATACTACCTAATCTGTGGAAGAGTTAAAATAAGATCATTTGTGTCTTTCTTTATCATGCCTTATTTCCTTTGCAAGAGAAGACCTTGGGTAGGTCAAAGTTTCCATTCTGAATGATGTACTTCTTGATTGCAAAATGCAGGGTTTAGCTCCCAGGTTTTGCCAGCCAATGAGAACCCTGCTGTATTTGAGTCACCAGTTTTATGTCTTTGCTGGCTTCTGGCAATGCAGTAAATATAACCCAAGAGCTCCAAATGCAGCAATTTTCTGAACAAGCAGCCAATAAATACATTAAAAAAAAACCCAAACAGAAAACCAATCCAGTTCTTTATGATCCTGTAGTGCTCAACCAGTCTTTCCCCATCTTCCCCGCAGTCCTGAAATGACCTCCCCTCTTCTTTTCCTTTCTACCATTTCAAGTCTGATGTGTCATTCAGAATTTGGCTTCAGGCCTTTCTTCAAGAAGCCCTCCTTGATTACTTTAGCCAGGCATCAACCCACTTTTATAGGAATTGCTAGCAAGCTTTCTATGTGCCCTGTGCCTTAGCTCTCTCTTCCACCCCAGAGCAGTCATAGCGCATGGTAGTCAGAGACCCAGGAGCTGGAAACAGTCAGATCTGGCTTCACATCCTTGCTCTGCCACTTTCCAGCTCCCTGACATTGGACAATCTACTAAGCTGCCTCTGTCTGTGCCCTTATTTGCAAAGTGGGAGTCCTAACAGTAACAATGCCAACAGCAGAGGCTTGTTATGAAAACGAAAGAAGATGGTACTCATAAAGCACTTAGCATCATGTCCCAAATATGAGGGGTTGCAAGGTTAAGGCCATAATGTATTACTATTGAGGCCAGAGACTATGTTTTTTATCCAGCATAGAGGATACAGCTGTGTTTTTTTTTTAATGGATTATCTTAATAATCTTTATATCTGGGGCTGGGAGACTGTCCAATTCACCTGCACTATCCTGAAGACACAAGGAACTGAAGCCATTCAAAGAAGAGAGTGGGTGTTGTCTTTCTGTGTAAGTGTGGCAGCCAAAACCAAGGGTATAGAGGAAGCAGGCGGTTTTGTGAAGAAAAATACAGGGGACTAGGCCTGGTCTATCCCTTGCTAGCTGTGCAGTCACCTCCTAAATATCTCTTGAATCCTTCTATGCTGTGTATCCACTTCCCTAAGCCAGGCTCCCATCATCTCCATCCTCAACCACCGATTTCATATTCATCCTCTCTTGCTTCCCTCTGATACAAAGCAGTTCTCCCTCCTGGCTGCATATTTGAATCCCCAGAGAGAGATAAAAGGCAATCCTAATGTTGAGGCTGCACCTGGACCAAATAAATATGATATTCCGGGTTGGGGCTCAGGCAGCAGTATTTTCTGTTTGTTTGTTTTTTGAGACAGAGTCTTGCTCTGTCGCCAGGCTGGAGTGCCAGTGGCGTGATCTCAGCTAACTGCAACCTCCACCTCCCAAGTTAAAGTGATTATCCTGCCTCAGCCTCCCAAGAAGCTGGGACTACAGGTGCATGCCACCACGCCTGACTAATTTTTTAATTTATTTTAATTTTTTTTATTTTTAGTAGAGACGGGGTTTCACCATGTTGGCCCGGATGGTCTCGATCTCTTGACCTCGTGATCCACCCACCTCAGCCTCTCAAAGTGCTGGGATTACAGGTGTGAGCCACCACACCCAGCCAATTTTTTTAAAACCCTCCGAGTGATTCCAACGTGCAGCCAGGATTGAAAACCTCTATTAAAATCCAGTGGTTCTCAAACTTTGGTGCCCATAAAAATCAACCAGAGAACTTGTTAAAACACAGAGTCCGGGCCTCACCCTGGGACAGTTTTGATTCAGCAGGCTTGAGGTGACAACCAAGAATTCATCCTTCTAAACATCTCCTGGGTGGTGCTGATGCTGCAAAACCACACGCCATGAAGTACGAATTTAACTCAGGCTTTGCAAGGCAGGCTGCTCATCTTTTTGGAACGTGCATTTGCTCATGTTACTCTCCTGCTTAAGACCTGTCAATAACGTTCCACTTCCCTTGGTAGTAAGAGCCTGAGACCCTTATCAAGGCGTTGAGAGCTGTTGCCATCTGGCTCCTGCACAGCTTTCCAGCCTCATCTCCCACCACTCTGTCTTGTTCTCTACGCTCAGACCATTCTGTACTTCTAGGTTCACGAACATGACATACTCTTGCTTGGCCCCTGGTCAATGTGAATTCTCTTTCCTCTTCTGTCATCATTCTTTTCCCCCTGAGACAGGGTCTTTCTTTGTTGTCTAGGCTGGAATGCAATGTTGAGATCATAGCTCACTGCAGCCTTGACCTCCTGGGCTGAAGTGATTCTTCCACCACAGCCTCCTGACTAGCTGGGACTACAGGCATCATCATGCCCAGCTGATTTTTGTATTTTTCGTAGAGACGGGGTCATGCTACGTTGCCCAGGCTGGTCTTGAACCCCTAGCCTCAAACTCCCACAGGGGCCTCCTAGAGGGCTGGGATTACAGATGTGAGCCACTGCACCTGGCCCTCTGTCATCTTTGTCTGGTTAACAGTAAATCATTAACCCAAAGCCTAGTATCAATATTGCTACCTTAGGGGCCTTCTTGGTCTCAGCCAAGGTCACCTCTTCTAGGCCACCCTAACATCCTGAACCTCCTCTTTTATCACTCCCATCACATTTGTGTGATTTGCTTCTTGGCATGTTCTGTGCAAGACTGTAAGTGCCTTTGGCAAAGACCTTGTCTGTCTTGTTCATTATAAAAATAGCCAATGACTGATGTATGGTAAGGGAGTAAGAAATATTTGCAGAGTTAAATTTGAGATAGAGATAATAACATCTATGTGGCAGGGATGTTTTGAGGAGTTAAGGTGATGTTTTTCCAGGCACTTAGTGTGGTGTCTGACACTTAATAGGTGCTCAAATCATGACCTAAATAGAAATCTGAATGCAAATGGTTTAAACTTATTAAATTCTGTTGAATGAGTAAATGAAAGTGAGTATTTAAGTGCAGAAAGGACAGAGAATAACTGACTAAAGTGGTGGGAATAATAGAGGTGTGAACCAATTAAACTCTGGGAGTCTCTGCTTCCTCATCTGGAAATTAGAAATATTAGTATTCAACTAACCATTTAAAAATATTCACTAAACACTTGCCTTGTTTCAGGCATTATGTTATGAACTGTGAGAGCAGGATAAATACATAACTTGATAACTTTCAGAATTATTTCAACAAAAAGAAGAGTTATATTTTTCAAAACTAGTAAAACATTGCATATATTTAAATAATTATTTTCATTGCCATTCGTTTTTCAATTTAGTTTTTACTAATTTCTGAAATTTAGTTTGGGCAGCTGATTTGATGGGAAATGGTCACTTTTTCAAAACAAGCCAGAGGTGATTATATTCTCTGGAGATTTTGACATAAACATTATGGGAAATGAAATGCCTTTTTGTACTGTTAAATAATCTTGCTCTTTAAGCAGCATCAAGTCATGGTAAAAAGCATTTTATAAATGGCAAAATAATGAGCTCAACAGGAAGTCCAGAAAAACATCCAGTGATGTTTAAAATACCTCTAATCAAATCGAATGCTTTTGCTAAAAAATACCTGCTCTTTATTTTAAGAAGAAGTGAACCTCATTTTCAAACACTGATAGCATGGTATAAAATTATTCACAAGGTCAAAAGGAAATTGAGTTTTCCAGCTTCTGCAATTGTGGCTTTTGTGAATGTGTACGTGCATGCATGTGAGTGGTGTGTATATATGTGCACGTGTGTAAGAAAGCTCAAGTAGTAAAAAACATTCAGATCTGTAAATCACAGAGCTGCCCATGTCAATTAAAACTGAGGTGAATTAATTAAATTAAAACCTTTCCAGGGTACTTGAGAACTGTCACATGCACCACTGTTTCCTTTGAGCAACATGTCACAAATATAAGATGTGCTTAATTTCCAGTCCCAGGCTGATCATTAAACAGTACCTGGTGGAAACTGGGTCTATTCATAAGTCTACCTACATGTATCATTATCTCATTTTGCCTGCTCTGAAGAGTTTGTCTACCATGGGGTTGCCATTGTTCAAAGTCAAAAATATTTTAAAAGGGTGAGTTTCATCTTGATTAAGACCTGTCAAAGAAACAGTTTGTTCCCAGTATCAAATCCATAACCAAGTAGTTTTTTTTATTAGTTCTTTTAAAAGTAACTGTGCCTAAGAAGAGGAGGTGGTATTAAAAAGAGTAAGCGGCCAAATTCTCCAACAGATGGGAGAAAAAGAACGAACTAAAAAACCCAAAATTACATTATTGGCATTTATCAAGTATGTCCTGCTTATAATATACTGCATTGTGTGCAAATGCACAAAGGTATCAGGGGTATCATCTACTTTAACACATGAGACAGTTCTTATTTGTTGGACTATATAGATGCCTACTCTCACTATATTCAAGAAGTTGGAAGTAGATTTTGTATGTTTGGTGAAGCTGAGGTCCATAATCCCATGTCAATCATAAGCAAGGATAATCATGTGTTGTACTGAAAACAAAATAAATATTGAAAAATAAATTTAAAAAGGAAAATTAATTAGGATAGGTTAATTTATTCCATGGTAAGAAGTTAACCTTGAAATCTCAGTTGCTTAACACAATAACCATTTATTTCTTGCTTACTCTACTTACCCAGTGCCAATTATGGGGGACTCTCTTCCACAGAATTACTCAGGGATCCAAGCACATGGAAGCACCACCATTTTGTGACTCTGCTACCTCAACATGTAGCTTTCAGGCTCAGTGTGACAGGGAAAATAGAACATGGAGGACTGAAAGCCAGTTTGCTGAAACTAATCTTGTGGCCCTAACCTAGCTGCAAAGAAAGTTAGAAAATGAAAAAAAAAATACATAAAATATTTTATAAGCATTAGTGTGTCTGCCTCAAAAAAGATTGTAGATTTTGGTTAAAGTGCTTAAAATATAGACTCTATTTGAATATCTAGAAATTGCTTGATTCTCTAGTTTACCTGGCCTATGTGGACACTTCTACAACTAATTTAAACTTAGCTTGAGTTTAAATTAACTCAAGTGAACATGGTGTAACATAATTTAATTTGCATTGTGAAAGGCAAATATGACCTTGGCTTAGAGGAGGGAAATAGAAGAAAGTAGTAATCTCCTCTGAGAGAGAAACCTGCAAATAAGCAGTATTTTAACCAGTATAAATTAAAACAATATTGGCTGCAATACACAAATTCAGCACTGGGAAGTTCAAATTAAGATGGCCCTAGGGTCTCGTAATCTAATTTACTTCTAATGTACCTACAAGTTCCCAGCCTGAGAAACACTTTAAATGGTAAACCACCATGAAGACAGATGACTTCTTATCTCTTGAAATTGTATTTGTAATCCAGACACCAGGCTAATCCTCTGTGAAACTGTTTTTAAGATTAGGTAGTTCACCTGCTTATGTTGCCCTTTCATATTTGCAAAAGCTAAGAAAATGCTTTTTAGGGTCTTCAGAGAAAACATTCTGTAGTGATTATGGCAAATCCCTCCTCTCCTCCCCAATTACTGTAAAATCCTCCCCAATTACTGTAAAATCTCAGAAGGAACAAAAACGTATGCAGGAACCTTAAGTAACCACTTTTACAAAAGGAACTTACTTTCACAAAAAAGTAAATGTACAATGATGGCAATTGTGTTTTTAAAAAGCAATACCAAATATATATATCAGATCAATACTCTGCCCTTTTATGCTAACATTCCTAGACACAGAATTGATTTGTAAAATGATGCCTTTCAACAAGATGCTTGTTGTATTGTAAGGTAAGAGAGTGGAAAAATACATTTTTAAGAAATGGCTTTAAGATGAAGTGAAACCCAAATGATTTTCAGGTTAATATCTCAGCAAGTTCCTGACACAAAAGAGGTGTTCAATATATATTTGTTGAGTGATTGTCTATAAATATTTCATCCTCCATGTAACAGGGAACTGTCAATATCCTAACATGGTCTATGCGATTTTTTAAAATTGAAAAATTATCTATGCTTTTATCATTCAACCTGTAATGGTCATCATTATCGACTCAGTTGATTAAGGATGACAGGATCAGCTACCTATTCATTTTATTTCATAAAAATAAGTGGGTGATCTAAAAGTACAGGGTTTGGGGAAAATCAGATACCTAAATAGTTGTGAAAATTCTTCCAGAAGTTGAAAGGACTGTTCAGAGATTATTATTGTCGGTGTTGATGGTGTTTCACCTCCTTTTAAGTCCTGCAGGCGTTTTGGTGACATTTCAGCAAACTGTGTACTCCTGTGAATTTTTTATTGTGAAATTCTGCCATAGAGATATCAAATCATGATGCCACAAGGCCCCTGCTGGTTTCTGACCGTGCTTAATAGATTCTGTCTCTACAGCCTGACATGTGCAGTTGTGTTGGAAAATGGCTGATTAAAAAATTTAGAGTCAACACATGCAGCCAGCCTGCATGGAACAAGATAGCGCCCTGGGTGACAGCCTGGGGCTTTGATGCAGGAAGGATGGAAGGGATCTTATGCTCCTGATAGGAAGTCAGACATGCACCCTAAGAGGAGAAAATTCTGAAAAATTCATAAGCTTCCTTATCATTAATAATTAATCTCTAAACCAACAGGCACTGGCAATTTATACTGGCCAACACGGGAGAACAGCCAAGGGTTGGAGCTATACCTCCCTCTGCAAACCCCTCTAGAGTGATTAATTTCATGGCAACCTTCAGTTTATTATCAGAGAAGCAAAGCTGCAGAAATTCAGGAAATAGTCTTCATAAACTGTGACATTAGCCATCACAATTTATAAGACAAAAGGGTCAAGTCTCCCCCAACCAGTCTCTTCACCTTCCTCCTCACCACTAGCACCAAAAACAAAAAACCAAAACAACAACAACAGCAAAAAAACCAAAAAACCAGAAAAACCCACAAAGGTTTAGATTTGACACTAGCTCAGATTGGGATTTTTCTGACAAAATTCTATGATCTCTATAAGTTCTCAGTAGTTATTACTTGGATAGGGAAGGGGGAGCAATTTTGTCCCTAGGAAATGTTTGGTAAAGTCTAGAGACATTTTTCGTTGTCACAATGGAGGGTGAGAGGTGCCACTGCCAATAGTGGGTAGAGGCCTGGGGTGCTGTTCAACACCATACAATGCACAAGACAGCCCCTGCAACAAGGAATTATCCAGCTTAAAATGTCATTGGTGCTGAGGCTGAGAAACCCTGCTGTAAATGCTGATCTCAGGAAAGTAAGATGTTTGCCCTGACAACATTTGATTATGGGGGCAAAGAGAATATTATTAAACTGACAATGGAGGCTTAACTTCATAATGTTAATCCTCTAACTGTTAAACCCTTCCCAGTATTACCAGCTGGGCTAAGATCTAAAATAATTTGAGGAAGAAAAGAGATAAGAATGAGAATTTTGACAGTTCATATGTGGTGAAAAAATTTGTTCAAGAAGGCACCAGGTTTGCAAGAACAATCCAGACAGGTATTTCCGGAATTCTGCTTTGGAGTGCTTTGGGGTTTTTTCTCACTGAGGTGTGTAATATCTTACACAGGGGTTAAACAACTGGGGTCTTGCTGACCCCTGTGTTGTATGCATATTTATGTTGCAAGCCTCCTTGTTCCAGGAGACAGCTGCAATAGAGTGACTGGAAGCATTCACTATCTTCTAACACTCTGTCACAAGGCTGCTGATCCTGACACACTCACAAACCACACCTTCAACCTGTTGCTTGCAGGGAAAGGGTCATGCAAACACACAATCCCCTCTCCTTGATTTAAAAGCCTGAGATGCTGCACAGAGCCGAATCAGAATAAGAGATGCAGAAAATCTGGGGGTGGGGTAGAAATAGGCACAATGAGGAGGTTTCTAGAAGGCAATCATACTATCTCATTATTTACTTCACTTTAAGATAAAAGTAGAAAATCCCCATTCTTTTTCCAGTAAGGCAAAATATATTGCCCTCCTTTCTCACTAAATTCCATTTTTAGTTAAGTTTTTAGGTTTGCTAATGTCACTATTTCATAAGGAAGAAAAAATTAATGCTTGATTCTAACATCTGTGTTTCTCAGGAATTTTTTTTTTCCACTGGAATGAGAAACCACACTTATCTTGTACAGAAGGAAGAAACTGCAATGAATTCATTTTACAGAAGAACATCTTAAGCCAGTTTCTCTTCCCTGATAAGTGAGGGAGAAGTTGAGATTTCTGGGCCCCAGATTTATAGCATTCTTTCCCTGCTAAAAATGTTTTAAGCCTAAATGCATGCCTATTATTACATACAAGTTTTACATGAACAAAACTGCAAAAGAGAAACCATGTTGACCTAAGGAAACTTCTGCAGCAGAGTGTTGAATGGGATTCTTCCTGGTGTTCAGGAATTGGAGACATAAATATTGGTGGAACATTCATACCCTCCAGGGCTTATTAAAAGGTGTCCAACCTAGCCCTACTATCCCCAGTCATCATTCCAATGACTTTCCTCACCAGTTGTATATGAGAAGAAAACAGCGAAAGGAGAGGCGAGGGACTGGTTAGAAAGAAAAAGAAACCCCTCAGGGTTCCCAAGGCATTAGCCTGAGAAAAGAGATTGCTGTAGCTTTTCTTTACCCCACCTGTGGTGCTTCCTGCTGCTTTCCACCAAGAAAATAACCTTTAGAGATTGGAATTCCTGAAAAAAAGTGAGCATCTTGTTTTCATGGTTCTGTTGAAAGTCTGCTTTGCAGCCAGCTGGTTGACCTGCCTTGTGTCTAGTTGAGCAGATCTAAAACACAAAGAATTGGAGGGAGACAGCCCGCTGGAGTGGGGTACTTGTGGCTATATTTCTACTGCCACTATTTGATGTGTCAAAGTTGTGTGGGTTTCTTACAGGTTAAACGCACACTGAGGAAGGTATTATAGGTGAACTAGGGCCATCTTACTGGAGCTTCATCCTAGAGGTGGATGCTGGTCCAGAGAGATGCTGGTCCAGATGCTGGTCCAGATACTTCCTATAGTCCCGGCTATAGGAAGCTCTAGGATGAAGTCCCAGAGATGGGAGCTTATGTGTGGTTGGAAGACAGGAAGCTGATGAAGATCTCCCTAAGAGTAGCAGCTCCCACTGATGGGCTCCCAAGTAACTCATCCATGTCTCTCATGAGAGCACCAGCACTTAGCTGCCACCACACAGTGGGACCAATGGAGAGATAGTGAAATAACTGGAGAGGAGATTGCACTCACCAGCCCAACTAAGTAAAATGAACTTTGCCTTTCCCCGTCAGCACTGCCCAAGACTTTTCAACTCCCTGCATTGACCCTGGAAAAGCTAGTCACAGAAGAGGCAGGGAGGTTATGAGCTTTAAGTTGGATATAAAATTGACATTGTAAATGAGACTGGGTTTTTGAAAGCGACTGGAAAGCTAAGAAGTCTATACAAGGAGTCATTAGATGGAAGAGGGAGTTCTGGCACAGCAATGCTGAAGGTAAAAACTGGAAAAAAATAAAGCTGTGTCATATTTGTCCTCCACTGGATGCAGAATCATTGATAAATTAATTATAATTTATATAAAGATCCTTCCATAAACTTTCCTTCTAAAAAAACTGTTACACAACTTTTAAAAAAGAAAACTACCTCTACAGGCTATGGGGAGCCACTAAAGGTTACTTAGGAAGGGAGCACCGTAATCAGGTTTGTGTTCTGGATTACTCTTGGGGCAGTGGAAGACGGAGAGTAGGCAAGGAAAAAAAGGTGGAGCAGCTGCAGAAATTGTCCAGGTGAGACATAATGCACAGTGGCTAAGAGCCAAGTTGAGTCAGCCATTTGGAAATTCTGAGATTGAAAGAGTGGCTTCATGTCTATAAGCCTAATTTCCTTTTCTGAAAAATGGGGATAAGCACAGCGTCTTCCTCTTTGGGCTGGTATGAGGAATCAGTGAAACCATACAGATGAAGTGAACACATTGGCCCACCCTACCCCAAGCTGTCCTCAAGCAGAATTATCTATTGTTATAAATGGCTTTGGCTCTTCCAGGCATTTAGGCCTGAAACCTCAGCATCTCCTTGACTTTATTCTCTCATTGTCACACACATCTAATCATTTGCCAAATGCTCTCCTGTCCTCCTCTGTCTGGCAGCTCTCCATACGTTTGTGTCTTTCTCTTCATTACCTATTTCTTCCTTACTTCAGCACCTTGACATGTCTCCCCTGGACTGCTGTGATAGTGGCTCAACTTGTCTCCCTCCCTCCTCTCTATCTTCCGCTGCCGCAGATTGATCTAAAGCACACATCTGGTCCTGTCTCCCACTGTCCATGAAGATGATTTTCAATTTTTAAAAAATCAGTGTAGCTCTTTTAAAAATGAAAGTACCACCCAGATGCTCATAATACAAAACTATGAAACCAAGAATTTCTCTGTGAGAAATAGTGACAATATTGGTGGTGCTTGTGCTGGGAGTTTAGAGGCTCATTCCTACACTACAGCCCTGAGAGGTTCTGAAACCATGTGGATTCCATGAGGCAATCTTTAGAAATGATGAGGACATATCCTGGTTCTTCATGGTCTGGGCTCAGTGCCCACCTTTCCAGCCTCCACTCCCGCCATGTTCCCTGTGATCCTGCTGAATTGACCATTTGGTGATTCCCCGACCCTGCTCCATGCATTTCCCTTCCCTGTCTTTGCTGACACAGTTTTCTTGGCTGGGAACACATCTGTGCATGACTAGGATCTCCTGGCTTCAGAACCCACCTCAGATGTGCTGTTGCCCTGTCTAACAGACTCCTCCCCTACTCTTCCCTAAGTTAGCACCTGCCATCCTTCTGCCCTAGGGCAGGTTTTTCACCACAGCCTGTCTCTCAAAGACTCTTCTCAAAGACTTTGAAAAAACTATGCCCTCTCCATCACAGAACCCAGGTTAGTTTGTAATTGTATATCTGTTGGTGTGGTCACCTGACTGACCTCTGTTTCTCCATTAGGGTATGAGTTCCATGGCTTTTGCTCAACATCATAACCTTAGAGACTGGCACAGGGCCTGGCCTGTGTTAAAGTTTCAATAAACAGTATTAGTGGAAAGAAAGAAGAAAATGGATCTTCCTTCTATTGCCCTTCCACTGGCCCTCACTTTGTTCTATCTTGATGTTATTATTTGCGTACACATCTAATCCTCCTACAAGACTAGAAACTTCTGAGGGCAGAAACTATAGCTGGCTTCTCTCCTGATCTTCATAGGCCCTGAAGAATGAAATAAATGGTGGGCAAGATTTTTGTTGTTTGACACGTCTACATGAACAAAAACCTACACTGGATTCCCATGTAATGCAGTCCCTCAGGGGCCTTGTTACAGAGTGTCATTTTGAAAAGCTCAGGTTCTCCAGTCACTGACTCGATGACTATAACACATCTACATCATCCCCAAGATTCCTCCACTTTATTCTACATTTCATTTCAGACTGACTTCTGTAACAGGTAGGGGAAAATAAAGGGTGCTGGGTGTGGATGAAAACTGAGGGAGAAAAATGGCAATTCAGGCCTTTTGTTCTCCAGAGGACCTCATTTGGAGGAAAATCATGGCAGAAGAGACATTGTGTCTGTATCTGTTGATGCATTACGAAGTATTTATTGTCGGGCTGTCTTATTAACTAAGAAATTCAAAGGCAGTAAGAAAATAATCAGAGGAAATGCTAGTGAGCAATTTTTGGCAGCACAAGGGACAGAGACAATTTGGAAAGGTAGAGCCTTCCTTCTTAAGTAATTGGAATCCTACTTCACAGTTCACAGATTTTGTGGCTGTACCACAATACAAGTATTTCTGGAATCAAAGAAAGAACTCCACTTTTTTTGGAAATTAAGGATAAGTGCAGGAGCTATTTTTTTCACTGTTTATTCTACTTTAGCACAGGGAATCTACACCCCTAGGAAGCAGTGAATCACTAAATGACCAGAAAATGCCAGAATGGACTGGAGCTTAATTGGGAGTTCTTGCAAGGAAGCCCAAAAAGCACTAGAGATGCTAACTACTCATGACTGCCTTGTGTACACCTTCTGCAAGGACTTTCTTCCCACTCTAAATTTGAGTGCTTCAGAAATCATCTGTGAAATCGCTAGTGTTCAGTGAGTGACAGGATTTTCAAACTAGTCCATTTGAATACTTTCTCTCACTTTGCTACTGAACAGAATTGAAAGCTGAGAGGTTAGGAAACTAGTTTAACATTGCAAAATCCTTATTTAAGAGATCTGGATCTCTGGAAAATAACCAGTTTCTAAAAAGGATGGTACCAGAGGCAGTTTCTTCTTTCCTTCCTTCTCCTTTCCCTTTTTTCTCCAAATGTTTATTAAGCATAGACTGCTCCAGAAAAGGTACAGGTCCTAAGAATACAATGAAGAGTATAAAGAAACTGTTTTTTCCTCATGGAACTGATAATCTAGGGAGGAATGCAAACATTAATCAAATAACCATGTACATTAATGTAAACTTACCAAGAGATAACTGCTGCAAAGGATGAAAACAAGATTATGTGAAAGAACTCTGGCCTAGCAGCTCTTGAATTAGGAACTAAAGATAAGTAGAAGTTAACCAGGCAAAGAGAAGTGAAGAGCATTTCAGACAGAAATAGCATGTCTCAATGGCCTGTGGCCAGAGGAAATGTTGGAAGCAGGTCAGTGTGGCTGGAGTAAGGGTGAGGAGGAGAGTAAAATGGGGATGGTCTGGGAAGGCAGGCAGGGCCAAGTTGTGTGTGGGGTCTTGTAGATCATGGGAAAGCTAAGCGTCTCTATGAACATGCTAGAAGCAATAAGACGTCATTGAAAAATTTAAAGCTAGAGATTAGGGTGAGACATATTGGGAGGAGGGATGAGAAGTTCAGATGAGCATTACATAAACATCATTCTGGCTCACACAGAGGATGGATTGGAAGGGTTAAGGGTGAATACAGCTATTGCCAATGGTGGCCAAACCGACTAAATATACCAAGTGCCTACCATGCATAGGCTAGGCACTTTATAGCATACAAAGGCTCGTTTGTGATTACAATTCTGTAAGAAAGGTTCTTTTTTGTATTAAATCAGCTGTTTTGGAATCATTTTAGATTTACAGAAAAGTAGCAAAGATAGTACAGAATGTTCCTGTCTATCCCACACCCAGCAACCCTTCTTGTTAACATCTCATGTTACCATGGCACATTTGTCAAAACATATGAACAAACATTGATACTTCATTATTAACTAAAGTTCTTAATTTATTTGGACCTCATTAGATTTTTTCCCAGCATCCTTTCTCTGTTCCAGTATCCCATTAAGGACACTACATTACATTTTGCTATCAGGTCTCAGACTCCTTGGGCTGTGACATTTTCTCAGACTTTCTTTGCATTTGATGACCTTGACAGTTTTGAGTACTGGTCAGGTATTTTGTGGAATGTCCCTTGATTTGGGTTTGTCTAGAGTTTTTCTCATGGATAGGTTTATTTATGGGTTTGGGGGATGAAGACTACAGAAGCGAAGAGCCATTCTCAATATGTCATATCAAAGGTATATGCTGTCAACATGACTTCTCACTGATAGCAAACCTGATCACCTGGCTAAGGCAAAGGTTTCCAGATTTCTTTACTGTACAGTTACTTTTTCTCTCCTCCCACTCTATACTGCTTTCTTTGAAGTAAGTTACTACATGGAGTCCAAACTTACAGGGCAAGTTTTGCTCCACGTCTTTGGGGTGTATCTATTTAAGTTATTTGGAATTCTTTTGGATGGGAAATATGTTTTCCATTTCTGTCTCCTTCCTAATTTATTAATTCATCCAATTATTTATTACAGTATGGACTTAGGAAAGTTTATTTTATATTTTGAGTTATAACTCAGTATATTATTTAATTTCTTGCTCAAATTTGGGCATTGAAAATTCTTTCTGTTGGCTCCCAGTTCCCCTTGACATATGTCCATCATTTGGGGGGATTTTTTGGAGCACTTTTCAACTTTTTGGCTCTAATGATGATCCAGGCTCAGCTTGTGTATTGCCTACCCCAGCCGTAGAATCAGCCATTTCAAACAAGGAGCCCTGGCTCTTTTTATGGGAGAAGGATATTGCAAACTAAGATGTGGACACTGGATGTACTCACTGTTACTGGGGAAAGAAAGATTTTTATCCTCAATTCAGATGAGAACATTAATGGTTAGGGAGTTTAAGTGACTTGCCCGAGTAAAGGGCATACCCAAGATTCAACTAAACATCCTTCTCTTCATTTTCCTTTGTAAAAATATCCTAAATTTCAATCCACATCCACCATTTCCTCAGTGGTCTACACACTTTGGGGAAAGCTCAACCCATCCTCAGTTCTAGGTGAGTGTCTTCCCTGGTTTAAGACATTCAGCAGATTCTATGCACCTGGTCAGAGTAATGGAATTAGGGACAGGATACTTTAGTACAAAGTACATGCACCAATCAGATGCAAGACGACATTTACTAGACAGTTTCTGGGAAAGGGGCTTTCAGACTCTTCTGAGAAAGATGCTGGAGGAGAATTCTCTCTTCTTGATAGAAGTGAAAGGAACTGTAAGAAAACCCTATGGCAGGTTAAGATTATGCAGCTCATTTTGAGGGAAACTCTGTCCCTGAACTTATAGCTCACAATCAAAGTAGACTGATTTTACTACTTTGATTTCATAGAGTTGAAAAGTCGCTATCAATGAAAGATAGTAAGGGATTCACCCATTTGATAACTTTTGTAATTCACAACACACCTACTTTGCTTCCACAAAAGCAAACAAGGCACAGTGCAACAGATCTCTGAATTAGATGAAAACGGAGTGGTGATTTCACTCAAAAACTTCAACTAAGGAAACTTACTGAAATTGAGCAAAAACAAAATTTTGAGTTCCTAGCTGGCCTGGTAACACCCACTAAGGCACACAAACAGGTAGACATTCCTGACACAAGTGATCAAGATTAAGGAATCTATAATCAAAGAAACAATGCGTAGAGTTTATATGGAAGTGTTTGGTGAAGTATAAACGTGCCATATAAATAAAAAAACTGGTGATAATAATGTTAATGTTTAGAAGAGAGAGGGACCTTAAAAACAGACTAATCCTAACGTTTCAGTTTGGAGTTTAATAAACTGAAGTCCAGAATGTGAAGTGACTTATTTATATAGCTAGAAAGTGGTGGAGTCAAGAAAAAAAGGATACAAAATTACAGCTAGATAGGAGAAATAACTTCTAGTGTTTTATAGCAGCGGTCCCCAACATTTTTGGCACCAGGGACCAAACTTCGTGGAAGATAATTTTTTCATCGGGGGGGTGGGGGGATTGGTTGGGGGGATGGTTTCGGGATGAAACTCTTTTCACCTCACATCATCAGGCATTAGATTCTCATAAGGAACACACAACCTAGATCCCTCGCATGTGCGGTTCACAGTAGGGTTTGCGCTCCTATGAGAATCTAATTCTGCCACTGATCTGACAGGAGGTGGAGCTCAGGCAGTAATGCCTGGTACCTGACTGTGGCCTGGGGGTTAGGGACCCCTGTTTTATAGCACTATAGGATGGCTATAATTAACAATATATTATATAGTTTCAAATAGCTAGGAGGAGGATATTAAATGTTTCCCAACACAAAGAAATAAAATCTGAGATGATGGACATACTAATTACCTTGATCTGACCACCATACATTGCATATATCAAAACATCACTATGTAACCCATAAATATGTACGATTATTATGTGTCAATTAAACAAATTTTTAAGCAAGACAATTACGAAGAATGAGGCTAAGAAAATAAGTTAACTATATTCCAGTGAGCAAACAAACAAACAAAAAACCCTGCATGTTTTAGCAAACAGAAGAACATTTTCGTTTTCTCTATGTATTATAACACTTCAGAGGCATAAAATATCTATGTCTTCCTGCAGAGGGAAAACAACAATTTAAAAACCCCATCTATTTAAAGTTCTTTCAGAAAGTCAGGTAGGGGAGGAAGTCAATGGGTCAGCTGACATCAGTGGACAGAAAGGCGTCTTTGGCCCCCAAATAATAGAAATACATTTAAATGCTAAATGTGAACTAGAAAGTTATTTTCCTTGAATTTCTGAAGTTTTTCTCTTTTTTGTCCTGTGGCTAGAGGGGAGAAATGGAGCTAATGTACACTACAAGTGATGATATAAGATAAAAATATTGTCAATCTGCAGATCTGCAGACAAGCAAAGGCTAACATAATCCCCATATTTCATAATAGCATGTACTTAAGGGTGTGTCATTCCCATTCTTTCTGATTTTGCCTTTTTGAATGTCCTGTTTATGGAATATATTTCGTAATGTACCTTGTCTGTCTTGTATTGGTGACTCATAATAAGTAAAGCCCAACTCATTTTTATTTCAGTAGGATTTTAAAATGACCTTTTATTTAACATTATGCATTTTGATAGCATCTTTTGCTTACAGAGCCTTCCCAGAATGCATTGGGTAGTTAGGCAGAAATGTATTTTAAGCCATCAGGGACTAGAGAATTTGTCATTATTACATGTATCCTTTGTTCCTCCCCACATAGTAATGCTCAAAAGGTGCTGGCCTCATGCTAGTTCTTACTAAAATGATTGCAATGATGGTGACAGCTGTGGGCTGCCACCAAGTAGCACATCTGCAGCAGCTGTAGCAACAGCCTGGGAACAGCCACAAGCATGGGTTTCTTCCTTTATGGCCAAGGGCAAAACACCGAAAGGAGATTTGTTATGGAAGACAAGAGGGATCAACAGTCTTGTTTGCTTAGATCAGGGTTGAGGGGGCCCAACACGGGGGTGGCAAATCCCTCCCATCTGTTCTTGTTTTTCTGGAGGGCTGATGTCACTCAGCAATTTAAAATGGCTAAAATTCACCACTCGAATCAAGGAAAGAAAACTGCCTTCAACATCAGATCATAGGTTTGTAAGTTCACGATGACCACCTCAGGGAATTTGTGAAACAGTCCCAAATGGGGCAAGAAATACTGCAAAATGCCATTTGATTCAAGTAGAAATAATTTCTATCAACAGCCAGGGGCATTTTATTGAGTGAACGTTAATAAGACCTAAGAAAAAGCACTTAACTGCTGCCAATGAAAGGACTTTGTTGTTTTTAATTAAATGACTAGGAAGTAAATAATCAGAAAGGGAAGGTTGTGAGACCCCAGGGTACCAGGGACTTAGGGCCAGGATGAATTGGCTTGAAGATTTTCAGTTTTCAGGGGTGATTATCATGAGTACTTTTTCTTTCTGCTAATATTATCTATTGTGTATACTGAAATCTTATCCTTAAATTTCAACATTGTGTATTGAGTTTTCATTGCTACTTCCGGGGTTCCCTTCGCATTTTTTTTTTTTTTTTTTGCTTCTATCTTAACGCTTGCTTCTATGGTAAAAAGCTCTTATTATGCAGTCTTTTTCTACAACTAATAAAGAACTTTCAAATATATTAGACCACCTAAACTGCGTAATAATACTGTGAAGCAGGTGCAAGTGAAAAAAGTCACTAACCCATTTTACAGCTGAGGAAATTGAGACCCAGAAAGGTAAAGAAAAATTCCTAAAGTAAAACAATTCTTCAAATCCCTTTCATCATTTATTCAACAAGTATTTATTGAGCATGTGCTTTGCTAGGTGCTCAATCATATTATACTGGTCAGGTGGTAAGGCACTGTGGTTAGAAGAATATGCTTCCATCAGTTAATCGAGAATCAAGCTTTTTCCATTGCAGCACTACTAGCATTTTGGAATGAATAGTTCTGCGTTGCAGGGCCTGTCCTATTCATTGTAGGATGTTTAGCAGCCTACTTGGCCACTACCCAATGTAAACCAGTAGCTTTCTTTCCCCTGTCATGCTAACCAAAAAAACCAAAAATATTCCTAGACATTGGCAAATGTCCCCTAGGGGCAAAATATTCTCTATTGAGAACCATGGAGCTAAGTGAGTTTTGTGAGCCTTTGTTACTCATCTCTAAGATGGGAATAGCAGTCTCTAATAGCATTGTTATAGCTAGTGAATTGTCTGGAAGTGGTCAATAAGTAGGAGATGTTGTTACTGTTTTGCTATTACTACCCAGGTCATCAGATATTTTTAAGGTGCCTACTATGTGCCACTGCAAACAGGAAGGTGGAGGAAGACTCAGGCTTTAAACTCAGGTCTTAACTTCCACATAGAGTGTTCCATCTGCTCTGCCAGTTGCCAACTCTTCTAAGGCACCCAGCTAGTTAAGAGCCTCATTTTATTCTTGCTCTTGCCATCTTTAAATACCTTCCTGTCCTAGTCTGTCATCATCTCTTGTTGCCAAAGTTATAAGGAAATGTTCAAGTTTTGAAAAGGCTTTTCTCAGGCTGACCTCTAAGAACTTGCCATCCTCAGACACTCAGTGTCACCTTGCTCTCCCTTCTCACTAATAACCCTCACAATGGATCATAAAGCCCTCAGAGTGTCTGGGTGGCAGAAGGGATTCAGAAGACTGTAACCCACTTTCCACAGGGCATCCATGGTACAGCAATGGGTAATGTGGGAAGGGAGGAAGAGGACAATTCAAGTTGACATTGACAGCAATTTTCTCCAGATGAGTCCCAGAAAAAAAATCTTTCCAGCGTGTGAATAGGAATAACAGTGTGATAAATGATGTTTCTTTTCACTTCCTTTGTTACTAGGCTGTGATTTGACAGCTTTCAAGAGTTTTAGTGATATTTATTCGTAGAAAAATTTCTTAGTTCTAACAGTGAACACATGTTGAATAAGGAATGGCTGACATTTGATTTCCTTCAAGCACTAAAGTGTTTTTCTCTAGGCAGAACAGCACAATTAATTTTTCCATGCTGTACCTGAGCTGAAAAAAAAAATGCATTCCTCCATTCCATTTATTTTCCTGTTATGACCTTAGGTGGCTTATAAACATTTTCCTTATAAGAGGAAATGTGAATCTAAAGAGACCATACACAATGAACTTTAAAATTGTAATGTAAACATAATCAAGAGATAATGCCAAGAGAATAGGATGCCATCTTGAGGTTATGACCTCCAACTGCTGTAAAAGTGTGCAAGGAGAAGCAAACTGATGTCTAGAAATACAGGCTGGGTGTTAGCCAAGACTTTCACTTGAATGCCAGTGTCCTGGGGCTCCCCGAATGATAACTGAATCACTGCTTTATAAAATGTAGTCTTTTTTTATACCATTCTCTGGAGGGGGGTTGTAGGGCATAAAAAATTAGATTGTATTTGGATGACATGTTTGTATAACCCTTTGGACGCAAATGTACCTGACATTATAGAATTTCTTCCTGCCAAGTAACCGAAATTTATCAGACCCTTGTCCTAATCTTTCAAAGCCTTAGGTTTTCCTTCTGGTTGTTAAATCAATTCACACAATGTGTTAATAGCTCCTTGAGGCAAGTGGAAAAGCTTCTAGAAAGAAGTAGCTCCTGAGATGGGAGGATGGGTAAGATTTCAAAAGGTGACAATGAGAGATGAGGGGGGGCGGCGTTCTAGCAGGAGAAAACAGGAAAAGCAAAGTATGTTCGAGGAGATCCCATGGCAAGTTCAGCAGAATGATTACTAGTTTGGGTTGGACACTGGGCAAAGCTGGAAAGGAGTAATAAGCATTTTAGCTAGGAGAGGTACTGATTCTTCTCTGGACTAGAGTCCCAAGCAGCTACCATGTCAACCATGTTTGGAGTAAAGGTGTGTTTGACTGTACTGGGCAATCTACATTTTTTTTAATGGAAATTTTTGGCTTCTCTTCCCTTTCTGGAAGATCTGTCAACAATGCTGGAGCTGGAGCTGATTGGCAGCTGCCCCTGTTAAGTGGGATGTTAACTGTCCAGTTGGCCATAGTCCCCACCATTCCCAATATACTGAGAGGGAGAACAAAAGTTGTGACTTATTGTCAAGTTTTTCTTATGACAGAGTATCATAATCTCCAAGATGATGCATGGTCATATTGTTTTGTTCTTATGCTGTAGGTCACGGAAAATACAGTTGACTTTTCTTATATCAAGTTCACTTCACTCGTTTGTGTGAACTTTTTCAGCATTAGAGATCATGAGCCCTGCTCTAGATAGGGAAAGGCTAAGTAACTTTCCAAGGCCACAGGGAAGTCAGTGCCTGACTTGTCAATACAATGCAGCAGGTCCATTCTCATCTGTGTTAAGTTAAAAAGAGAACCCGGACTGTCCCTGTGTCCATGCGGCATGGTAGGAAGCACACTCCTGCCCACCAAATTCTGCTTGGTACCCACCAACCTTGCTGGGTCCTGGATCTTAAGATTGCTGTCCAGAAACCTAAATTAATGCTTAAGCTGGATTACTGTATGAGTCTAACAGAGGGGTGAGGGAGAGAACCCACCTGCCTACTCACAGAATTTCTTAAAGGTCCATCCACCTGTACACAAAGGAAAACACATGTCAACAATGTTTCCTTTTACTCCTTGGTATTTACCCAAAGGAGTCAAAGCTTATGTCCACACACAAACCTGTACACAGATATTCATAGCAGCTTTATTTGTAATTGCTAAAACTTAGAAGCAAACAAGACATTCCTTAGTAGGAGAATGGACAAACTGTGGTACATTTAGACAATAGAATATTATTCAGCATGAAAAAGAAGTGAGCTATCAAACCTTGAAAAGATGTCGAGGAAGCTTAGTTACATGTTGCTGAGTGAGGAAAGCCAATCTGAAAAGGCTACACACTGTGTAATTTCAACTATATGACACTCTGGAAAGTGCACCTATGGAGACTGAAAAGATCGGTGGTTGTCAGTGGTTGAGGGGGAGGGAGTGATGAAAAGGCAGAGAACAGAGGATTTTTTAGGACAGCGAAACTGCTCTATATCATGTCATGATGGTAGAGACATGTCATTATGTATTTGCCAAAACCTACAGAACCCTAATGTAAACCAAGAGCGAACCCTAATGTAAACCATGGACTTTGGGGGATAATGATATATCAGTGTAGGCTCATCAACTGTTACAAATGCATCATTCTGTTGGGGGATGTTGGTAGTAGGGGAGGCTGTGTCTGTGTAGGGGAAGGAGGAATATAGAAGATCTCTACTTTCTGCTCAATTTTGCTGTAGCCTAAAACTTCTCTGAAAAATAAGGTTTACTTAAAAAAAAATTCTTTCAACAGCAGTCAGTAATGGTGCTTCCTTTCCTGGAGGTTCCTGAGTTAAAATAGTGAATAAAGAGATAGTAGGCAGCCATAAAAAGGAACTAGATCATGTCATTTGCAGGGACATGGATGGAGTTGGAAGCCATTATCCTCAGCAAACTAAAGCAGGAACAGAAAACCAAACATTGCATGTTCTTACTCATAAGCAGGAGCTGAATGATGAGAACACATGGACACATAGCAGGGCAACACACACTGGGGCCTGTCGGTGTATGGTCAGGGGAGGAAGAGTACCAGAAAGAATAGCTAAAAGATGCTGGGCTTAATACCTTGGTGATGGGTTGATGTGCAGCAAATTACCATGGCACACATTTACCTGTGGAACAAACCTGCACATCCTGCACATGTACCCCTGAACTAAAAATAAAAGTTGAAGAAAAAAAAGATAGGATTTTTTGATAATAATATGGTCTTATCTTATGAAATAAATTTATAACTCCAGATGCATGTGATTTTCTTACAGAAACATTGTCACTTAGCATCCATCATCTGAAATTTTCAACACCACTGTCTTTACAAAAACTCTTGAAATATGGATGATGGTATTTTAGATCAGTCCTCAAACTGGTCAACATCTGAACTGCCTTGGAGTTTGTTTAAAAAAATATATCTATATACATATATATAGATATATATAGCTACCCAGAACTCACCCCAAAGCTTTTGATTAAAATTTCAAAAGGATGAAGTGCCAGTCCCTGCATTTTAACCCCACTTCCAAGGTAATTCTTCTGCTCAACAAAGGATAAGAATCACTGAGGTGAAAGGAACCATTTAGTCCAGAGAAAGCAAATGCCTTGCACACTTATGAGTACGGTTTTTTCCTGAATAGCAGCAGACATCACTAATTCATCTGCATTCTTTCCCATGAACCTCAGAATTGCTCACCACAACTACCATTTGAAGACATTTGGCTTAGGAGGTAAACCTATTTGTTGGCCCAGGAGATAAAACTTATGCATATATTATTCCAGTCTTTTGGAAATCCATAAACCTACATCTCACTGGCCTATCACAAACATAAATCTGCCGCTATAGCCATATTTTAGAAAGATGCCATTCCTTTCAACTCTCACTGCCATCAACCTAGTCCAAGCTACCATCATTACCTGCCAAGATGGTAACAATACCATCTACCTGGTCTCTCTGCTTTGATGCTTCACTCCTGTAATACACAGCCCAAATTAGGTTTTTAAAGCAATGAAATAGAAACTGCTGGTGCTTTTAAATTAGGATCAGTTTGAATTTTAGATTAATTTAGGGACAGCTGACATCTTTGTTATGTAAAGAAGGTCATGTCATGCCCATACTTCAAAACCATCCAGGTCTCTTCTCATCTGTATCTAGAATGATCATGGCCTCTTAGTAGATGATGTGACCTCTACAAAGCTCGCTAATATCACCTCTCATCTTGAGGCACTCTCTCCTTCACTGGTTGTTTTTTCTTCAATCGTTTACCAATTTCTTGGCCATCAAGTTTTTCCCCATCCCAGAGCCCTGCTTACAATTTCTCGTCCCTCTCTCAGGAACATTCGGTCCCTCCCAATTTCCACTCAAGTTCCTGCCCCTCCCTTCAGGCCTCTGCTTCAGTCCACTTTCTTAGAGGGGTCCTCCCTGACCATTTCATCCCCAGAAGTGCTCATCACCCCCACCTCATTGCTCTTTGTAACTCCCTCTGTTCATTTCCTTCACAGTCCTTCTGATGAGCCACGATTATTTTGTGTATTCACTTTTTCACTTTTAAATGGCCTGCTTCTCACCCTGGATTGTAAGCTACACATGACAAGGACAGGGACAGCATCTGTCATGCTTATCAATTGTGTATACAGAACCCAGCCTCAAGCCAGACACAGAGCAGGTTCTCGATACATATTTGATGAATAAATTGATGGGAACATATTTTAAATTTTGTTTTTGCCAGGTGCAGTGGCTCACATCTGTAATCCCAGCAGTGGCTCACATCTGTAATTTGGGAGGCTGAGACAGGCGGATCACTTGAGGTCAGGAGTTCGAGACCAACCTGGGCAATATGGTGAAACTCTGTCTGTACCAAAAATACAAAAAAAATTAGCCAAGCATGCTGGCGCATGCCCGTAGTCCCAGCTACTCAGGAGGCTGAGGCAGGAGGATCACTTGAACCCAGGAGGCAGAGGTTGTAGTGAGCCGAGATTGCATCACTGCACTACAGCCTGGGTGACAGAATGGGACTCCATCTTAAAAAAAAAAAAAAAATTCTATTTTCCTTCATGTCTATCACCAGGATGAGCTAACAATAAAAACTCTGAGTTTCTTCACTTTCTGTTTCATGATCCTATCTGCTAAGTTTATGTTCATCAGTTCTAACCCATTTCATTTGTGTTCTGCATGAAGGCTCACCAAAGGACAACCACAGTCACAAAGGATATCACAAGATAGGAGGACAAAGTGACATGTTCTGTTGATGTCAATAAGCCTCTTTATCTGGTCACCCCAGTGCTCGCTCAATGGGCCTAGGTACTCAGTGGCCATGGTGGCAGGGATAGAAGCTACACATGGGCTTAACCCAGACTTCCTCTCACGAAGGCTGGCCTAGCTAAGGCCACTGCTGACTGCCTAGTGACACTCTTAGAAAATCTCTATGGCAATAATATTAAGATAACAATAACCTGGTGAAAATAACATTATTTTGATTATCAAAGTCCATTGGATCAGGTCATAGATAAATCTATGTTTAACTGAATTCTGTGCCATAATTGGTTTGATCATGCTCTAAGGTATTTATCTTATTGGTGCATTTATTTAAGGGTGTCCTAACTAATTCTATCACTGTCAATGTTGTTTACTTTAAACTTTTTAATTGTCTTTGTACTTCAGTTAGCACAGTTAGGCAAACCCAGAGACCAACACTGAGTCCTTAATATGGCACCATACCCTGGAGGAGTAGCCAGTTACCTGGGGGAAGATCAATTACATTAGACCCCTTCCATCATAGAAGGGACAGAAATCAGTCCTCATTGTAATATTCTGGAAATGAATTTGCCTTCTTGGTGTACAATGCTTCTACCAGCACTACCTTATGGACTCACAGAATGCCTGATCCACTGACAAAGCATTTTGACAGCATTATGTCTGATCCAGGAACTTATTTCACAGCAAAGTAAGTGCAGCAACAGGCTTCTGCCCATAGAATTAACAGGTCCTTACCCATACCCCAGTATCTGAAAGGAAATGGCCCAACTTAAAGGTAGAATGGTTTACTGAAGACTCAGTTATATTGCTGGTTAGGAGACACCACCCTAAAAAAATGGGACTCTGTCTTACAGAATGAAGTAGATGCCATCAATCAGATAATTATATGGTGCTGTTTTCTCCAGCACCACAGAATTCACGGGCCCAGCAATCAAGGGTGGAAGTGGGAAGGTCTGCTCTCACTGTTAAGACATTCACAGAATATTGTCTTCCCATCCTGCAACTTTGAGCTCTGCTGGTTTCCACATCTTAGTTTTTCCTTCCACTCATTATATTATATGAGTTTTATTGGAGATTAAATTTACAGTTTAGTCTTTAGATAACAGAAAACTCAGCTTTTAAGGAATTAACAGAACACAAAGATAGATGTGATGATTGCTGAGATTTTTTGACCTGATTTTGGGATTAGGGAAAGAATGTTTTCTCAATTGTACAAAGGATAGTTGCATCTTACAAGGAGAAGACAGTTGTTTTGCTGTTGTATGGAAATTCAAATATGCATATGAAGGAAATAAAAATATTTTACCCCCAAATATATTTATTTGACATATTTTGAGATCGCTGACAGAGAGCCAGCAAACAGAAGTGGCCCTGCAAAGCTGTCTGTTGTAGGGGAAATTTGCATCTATAGAGAATCTGCATTAATACGGCCAGGCTTTATCCATATCTAGGAAAGATAAACTGAGTCTGACACCTTAAAGATCTGAAAGAAACATTTACCTGACTATCCTCTCTAAGGGTTGGTACCTGTGAAATTTCAGCTATGATACATAACAAGAATACCTTTGCTAGCCAAGCCTCCTCCTTTCTCCTTCCTGTAAGTTGTCTTGTCACTAAAACCTAATTTGCCACCATAACTGTTTTGGTTGCTTTTTTGTTTTGTTTTGTTTTTGAGACAGGGTCTCACTCTATCACCCAGGCTGGAATGCAGTGGCATGATCATGGCTCACCACATCCTTGACCTCCTGGGCTCCAATGATCCTGCCTCAACCTCTCCAGTAGCTGGGACTATAGGCATGAGCCACTGTGACTATAGGCATGAGCCACCAGCCTGGCCCCCAAACCTGTTTTTGGCCATGCTCTGAGCCCATATTATTTCTGCAACTTCAAGTTAGTATATAAGCTTCTGAACCTCTTTTAGGGGGTTGGGTCTTTATTCTGAACGCTCCCACGTATACACGTTAAATAAATTTGTATGTCTTTTCTTCGATTAATCTGCCTTTTGTCAGTTATCAGGGAAACTTCAGGGGGCCAAGGGCCTTGACCCCTACATATAAAAGTGTAGGTCTGGATGCCCAGTAGTCAAAGAGGTGACCTGGGCCACTAATTAAGTTACTCTCCCTCAGCTACAAACCCTGTATTTGGCTGGGTGACATTGGGGCCAGGACTCTGCAAACCAGGCTTCTGCTCTGCCAGCTGCTCCTTGCTGGGTTCTGCCAATTAGTGATGCTATGGGGAAAGCTGCAGGGTGGGAGAGGGAACAGGTACTTGCTCCTTCCTGGTTTCTTCTTTTACATTCCTGCAAACCCCCTGCCACTGGCAGCCACAGTGCCTTCCCCAGCAGCAGTGAACTCCAGTTTGCCACACTGTCAATACTTGCAGATACACCCTCTTTGCACCTCATTGCATCCCTGCCTCAGAAGTCTGCATATTAGACCCATAGGGCCCTGCCTCTGAGCTCAGAGGCACCAGCATCAGTGCCCAGCATCTCTCCTCTGAGGGCTGGTTTTTCTTTGTGTGCCTCTACCCTCCCTTAAACTAAGTTTAAATAATTCCAACCTATTCCCTTTGTTTCCTCAACTCTAGGGGATGGGGGCTGCTGCCCGTCATTGCTGCCTATATGATATCTTAAAGTTATCCTTTTACCTTTGTAGTTACCCAGTTAACTACTTTATATATTGCTAACAATTCTTGATGTTCGATCCTCTGTTCACATAACAGACTGGCTTCTGTTTCTTGACTGGCCCTTACTGATCCAGTAAGGCATCCTCATCAATTAGGGGACACAGGATTGGCTGACCAGAATAGGATCATTTGCACATGAGGATGTTCTGATCAATAGCATATCTAGAGCACCCCTCCTTGATATCCTGGAATGTGAAAATTGACCTTCTGTGATAAAGGCTGACATATGTACAGTACCCTAATATTTATAACACATATTCACAAATTATCTGAATCAATCCTTAGAAGAACCCTGAGAGATGTAGCAAGGCAGTCAAATATATCCGCTTTGGAGACACAAAGACTTGAGTGCAAATCTTGCCTCAATCAACCCACTCATGGGATCTTGGGCAAATTACTTAAATATAGTTTTTACATTTCCTATTTCCATAGGTTTTGGGGAACACGTGGTGTTTGTTTACATGAGTAAGTTCTTTAGTGGTGATTTGTAAAATTTTGGTGTACCCTTCAGCCGAGTAGTATACTCTGAACCCAATTCATAATCTTTTATCCCTCACCCCCTCCCCATCCTTTCCCCTGAGTCCCCAAAATCCATTGTGTAATTCTTATGCCTTTGCATCCTCACAGCTTAGCTCCCACTTATGAGTGAGAGCATATGATGTTTGGTTTTCCATTCCTAAGTTACTTCAGTAACTTAGTCTCCAGTTCCATCCTGGTTACTGAGAATGCCATTAATTCATTCTTTTTTATGGCTGAGTAGCATTCTATCGTATATATACCACAATTTATTTATCCACTTGTTGATTGATGGACTTTTGGGCTGGTTCCATATTTTTGCAGTTGTGGATCATGCTGCTATAAACATACGTGTGCAAGCGTCTTTTTTGTATAATGGTTTCTTTTCCTCTGGATAGATATCCAGGAATGGGATTGCTGGATCAAATGCTAAATCTACTTTTAGTTCTTTAAGGAATCTGCACACTGGCTTCCGTAGTGGTTGCACTAGTTTACATTCCTACCAGTAGTGTAGAAGTCTTCTCTTTTCACCACATCCATGCCAACATCTATTTTTTTAATTTTTAAATTATGGCCATTCTTGCAGCAATAAGGTGGTATCACATTGTGGTTTTGATTTGCATTTCTCTAATCATTAGTGATGTCGAGTATTTTTTCATGTTTGTTGGCCATTTGTATATCTTCTTTTGAGAAATGTCTATTCATATCCTTAGCCCACTTTTTGATGGGGTTGTTTCTTTCTTGCTAATTTGAGTTCCTTGTAGATTCTGGATATTAGTCCTTTGTCAGATGTATAGATGGTAAAGATTTTCTCCCTCTCTGTGGGCTGTCTGTTTACTCTGCTGACTATTCCTTTTACTTAAATATTTTGATCCTTACTTTCCTCTTCTTTAAAATGGATGCTGTAGCATCACCCACCTTAGGTCTCTTGTAATGGTTGAGAGACAGAAAGTATCATTCAGAGAGAGATCATAAAGCACTTAGCATATTGCCTCATGCAATAAATGCTCTAAAATGTTTGCTACTGTTTCATGAATGAGAAAAGAGGGAACTGAAGAGCTGAATATACTTGCCCAAAGTTACTACATGAGGCATCCAGGACTTGCACTTGTCTCTTTGCACTCAAGTTACTTCCCACTGTTTCATGTGTGACACAGTTCTTCTGGAAGCCCCTCTATGAGGGGTGCAGGACCCTGGCCTGCCCAGGTACGATGTTTTGTGTAGGCAACACTTTACACTTAGTTTCTGTCTGCAAATACCTGCTCAGGTGCATCTTTCTGGTAAACATCAGCTGGTCCAGGCACACCAATGTGGGTGTGACTCAGGGCTCGTCTTTTGCCCTGTGGGACCTCAATTTCCTTAAGTAGAGTCATCATCTCCCACATTAGTGGTGGTTCTTATTCTTGTTCTTGTTCTTCTCCTTCTCCTTCTTCTCTTTCTTATTCTTTTCCTCCTCCTCCTTCTCCTTCACCTTCTTCTCCTTCTTCCTCTCCTTTCCTTTCCTCCCCACTTCCTTTTTTTTTTTTTTTTTTTTTTTTTTCAGACAGGGTCTTGCTTTGTCACCCAGGCTGGAGTGCAGTAGTATGATCATTGCTCACTGCAGCCTTGGCCTTCTGGGCTCAAGCAATCCTCCTGCCTCAGCCTCCCATGTAGCTGGGACTACAGTCACATACCACCATGCCCAGCTATTTTTTTTAAAATTTCTGACTGATAATAATTTTGTTTTTTGTCACTACGGCTCAAGCACTTTATTTTTACTTCAGTAGGTTTTTGGGGAACAGGTGGTGTTTGGTTACATGAATAACAAGTTCTTTCATGGGGATTTCTGAAATTTTGGCACACCCATCACCCAAGCATTGTACACTGTACCGGATGTGTAGTCTTTTATCCCTCACCCCTCTCCCACCCTATCCCGAGTCCCCAAAGTCCATCGTATCATTCTCATGCCTTTGCATCCTCATAGCTTAGCTTCCCCAGCTAACTTTTTAAAAATCTGTTTTGTAGAGTCAGGGTCTCACTATGTTGCCCAGGCTGATCTTGAACCCCTGGGCTCAATTGATCCTCCTGCCTCAGTCTCCCAAAGTGCTGGGATTACCGGCGTGAGCCACTGTGCCTGGTGTCCGTGGTTCTTCTTAGCTCTGGCTGCACTTTAGTATCACTAAGGAACTTTCTTTAAAACAAATATTGATATTTGGGTTCTCACCCCCAGAGATTCTAATCTAAGTGAACTGAGGTGTGACCTAGACGTGGTCATTAAGTAAAAAACCCTTGGAGTCTACTGTAAAGTCAGAATTAATAAACATTGTTCATCAATGTGCCCCTGGGTCAAATCTGGCTGATGACCTGTTTTTGTAAAGTTGTTTTGTTCTGAGACAGAGATTTGCTTTGTTGCCCAGGCTGGAGTGCAGTGGTGCCATCTTGGCTTACTACATCCTCCGCCTTCCAGGTTCTAGTGATTTTCCTGCCTCAGCTTCCTGAGTAGCTGGGATTACAGGCATCTGCCACCACACCCGGCTAATTTTTGTATTTTTAGTAGAAATGGGGTTTTGCTACGTTGACCAGGCTGATCTCAAACTCCTGGCCTCAAGTGATTCACCCACGTCGGCCTCCCAAAGTGCTGGGAGTACACCGTGCCTGGCCTGTTTTTGTAAAGTTGTATCGGAACACAGACACACCTATTTGTTTACATATTGTCTATGGCTGCTTTTGTGCTATAAAAGCAGAGCTGAGTAGTTGCAACACAGACCACGTGGCCTGCAAAGCCTCAAATATTCACTAATTGCTCCTTTACAGAAAATGTTTGCCAACCCCTATTCTACAAGTCTGTATGAACTCTATGGGTCCTCTATCTCTACCATGCTATGGATCTAAGATTCCTATCTGATAAATTAAATAATATAAACCACCCAGAGGAGTGGCTTTCAAACTTTTTAGGCTAAGACCTATGGTAAGAAATATATCTTACATCTGTAGTGGTTTAAAACACATGTCTACAAAGTCTTTGATGGTCTTCCCTTCAAGAGGTGGAGCTTAATTCTTCTTAGTATGGGCTGGACCTGGCGACATGCTTCTAAGGATTGTAATTCTTCAGCAGAAGTGATGGTTTGTGACACTGAAAACTTGGTCATAAAGAGGCATTTTGGTTTTCATCTTGGTAGCTATCTCTTGGATTACTCAGGTTATTAAGTTAGATAATGCAGGTCGGACATTTAGCATTGTGTTTGGTAATAGTAAGTGTTCCTTAAGTAAAATCTTAGTTCTCATTATTACAATGGTCTTAACAAAATCCCTAATAGTGAGTCATCCTACTAGAGATGATATGTACATTTTATAGGGAGGAATTGGGGACCTAATCTTATGACTCATTGGTGACATTAAAGTGAGAACTCTAGAGCTGACACCCTAACCTCTGTTTACCTCTTGCCATACCTCAAGAAATGCACTTGCACTTCACGTGCTTTGTCTCCCTTAATTGTCACAGCGACTCTATGAAGGACATCCCATTCTTATGCTCAGTTTAGGGCTGGGAAAACTGAGCACAGGATTTTTAACTGAACTCAAGGCTGCACAGTTAGTAGTAGAAGCAGCATGGGAACTGTCTCAGTCAGTTTGGGCTGCTATCACAAAATACCATAGCCTGGGTGGCTTATAAACAACAGAAATTTATTTCTCACAGTTGTGGAGGCTGGAAGTCTCAGCCCAGGCTGCCAGCATGGTCAGGATCTGGTGAGTGCCCCCTTCAGGCTTGCAGATGGCCAAGTTCTTTTATCTTCACAAGATGGTGGAAAGAGCAAGAGAGCTCTCTGCTCTCTGGGGTCTCTCAGAAGGGCACCAATCCCATTCATGAGGGCTCTATTCTTATGACCTAATTATCTCCCAAAGGCCCCACCTCATAATACTATCACGCTGAACGTTACGATTTCAACATATGAATTTGGGGGGAGGGACACAAACATTCAGTCTAAAACAGAAACCCTTAGTTGGATCCCAGAAACTGCCGTTACACCCACATTACTCTTTTAGGACAAGAAAAAGAGGGAAGCAATTTTGGGGAACCATCATTACTGCTGATGTCAGTGGTTGTGGGGATTGGGGCTGCAGGACTGAAGATCCCAATACATGGGCTGAAAGCCACCCCACTTAAGGTACAGGTATGAATGGAATGTGGATAAGAGCACTGCTTCTGGACTATGACAGGGAACTCTGTGACCACTGAGGAGTCTCTTTCCAAAGCCCAAGGGCAAAGTGATGCTTAGAAAAGATGCCCTGTAGTCCCAGCTACTCGGGAGGCTGAGGCAGGAGAATTGTTTGAACACGGGAGGCAGAGGTTGCAGTGAGCCGAGATTGCACAACTGCACTCCAGCCTGGTGACAGAACAAGACTCAGTCTAAAAAAAAAAAAAAAAGAAAGAAAGAAAGGAAAAGAAAAGAAAAGATGCCCTGTTTGCCCTCTGATTTCAAAGCACCTGCAGGCTCACACCTGTAGGCACTGCCTCAGGGCACAGATGTGGTTCAGAGAAAGATGCCTTGTAGAATGACTATGAACCAGGTAGAGCCTTCTATTCCCTGGAAGAGCATGGTTTGCTCATTTATCCATAGATCTGTGAAAGGAAAACAAAAACTCAGGACCCCAACTCACTATGTCAAAAGGAAAAGGTTAAGCTGAATGTTGAGTCATGCAAGAAACTGCTTTTCCTTTTATTCCTAAGCAGATAGCTATAGATTAAAAGTTAAATATCTCCACAGGTAGCTACTCTATGTTCAGCTTACCTTATGTAAAATGCTTATTTACCGAGTGCCAGATGTATACCTAATTGACTATTTCCCTACCTGCTTCTTTTATCCTGCAACATGAGGATTCAGTAATGCTACCATATCCTCGCCTTTTCCCCTCTAGTCTGCTTTTCCCTTTTAAATACTGAAGCCCTCAAAATCATCTTTGGAGAAAGTCACAAACCTCTTCCAGGGCATGTCCTTAACCTTGGCCAAATAAACTTCTAAATAAATTCAGGCCTGTCTCAGATACTTTTGCTTTACAGATTCATTGATGCATGCAAACATTTGAATGCTTATTATAAGCCAAAGATTGTGGGAGATACAGATATAAATAAAATGTGGCCTCTGCCTTCAAGGAGCATGAAGACCAAGGCTTAAGCTGCCAGTTCCAATTCTAGGAACTGAGCCTGTCGGGGGAAGAATGATAGTGGAGTTCAGGCCTGGGAGACTCTGCAGGGTGCCACAGAGGAGGAGAGATGTCAGAAGACCAGTTGAGCAGTATCATCAAGGAATAAATAGATTGGTGATGATGGGAACACAGACAAGGGAACAAACGTGAAATGTTAAGGACTCGATAGTACCGGGTCACTGACTGCATGGAAACAAAGGAAATGTTGGAGTTACTGGGATGGTTTTAAGTCTGTTCTGGCAATCTCTGTCCAGTAGAACTTTCTGCAATGGTAGACATGTTTTATCTGCCTTCTTCATTATGACAGCTACTAGTCACACATGACTATGGAACAGTTGAAATGTGGCTAGTGCAACTGAGGAATTAAACTTGCATATAATTTTAATTAATTTAAGTTTAAATCAGTTCTGTATGGGTAGGGGCTACCATGTTGGACAGCAGAGTTCTATAGTTAAGCACTTTACATGAATTACTTCATTTAATCCTCACAATGATCCCATGCAGTTAGGTATCACCATTAGCCCCATTTCATGGAAGAGGAAGCTGAGGCACAGAGAGGTGAAGTCTCTTGCCCAGGATGACATAGCCAGTAAGTGGGATTTTAGCTGAGATATCCTGGTGCCGGAGCCCATGTTCTCGACTGTTTCATAATTATGTCAGAATTCTGTTCATAAGCATCTTTTTACAGATATAAGCACCATTATAAAACAAATATATTATTAAAAACTTGTGAGATTTTGGAACTAGAATTATTTACAAGCTATTAATGCAGTTTACTCTTTAAATAAATTCATGTGTGTACGCCCTTCAACTCTTTGAGAAATCTATGAACATTTACTTGAGACAATTCACATCTCTAGCTGAACGACCCAATGAATGAATAAATTCTGGGAACTCCAGATGCTTTTCTACCAGAAGTCACTTAATCCAGGGAGGGAGCTCTTGGTAGGAATGGAGAATGGTCCTTAGTTAATTTAAGGAAAATCAGTGGGTATTTTTTGACTTCTAGTGTAGGGAATTGGCATTAGAGCTCACAGCCAGGGACTCTGTTGTGTGGATTTGAGAATGCTTCTGGGAACGTCTGTCTACAGTCCTCAAATATTGCTGACATTTGGCCTGTCCTGCCAGGAAGCTAAAATTGAATTCTAACGCCAGTTTTTTCTTCAGTGGGATTAGTGGCAAGTTGAAGAGAAAAATCTTAGAAGTGACATGCCCTGAGGAGGGAGTTAGAATGAATCATGAGCTCTAAAATAGATTTGAACCAGTGGCTCCTAGGGTAATGTGGCACAGCTACAGGAGACCAGCAAAGGTCACATGATGTGTTACTTCAGGATGAAAAGAAGGCAAATCATGCTGAGATGAAATGCCTGGTTGTATTTTCCTTTAGTTGAAAAAGGTGTAATTTTGAAAGAAGAGTAAAGATCCCCAATGCAGCAGTCGGCACATAAAAAACAATGTTCAATCCAGTTGACTTATCTTCATAGCAAAGCATGTTCCTCTGAAAGTTCCCTCATCTGTAATAGGGTGTCCACAAATGAATTCCTGGAATGTAGGGAATTTTTAGTCAAGCAATGTCAACTCACCATGCTGCAGGACTTAACTCTGACTTCATTCCTTCCTACCACCAGGGATATTAAGTACTCCATGTCAGGCAAGATTTTAGGTACTGGGGACATAGCAATGAATGCGTCAAACAAGGTCTGTGCTTACTTGGAGCTTACATTCTAGTAGGGGGAAAAAGGCAATAAACAAGAACATTAGACCAAGAAGAAAATTTCAGATAATTACACTTGTGTTGCAGAAAATAAAATAGGGTTTGAGACAGTAGTTTAATTGCACAGGGGCATTTCTCCTGGCCTGAATGACAGAAGGTAACTTCATTCTTCATTACCCTCACAGAATATTCCTTCCCTGCTCTCTGAATCTGTTCCACCAATCACTCCTGGTAAATTATAGCTGTGAGATGCTTGTCTGTGCTATAATCATGTGAGTATAAATTTGACTTTGATTTGATTCACCCTGTTGCTCACATACGATTTAATGATATCTAAGGAAATTTGGTGGTATCCAATGGGGCTCTATTTACTTCAACTACCATTTTATTTATTTACTTTTTGTGCCCCCAACTAGAATCCCTAATTTGGTCTACCTTTTACCTGGCTGGCTTCCTTTCTTCTGCCCACTCTGCATTGGACTTTGTCATGATGATGGATTTGCTACACTGAAGTTGAAGTTATCATCACTGACAAATGCTAGGGATTATTTGGGATGGTTTATTCCTCTTGTATAAGGTAAATAACATCAGTCAGCCATAGCATTACTGGAAGTATAAAAAGGTGCCATCAAATTTTATCAGGTATGGAAGGATCCAGTATCAAACAGCACCTGATAATTTCTGCTTTTTCAGAATTCGTAGGCATTGTGTAGACTATTTTCTGACAACTTTCCAAATCAATTAACGAATCACAGCATGGAAAGATCTCTTTCCCTCTCTTTGTTGTATCACACCTGGAAAGCACCATATGGGAGAATGCCCCCAATGGAGTCAACAAAGTGGAAAGATCAAGTGCACAGGAACACCCCTCATCAGTGAACCAAGCCCACCATACCTGCACCTTGATGATGCTTGGGATTCCAGCTTAGCCTTAAAAGTAACCTGGGTTAAAAGTAACATTCCTTCAAGTAAGACAGAGGAGGGGCTCTGGGAGACACTAATGGAACTGGTTTCATTTGCTGTGCCCTCACTTGATGATAGACTTTGAGTAACTCTCTCACCATTTGTGTCCTGTGCTCTAATTGAAGAAACCAAACAGTGTCTGGGGTGAGGTCATTTGAGATTCTTCTCTCCCTTTCGAGGCAGTAAGTGTCCTTATCCTATAGGTAGCTCCCACAAAAGACAAACTGAGGAATCCTCCTTTGCCCACAGATATCCATCTCTTCCAGCATCTTTCCTCAGTTGCTCCTCATTTCCTAGCAGACAGGCATAACAAGGGATATCCCAGGTGCGATGGTTAATATTGAGTGTCAACTTGATTGGACTGAAGGATGCAAAGTATTGTTCCTGGGTGTGTCTGTGAGGGTGTTGCCAAAGGAGATTAACATTTGAGTCAGTGGGCTGGGAAAGGCAGACCCACATGCAATCTGGGTGGGCACAATAGAATCAGCTGCCAGTGCAGCCAGAATAAAAGCAGGCAGAAGAACATAGAAAAACTAGACTGGCTTAATCTCCAAGCCTACATCTTTCTCCTGTGCTGAATGCTTCCTGGCCTCAAACTTTGGACCCTAAGTTCTTCAGCTTTGGGACTCAGACTGGCTTCCTTCTTCCTCAGCTTGCAGATGGCCTATTGTGGGACCTCACCTTTGTGATTGTGTGAGTCAATACTCCTTAATAAACTCCCTTTTATATATACATCTATCCTATTAGTTCTGTCCCTCTAGAGAACACTGACTAATACACTGGGATTCTCCTCCATTCCTTTCTGCTCTCAGCAGCCATGGTGGTCTTTTGAAAACATATATCACATCATGTCATTTGCCTCCTTTAAAGCTATTCTGCTGCACTTAATAAAACCCACATGGTTAGTGATGGCGTCCAAGGCCCTGCTTTGTGGCTCCTGGCTTCTCACCCACCCTCAAGTAATGTTGTCACTATCTGGGCTGCCACCCTCGGGGTTACATGGCTTCTGACAGCTTCCAGAGTGTGGCAGCTGCTTTTCCACTTTAGGGACTTTGGTAGGCATTCCTTTTGCTTGGGATTCCCCAGAACATTGCTTCCTTTAGATAAAGACTTGAATGGCACCTCTCTAATGAAGCCTACCATGATGTCCTCATCATAGTAAATTTTCTGCCACCCCAATATTATTCTCAGTCACTACACCTTATTAACATAATTTGTGATTGTATATTTCTTTCTTTACACATGTATTGCCTTTGTCCCTATTAGCTTGCAATTACCTTTACTTTCCTCATTAATTTGATCACGGACTTTGCAGTAGGGCCCTTTACCACTCGTGAAGGTGGAGGCCTCCCTATCTTGAAATAGGAGAGAAAAGAACTATATGGGTTTGCTGAAACTGCTGTCACAAGTACCACTGACCGGGTGGCTTAAACAGCAGAAATGTATTGTCTCCCAATACTGGGCTGGAAGTCCAAGATCAAGGTGTTGGCAGGGTTGCCTCTGAGGCCACAAGGGAGAGTCTGTTCTGGGCCTCTCCCTAGCTTCTGATGCTTTGGCAGCCACCCTTGGTGTTACTTGGCTTGCAGAATTAACACCCTCATCTTTGCCTCTGTCTTCATATGGTGATTTCTCTGTGTGTCTGTATCCAGATTTCCCCTTTTTATAAGAATATCATCATAATGGATTAGGGCTGACCCTACTGGCCTCATTTAACTTGTTTACCTCTGAAAAGACAATATCCAAGAGTGGAATAATTACTGGGGACTCAGAAGGGTGGAAGCGGGGTGAGGGATGAGAAACTACTTAATGGGTACAATGTACACCACTCAGGAAATGGCTACACTAAAAGCCCAGACTTCCTCACTATGTAATATATCCATGTAACAAAACTGCATTTCTACCCCTTACATTTATACAAAAAAAGGATTCTATCTCCAAGTAAAGTTATATTCTATTACCGGAAGTTAGGACTTCAACATATGAATTTTAGAGCAGAGGTCCCCAACCCTCTGGCCACGGACCCACTACCGGTCCTTGGCCTGTTAGAAACCGGGCTGCAGCAGTGACTGAGCATTACCTCCTGAGCTCCACCTCCCAACAGATCAGTGGTGACATTACATTCTTATAGGAGCGCGAACCCTATTGTGAACTGCACATGTGAGGGATCTCCATTGTATGCTCCTTATGAGAATCTAACTAATGCCTGATGATCTGGGGTGAAGCAGTTTCATCCCAAAGCCATCCCCTGCAACCCCGGGTCTGTGAAAACATTGTCTTCCACAAAACCAGTCCGTGATCCCAAAAAGGTTGGGGAGCACTGTTTTAGGGGGACAAAATTCATAGGACTACATCACCATTATATCCATAACACTCAACACGATGCCTAACACATAGTAAGTACTGAATAAACCCTTTCTGAATGAATGAATCAAAAGCTGATAGTGGGACCTGAAGGGAAAATACTGGATTGGCAAGTTTTCATAAAGTTGGGTGATAGAATAAGGTTGTGTTTTCCATTATGTAGTCAATGGTTCACTGTAGCTACTGAGCACTTGAAATATGGCTAATCTAAGTTGAGTTGTTATTGCAAAATATATACCAGAGTTTAGACTTTAAAAAACATCAACATAAGAAAACACAATATAAAATTTCTTAATTTTTCTACTGACCATTTGAAGTAATATTTTAGATATGTTAAATATGTTACTAAAATTAATTTTACCTGCTTATTTTTTTCTCTAATGGAGCTACTAGGAAATTTAAAATGACATGTATGGCTTGCATTATATTTGTATTGAACAGTGTTGGTATAAGGAGAGTTTGGAGCACAGACACAGTACTGTTTTTGTTTTTGTTTTTGTTTGGAGACAGAGTCTCTACTCTATTGTCCAGACTGGAGTGCAGTGGCATGATCTTGGCTCACTTCAACCTCTGCCCCCTGGGCTCAAGTAATCCTCCCACCTCAGCCTTCTGAGTATCTGGGACCATAGGCACTAACACCATGGCCAGCTAATTTCTAAATTGTCTCTAGAGGTGAAGTCTCACCTGTTACCCAGGCTGGTCTTGAACTCCTGAGCTCAAGTGATCTGCTTGCCTCAGCCTCTCAAAGTGCTGGGATGACAGGCATGAGCCACTGTGCCTGGTCTAGCACAAGGAAGTGTTAAAGTGGAGAGAAAAAAAAGCCAGGAAATAACAATGATGTTATTTGTATATGTATTATATGTATTTGTGTGTGTAACAGTATGCACGTGTATATAGTACTGTTGATGTATATATATGTGTGGATATATATTTTAGTACATATCCAACATTGTGCTAAGTATATGCAAACCCTTAATTTTTATGATCTGATGTGTTAATATTATTATTCTTATCCTCATTTCACAGATGAGAAAAGTGAAACACCAAGAGGTTGGGTAACTTGCCCAAGGTTACTATATGTAGAGATGAAAACTCAGGCATCCTGTCCCCTGAGCCCTCTCCTACACGCCCTGCTTCATTTTCATGAGAGAGCTATCTCTGTGGAGAGGGTAAAACACGAAGATGGGCTGAGTTGGGGAATGTAGAAATCTGTAGGAGAATCCTATCTCCTTCCCAGTCTTTATTAGGAGAGAGCCAAAGCAGACATAACAAAGAAGCTGAGCCAAGTCGCTTGTGACCCTGCTATAATTGCCTCCACTGTGGGATCAATGAGGAAGCCAAATGCTGAGCAGCTGTGACATCTGCAGTAGCTGAACAGGATAAAGAAAGGGGTAGGGGCGGAGTAAGAGCATTTCGACTTTCAGGGAAGCCTTGGGACTGGAAGTCAAGCAGAAAGCAAGTGCAGACACAGAACACAATTAGCTACTGGAGCCTCTCTCTTTGCAAGGGCTCCACCCTGGGAGGAGGCTCTGTGCAATGTGAAAAAATGAGCTCCCATGCTGGAACACCTTCCTTTTCACTGCAAAGGCATTTGAAGGTACTTATAAGAGCCTAATTCTAACAACAGCTTCTAGATTCCCTGTCCCAACATCTGACAGTTAATACTGGCTTCATTTAGGGTACCTCCAGCTCTGGCTCAAACAAAGGGTGTGGCAAGCAATAATCTGACAAATTGGGTCACTCCCTCTTCTCTTCCCCTAACACTAACTTTCCTCAGGGTCAAGCAGAACAAAACCACGTTTCTTCATGCGTGATCAGACTTTGAAAAGTTTATGTAGACTCTTAGAATTGTAGAAAATGTGTGGCAAAGCTCTGGTTCAGGGTGCAGGGCTTTACTTTTGGAGAATTAAAGAGACATGTGCTTAAATCTCCACTCCCTGATTTTATTAACTGTTGGACCTTGGACAATATTTTTGTTTTGTTTTGTTTAATGTCTCCAATCTACAGTTTCCTCCTGTGAGTTTTCTTTAGTACATACCCTTATTGGGTTGTTGTTTATCATTCACTTAGATACTGTATACAAAGCACTTGGCCCAGCAACTCCTACCTTCAGTAGCTATTTGTTGCTCTCCTACTATGCGTTAGGCATATGCCCGACCTAGCTTATTTACTGTTCCCTTAAGCAGATTCCTGAGGCCTCAGTCCAGACCTATTGAATCAGAATCTCTGGGTGGAGCCTGGAAGCCATAATTTCAACACGCTCCCCAAGTGATTCTGAGGATGGACACTGAAGATGGAGGACCACTGGGTTTTATTTTTATTTTATTTATGTATTTATTATTTTTTTTGAGACAGAGTCTCATTCTGTCACCCAGGCTGGAGTGCAGTGGTGTAATCTCGGCTCACTGCAACCTCCACCTCCTGGGTTCAAGCAATTCTCATCCCTCAGCCTCCCGAGTGGCTGGGATTACAGGTGCCTGCCACCACACCTGGCTAATTTTTTTTGTATTTTAGTAGAGACAGGGTTTCACCATGTTGGCCAGACTGGATCACTTGAACTCAAGTGATCTGCCCACCTCGGCCTCCCAAATTGCTGGGATTACAGGCATGAGTCACCGTGCCTGGCCAGGTTCTATGTTAATATCTATGTTAATATCTAATAAAGTAATTATTACTTTATTCCGTTAATTAAAAGTCTTGAGAACAGAGATTATTTTTCTCTCTGTCCTCACTACTTAGCACTGAAATCTCCGTGAACTTGTTGACTGAGTGAATGATTCCATCTCATGAAGCGTCTAGGTGGTTCTCAATCCTGGATGCACGCTGGCCTCAACTGGGGTGGGGGAGGGGCAGGTGTTTTTAAACAAATACTGATTCCTGGGCCCTGGCCCAGACAATTAAATTAGACTCTTCAGAGGTGGGGCCAGAAAACTGCTATTTTTTTAAAAAGTTGAGATATAATTAAAAAAAAAATCTGAGATAAACCTTGGGAAAGTTACCGAACCTCTCCATGCTTCACGTTCCTCATAAGCTCAAATCTTAAATATATAGGTCAATGAATTTTTATATATGGATCCACACATTTAACCACAGGCCAGATCAAGATGTGTAATATGTTCAGCCTTCTAGAAGGCCCCCTCATGCCTCTCTCAGTCAGTAATATACATTATCCCTATTCCCTCCCACTGAGAGAGTTTTAAAAACTCCCCAGGTGATTCTGATGCACAGCTAGGGCTCCGAGTCACCAATTTAGATTCTAGAACATTGGACTTCCCACCTCTGCCACCTCCCACCACATTTGTGAACTTGTCTTTGGGCAATTTCTTCATGAGGTGATAAAGAATAGGAAATAGTAAGATTAATCTTAATTAAATTAATTATCAGAGCAAAGAGGAAATTAAACACTCAGGCTAACCGGAGCTTATTATCGCTGCCTCCTCCCCGTGCTTATCATTTCTTTTAATTCCTGTCTTATGACTTCCTCTGTGCCTATTCCTTCAGGATCCCCCAGTGAATTGCTACCTTTGTGAGGTTTGTGCCCCTCCCCCAGAAGCCAGTCACTGTTGCTTCTGTAACAGGAAAGCAAACAATAAAAAGCAAAGCATTGGGATTTGTAATTTCTTTGGGGCCAAGAATTCCTCAGTACAGTCCTATTTAGCTTATAGACCTCTTTTCAGTGTAAGGTTTTAAAATGCATAAAATATATGATATTATAAAGGCATCCAATTCTATTGATATACATATATCAGAATAATTTTAAACATCATTTTTAATAATAGGTATTTATTTATTCATTAAATTACAAGATCTAGCAACAAACCTAATATCTATGGTAATCTGGTATAGTGATAAGTGTAAACAGTGTTTCAAGGTATCAGCAGCAATTGTTAACACGATATAAATGTTTCTGCTAGTATTATTTTGGTTTGTTGCCTACATTCATAACTGAATGAAATGTTACATTTCAGGTAAAGGTTAGTAAAAATAAAGATGCAATTTGATTTTCAGTTGAATTCATGGACCTCCTAAATATAATTCATAGACTCCTCCAAAATACCCCTGAATTCTTTGTGTAAGATAGTTTCAAGTTCTTGTCTAATTGCTATTTTTCTGGATTATGAGCCTTAGCTAGTGAGAGTGATTAGCTTGGCCAGCTTGGTGATTTTCCCTGCAAGGGAGCTGAGATAGGAAGGCTGAAGTGATTGTCCACTGGTAGCTGAAACTGGTAGGTAAAACTGAATCCCAAGTCTCCCCTCAGGTCAACACTCCTAGCAGCTTGGTTATGATCTGATCTTTTGGGTTGTAGCAGGTTTGCTCATTTCATTTGTTTGTTTATTGATTCATTCATCTATGGTATTGCTTTATATTCTAAGAGCTATATGCATGACTGAACAATTTAGTATCCTTCTGTTACCTCACTAATCCCATCGTGGCTACTCAACAGCAACTTAAAAAACCAACACAATCCTGAGTAAAAGCTTTTCAGTCCTTCTAAAACATCTAGAAATACATATTTATAAAATGGGATCATACTGCCAATTTTCTGCAACTTAGTATTTACACTTTAAAATATATATTTTGACATCTTTCTATTTCAGGAGATATATACACTTCTTTAATGACTACACAAAATTTCAACGGTATTGTATGAAAATTTTAAACAACTTAATTGATGGCATTTTAATTGTTTTAAATTTTTTTGCTATTAAAAATAATGTATATTTGTGTATATATTTCTTTGATCACACATATGAATATTTCTTTAAAGAAGACTACTAGAAGTGAAATTCTTGGGTCAAATGGTATTTTTTAATTTAATTTTGATAGATCCCATCTTATTTGTTCTCCAGAAAGACTGCCTGTTTCTATTCCCCCCAGCAAGGTGTGAGGGTACAAGTCCCCTGCACCCTTGCTAACACGGATATTGGTAGTCTTTATTTTAAATCCTTCCAATAAGGCGAAAAATCTGATACTGCTGTCAAATATTCATTTCTTTGTGTACTCACAATGTTGAAACTTTTTTCATATGCTTGTTGCATGTTTGTACTTATTCAATGTTTATGCCCTTTGCTCATTTTCTATTTAGGTTATAGATGCGTTTCTTAAATGATGAATTAAAAATGAAGCCTTGTTGTTCACCTCTTAATGTCGTTTCTCCAGCTTGCATCCTTAATTTAATTAGCTAAGAGTTGAAACATTTGCTATTTATATAAAATATGAGCAGCCAAAAATCCTTTTGGAATGAGGCAGGGTTATAAATAAAATGCACTTTTAAAAATATGTGAAACATGGTTGTGTGTAACTTGCCTCAGTTCTTCCCTTTGATTCCACTGGAGATGTTTGGCACTAAAATCTGTGGATTTCCCTGAGACTTTGACAACTGGTCATAAATTGTGCTCTAGGGCAGTCCTCTGACTTAGCTTGGTATTATTACCACCTTTTGTGAGAGGAGGAACAGGCCAGAAAGGTTAAGACTGAAGGCCATATAGTTAATGGATGCAAATGAGCCAGCCTCAAACCTGGCCAATTCTGAGAATTCTAGAGTAACCACATCAGGACTTTCTCATGGTGAAGGAATTGCTAATGATTATATAGCCTTGCAGCATGGCTGAATTGTTGCTCATTTTCTCTTTTATACTGTAATAATAATACTGACTACAATTTGCTGAGCTTTTACCAAATGCCAGATATTGTGAACATTATGTATTAACTTCTTTAATCCTCATTAAAACTCTGTGAGATAATGTGATGGGAGTTTGTTTTGGTTTGGTTTTTTTGTTGCCCAGACCATTTCTCCTTCTCCTGGTAAAGGACTACCATTTCTTTCAGGGGGATGACCTCTTCCTCACTGTATTTATTTGTGTCGGTGAGGTAGGAGGTGGGGCTCAGGGTCCAGACCAGATTGAAGACTGGCTGAAACAAGGAAGAGACAAAACCACCTCTCCATAAGACATGCCCACCAAGGCCTTGTCAATTTACCATTGCCATGACAACACCTGGCAGTTATCACCCCTTTTCAGGGCAATGACCTGGAAGTGGCCAACTTTTTCTAGAAATCTCTGCATGATCCACACCTTATTTGGCACGTAATTAAAAGTAGGTGTAAATATGACTGCAGAACTGCCCCTGGGCTGCTATTCTGGGCATACTGCCTGTGCGTTAGCCCTGCTCTGCTGCTGCTGTACCCTGCCGCTTCCATTAAAGTTGCTGTTTAACACCACTGGCTTGCCATTGAATTCTTTTCTGGGTGAAGCCAAGACCCCTCCTGGGCTAAGCCTCAGTTTTGGGGCTCGCCTGCCCTGCATCAGTGGGACCTGTCCATTAAGGAGCCTTGTCAAGGAGTGATACTGTAACCCAGCCCTGGTCAGTGTCACTCTCCAGGGACTTGGAATCTTTCCTGTTGGAGCTGATGTTTCTCAGGGGTTGTGCCCTGAGATCATTCATTCCTGCTACTTATAGCCTTATAGCCACCTGAATTTCTGCCTTTTCTGAACCTCATATGCAGCTTTTTAAAAAAATTTCTCTATATTCTTTATATTATTCCAATACCTCGACCTTTGGTTCAATCAACCTCAGTATTTATATAGTATTATTAGCCCCATTTTATAGATGAGGCCATTGAGGCTCATCCAACTTATAAATTAAGGAGCTGGGAACTACAAAACATCTGTTCAATACCAAGAAACTCTTAAATGCAGGTAATGTAAACAAGGTCACAGCTAGTTGGTACAAAAGAAAAGCAAGCAAGCAGACAAGCAAGCAAAACATGTTGGTAGTTTCTATTAATTTCTCTGTTACAAAGCAGTTGAATTAAAAAGTCATTTTCATAATAAAGGAATTATATATACATTACATAACTTTGCATCATGGTTAATTCATTGCTCATTTTCTTCATTTTTGTGACTGGGTACTGTACATGTTTCTAATGTGGAGAGATCACATTAGAAGAATACTCTTCCCTTCCACTTACTGTTTTGGAACTGCTGTTTAGCTTTGGTAAATGGAGGCCAGAAAGATCATGGGAAAGCCAATTACCACACGGCTGTGATTCCAAAGGCAAAGGGAAGACATGAGGGTGGGGAGCAGTGTGGGTGAAGGGAGGAAGGTCATTTGGTGTAAAGCAAGACATAGAAAGAAGCCTGCCTGCAAAGTATCAGGTGGTTCAAAACATAAGGTACTCACTTAGAAGGGCAGAAAAAGTTAGCTAAACAAGAAACACTATTTGGCAAAATTCACAGATATAAACAAAATATGATTGGGTTAGACTCCTAAAGAAAAGATGCCTAGGAGCAAAATATTACTGTCATTTTAATATTATTGATGATGATCTCCTGCCACATATGACACAAATTTTTTCTGGGGTCAGTAAAAGTTTTATTTAAAAAAAATTAAGTTTCTACCTATAGACTAAAAGAGGCTCGAGAGAGATAGTACCCAATTCACTATGTATGAAGCTCATTCAGAGAACAATTTAAATTTAAACAAAGTTTCAAAAAATTTCCAGATATATACAAAAACATGGAAATGTGACCATATTTGATAGCAGATGATAAGAAATGTTTGTAAATTTGTTATAGGCATCATAACGGTTTCCTGCCTATGACTATGGGTGGTTGTTCTTGTAAAAGTGCTGTCTTTTCAAGATACATGCTGAAATAAATACAGATGACATGATGTTTGAAATCTGCTTCAAAATCATCTGAGGATGGAAGAATGGGGGGTGCAAAGATGAAACAAGAATGACCATGACTTGTTAGGTGATAAAAGCTGGATGATACCTACATGGGGCTTATTATACTATTCTCTTTATTTTAGCACATGTGAGGTATTTAGCCAGGACTAGAGGTGCCCACCACCACTCCCAGCTAATTTTATATTTCCGGTAGAGATGAGGTTTTGCCATGTTGGCCAGCCCTATCTATCTATCTATCTACCTATCTATCTATCTATCTATCTATCTGTATTATATATAAATATATATTTATATATATTTTTGCTGGGGAATTAAACATTATATTACATTTGCTTGAGTCACAAAAGATACCATATTTTGGTAAAAAATGTTTTACATGAACCTTAGAAAACATTGCCACATATTAACATATGCACATTAAATATCATAAATACTATAATACTTGCAGATAAAGTCCTTAAATAATATTTAAGACATTTCCCTTAGTTATTTAAAATACCACATATGACATTTGGAATACCATCAGACTATGCTAATTCACGTTTATCCCTTGCTTGTGGACAAGAAAATAATAGATTGTAATATGTGGTACCACATTTCAATTTATAATGATTATAAATCTTTTTTTTTTTTTTTTTTTTTGAGATGGAGTCTTGCTGTGTCGCCCAGGCTGGAGTGCAGTGGCGCGATCTCAGCTCACTGCAAGCTCCGCCTCCCGGGTTCATGCCTCAGCCTCCTGAGTAGCTGGAACTACAGGCACCCGCCACCACACCTGGCTAATTTTTTGTATTTTTAGAAGAGACGGGGTTTCATCATGTTAGCCAGGATGGTCTCGATCTCCTGACCTCATGATCCACCCGCCTCAGCCTCCCAAAGTGCTGGGATCACAGGAGTGAGCCACTGCATCCGACCATAAATCTATTTTTTAAAAAACACTTTTTTTTTGAGACAGAGTTTTGCTCTGTCGTCCAGGCTGGAATGTAGTGGCATGATCTTGGCTCATTGCAACCTTTGCCTCTTGGGTTCAAGTGATTCTCGTGCATCAGCCTCCCAAGTAGCTGGGACTACAGGCACTTGCCACCAGCTAATTTCTGTATTTTTGGTAGACACAAGGTTTCGCCACGTTGGCCAGGTTGGTCTCAAACTCCTGGCCTCAAGTGATCCGTCCATCTCGGCCTCCCAAAGTGCTGAGATTACACGTGTGAGCCATTGTGCCTGGCCTATGATAATAAATCTAGATTTAGTAGAGAATGGTAGAAAAGTTTCTGGAAAAATCTAGAAAGCTTAGGGTTCAGACCTAAATGATAGTTTTGGCTTGGTTTTGTTTTTAAAAATGTAAAGTCAGACCTTTATGCAAACTCAGAATGTTCCATATCATTTGCTTGCTACATGGTCTGACAGATCAAAGCACTTTGCCCTTTTCTGAAGGTGGCATTACATTAGATACTGTCACCCAAACAAGATGACTTTACTGTCTATATCAAAACCAAACCTTTAAAAAAATGACAGAATTGGGACAGAGCAATGACATGATCTTTGTCCTTACATCACATTTATGGGGTATCAGACCAATTAACTGAAGAGTATATCGGTCCTCCATCATCTGCTCATTGTGACTAACGCCTATCATGTAGTTTGACTGATTTTTTTTGGTTGAATTAGTAGATACTTTGGAGACATCACAAGATCTTGAAAAGCTAGTGTTCCTATCCCAAATGGAACAGTTTTTCTACTTTCCTGGTGGTACACCTGCAGATTCTCCAAATGTTAATGGTTCATAAGATCAACGTTAGGAAGGCAGAGATAATTAAAAGACTAGTGAAGCTCACGATGTAGACCATTCAAGCCACCCTTTTAATTTTTGGTTATTTCATAACTTCTTGGTGGCAGGGCAGTTTTCTCTGTCAGCAACAGCCACAGAAAATCTACATACTGGAATAGATTGATTTTGTAATTTTCCTCTATATGCAAATATCTCCATATCATTCACCTCTCACTCACTACACCCACTACATTGAAGACTAGACAGATAAAACAACCAACAAAGAGTTGGATTACTAGCTCATCACCAGCCAAGATGAAATCACATCTGCTAGGGCTCAGTACAGAATCACATGCTGTTGTATTAAACACATCTTTGTTGAATGAAAGATAAATGCCAAATGGTCTGGTAACAACACAAATGAGTCCTGTGGTGTTTAGCATTTATTACACAACCCAATAACCCAATCATATCTTTGGTCCTGAGCTCCGTGTATATTTAATTGTCCACTTAGATATCTAATCAAAATATCAAAGATAACTTGCACAAAAGAGAAATTTTGACTCCGCCCTCCTCCAAACCGGTTCCTTTCTCATCTTCGAAAATAACACCTACATTCAACCCATTGCTTATATTTAAAAACCTGGGAATCATGCTTATTTCCTTTTTCCCCTCACATTCCATATCTAGTTGAGCATTCTTATTGGCCTTGTTTCCATATTGTTCTGCTGAATTTGACAGCTTCTCAATATCACAAGACACCATCATCTCTCACTGCATCAGATTCCTACCTGGTCTCCCTACATCCACATTTCAGACCAGTTTCCTTAAAATAGCCAGGGTGATCTTCTCAAGGCATAAATGAAATCCTATTACCATTCTGCCTAAAATTCACCAATGGTGTCCTGTTGCATCCAAACTCACCATCATTAACTACCTGATTGACCCCATTAGATCCTACTCACCTTTCTGACTTCATCATTTACCACCATCCTCCCTGTCGCATGTGTTCCCACAACACATCACACTCAGTTTCTTCTTGCTGTTCCCTCTACCTGGAAACTTATTTCCCATCTAGCTCACGGCTGCCTCCTTCTCAATGTTTATTTCTTGGGCCATAAGTCACATCTTAGAGTAATTTTTTTTTTCTCTTGACCACTCTAGCTAAAGAAATCACTCCTCCCTTTTCTTGACATTCTATCTATTGTCTTCTTTTACTTATTTCATAGCCCTTACTACCATCTGCAATCTTATTTCATTAGTCACATGTTTATTATCTGTGCTTTCTTAGCAGAATGAAAGCTCCCTAGTGCCAAGAACCCATTTATCACCTTTCCAGCACCATGTCTGACTCATTGTAGGTGCTCAGTACATGATGTCTTGGTGAATGAATGAATGAATGAATACATTTTTTTAAAAAAATCTACTCATGTAAATGTTTGAGAGACCACTATGAACCAGGAACTTTCTTCTGAAGCTACGTAGGTCAAACAATTTCTACCTGTAAAGAGTTTCTAGACTGTTATCTTTGAACTCAAAGAGAAATGACCAGAGAACTTGCTGTTTTTCTGTACAGGTCCAAAGGGCAAAATCTAAGCTTCTTGTCTTCTGTAGCATAGCCAGGTGGTATTCCTAGAATGCCAGTTGGAGAATCCTAGATGTTTCCTAGTTGAGTAACTATTGCTCAGTTATTCTCATTCATGTGTAGACATGAGACTGGGGTGGGCTCAGTAGGTTGAGTCAGTTTGGCAGCAGATCTATAAACTCCAGTCCTCTAAGGTTAAGGAGATGACACATTCTAATCCTACATTTCTGAAAGACAGAGTGCAACCCACATTCCCAGGAGGGAACATATTGTCAGCCGCATCAGGAGCATTTTGCTCTCTGCAGGCAGTGGCACTGCTGTGCGTGGATATCACATTTCCTTCCCAGAGTCCGTGGGAGGCCTCCTTGAATGTGAGAAGTGCAAACAGAGAGGGACACATTTGTTGTACAGAAGCTGGCTCCGGGCTTTGGGTTTGGAGACAGGCTGAAGATATTTGCTTTAAAATGTCACAGGTAAAGTATGGACCTGTGACTATAGAACATTTTTCGTGAGGGGAAGGAATCAGAAGGCCTTCCAAACACAGGGACTCCTTTGTGCATTCAGAGGTCCTGGTGATGCCGTCTGGGTTTATATATCAATCCCTTAAATGAGCTGAGTCCCTCAAAGGCTTCAGATCAGTAGAGATAATGACTCAGATCCTGAAGAGACCTAAGCTGGGATCTGCATGGCCTAGCCCCTGCCTGCCTTTCTGGCACTGTCTTTTATCATAGCCCTCCTGGGCCCTGTTCTAGCCATACAGACTTTCTTTCAACCCCTGTGACATCTAGACACTCTCCTGGCCCAGGGCCTTGGCACATGCTGTTCCTTCTGTCCTAAATGTTTCTCCTGCCCTCCCTACTTCACTTAGTGAAAACCTACTCATCCTTTACATACCATACTCAAGCACCAATTAGGAGAAAGTACCCCTGACCCCACAGACTATATCAGATTCCGTCACAGAGCTCTGTTTCTTTCCTTCAGAGTTTTAATCTCAGTGTACAACTATAAACTCCCTGGTGTGATATTTAAATTAACTTGTGTCTTCCTCAATGATCTGTATGGTATGCAGTGCAAGGACTTTACCTGTGTTTGCTTACCATTAGATTCTCAGTGCCAAGCACAGTGCCCACCTTTAGCAAGGATTTGTTACATATAAATAATTGGGTAATCTGCAAATAAGGGTAATGCATCCCTGGAAAATATACATCCTGAAAAATGTAGCCATTGCCTAAGGAAAGGCTCATCCTACCATTACACCAACTAAATGGCCGTGATGGTCATTCATCATTCAGTTGTTAGGAAAACATTTCCAGCTCTCCACCTTCTGGGAGCACGGTAGGATTTGACTACTTTTAACCTTGGGATTTGGTGGGGTTACACGACTACTTCTGGCCTATGAGTTGTGAACAGAAGTGCTCTGTGTCCCTTTTAGGCTGAAAGCTGTATTTTCTGGTGAAAGACCCTCCAGAGCTTTCTTTTGCTCTGGCACAGCGGGAGCATCATTTGAAAACGGGGCTGCACCATCAGCCTGGGACATAGGATAACAGAGTCTCTGTCAACTGATGATGGACACAAAACACAACAAAGAAATAAACACTTCTCTTTTAAGGTACTGAGAGTTTGAACTGTAACCACAGTACAATGTAGCTTACCCTGACTCATGGAAGAGCTGAATCCAAACTTCCTTAATCAAAAAGTAACCATAGATAGCAACAACAATAATAACAATCATAAAAACTTGTTGAAAAGTTAACATGTGTCAGACATAGGCTTTATAGGAATTATCTATTTCATTTCAACTTCACAAGAATGCAGGAATGGTATCAGGGGGGCATTTTTGCTTTTGTTTGTTTGTTTGTTTGTTTTTTTTTGAAACACGGTATCGCTCTGTCACTCAGACTGCAGTGCAGTGGTAAGATCATAACATTGAACTCCTGGGACTTCTAGCCTCAAGCAATCCTCCCACTTTAGTCTCCTGAGTAGCTAGGACTACAGACATGCATGTACCACACTCAGCTAATTTTTAGAAAATTATTTTTTGTAGAAATGGGGTCTTGTTATGTTGTCCAGTCTGGTCTCAAACACCTGGCCTCAAGTGACCCTCCTGCCTCAGCCTCCCAAAGTGCTGGGATTACAGGCATGAGCCACTGCACCTGGCCCTAGGGAAAAACATTTTTAATTTCAGTATACAGATGGAGAAATTAGGCTCAAGGAAGCCAAGCAAATTATGCAAAATCAGCTTGTTTGTAAGAGATGGGGCCTGATTCTGCTTTACTTCAAAGCCCACATATTGTTAATCACCATTCTTTCCATATTGTCCATTATATTGTTAGTTTTTTTTTTTTTTTTTCTTTTTGAGGCAGAGTCTCGCTCTGTCACCCAGACTGGAGTGCCATGGTGCGATCTTGGCTCACTGCAAGCTCCGCCTCCCAGGTTCACCCCATTCTCCTGCCTCAGCCTCCTGAGTAGCTGGGACTACAGGTGTCCACCACCACGCCCGGCTAATTTTTTGTATTTTTAGTAGAGACGGGGTTTCACTGCATTAGCCAGGATGGTATCAATCTCCTGACCTCGTGATCTGCCTACCTTGGCCTCCCAAAGTGCTGAAATTACAGGTGTGAGCCACCGTGCCCGGCAGGTTTTTTTTTTTTTTTTAAAAAAAAAAAGAAGAAAAAAGAAAAAGTAAAAATAGACATTCAGGTCTCTGTGTGAGGAAAGAAGGCATAAAGTGCTTCTGCTCATCAGAGCGGCTGGGATCTCAGGATAGTGGGACCATTCTCCCACAAGAGATTTTTGTTGGTGAGAAAACCGCCAGGACCCCTAACTGCATGTGCCTAACAATACTGTTCACCAGGGGGGCATTTTAGCCAGGTTTACTCAGGAGCAGATTTTATGGAGGAAATTACTTTACCGTGGAGGAGAGTTTGTCCTTGAACCCAGACAACAGTAGGAAAGTTGGAAAATTGAAGTTCAGTGCTCTAAGCTGTGGGTAGGTAAGCACACAGATTTGGAGACCACCGTATCACCGCCTTCTAAGAGATTCAGAAAACACTTTAATTGGACTGCTGTGACGCTTCCTGAAACAGACAACTTCCAGACTATTCTGCTGCTTTACAACATTGTCAGTATCTAGTTTGACAGATCTTTCCAACTTAGATTCAACAAAAAAGCCAAACAAAACATTAACTATTTTCAGTTAATAATCATTTAAATAATTTATATGACAATAATTATTATTACTATTGCCAGGCACTATGCTAAAGGCTTTATGCACATTATTTAATTTAATTTATTTAATGTTCACATCAACCTTGTGAAGTAGGTACTATTTTAAATCCGCATTTTGCAAATGAGGAAACAGAGGTAGGGGAAGTTTAAGTAATCGCCCAAGTCATGCAGCCACTAGTGTCAGATCCTGGTTGTGAATCCCAGTCTGGGTTCAAAACATGATGCTAATGACAACCACATAAGAACATCACCACAGTAATAGAAAGCACGCAACAAATATTAGCTGTCAGGTGCTAGAAACTCCACTAAGGATGCATGCATCTCCTCATTCAGTGCTCATAACCACCTGATGGGGTTGGCACTGTCATTATAGTTGAGGAAATGCAGGCTTGGAAGAGTTAAGTATCTTGTGCAAAATCACAGAAGCAGCAAGGGGCAGCCTCTGAATTTTCACTTAGGTTGTCTGGCTCTAGAATGCTCACTGTGGCCTGTGTTGAGCAAAGATTTCACACAGAATTAGGGAGAGGGGCTTCTTCCTACCTCTCTGTGGAAGACGGCCATGCCGACTTGGTGAGGCAAAGGCTGCAGGGCACCTCAAGGCTTTGCAGCTTTGGAAGTCCCTTCAGACAGGATCCCGGAAGGGAGCCAGAACCTTTATGGAGGACAGTGGCCACAGTGGTGTGGTGAAGACCACCCTCAAGTGGCTTCATAAACAAGGATATAAGCCCAAGTGAACATCTCATGAACATCTCATGAACATCTCAGAAGTAACTAAGGGAGACTCAGGGACTGGCTGAGATCCTGTGTCACACAGGTGGAGGCTGGAGCCAGAAAGTGAGTTGCTGCAATGCTTTCACAGGCTCATTTGCCTTTGAGTAAATCAACTTCTATCTTTGCTCCACTGAGGAAAATCTAAGATAAACAGCTTCTTTTCTGGCAATTGTCTCTCCAACCATGACCAAAAAAGTATGACCCAATAGTTTCCATAATTGAAAGAGCAAACCTGCCCTGCTTAGGCATAACCACACATGAACAGATTGATCCAGCGTATAGTTTCTCGACCTCATCACTACTGACATTTGAGGTTGGGTAATTGTTTTTTGTGGGGGTGTGTCTGTGTGCGTGGTGGGGGCCGTGAGGGTCCTGTGCTCTGTGAGACATTTTGCAGCATGCTGGCCTTTGGCCTCTACTAGATGCCAGTAGAAAAACCCCCTTACCCCCAGCTGAATAAAAAACTCACACATGTCTGGGAGAGGAAGGTGGTGGTGTCAAAATTGCCCCCAGTTGAGAACCACTGATCTAGCAGCTAATTTTATTCATTAGTTGAGGACTTAATATAGTACTAGGCTTTGAGGATGGTAAAGGGTGCAAGCTGGGGCCATCAGAAAGCTCCCAGTTTTAAGAAAAAGGAGCAGATGTTAACCACACAATTATGGGAATAACTTCTTGTAGAAAGTGCTACAAGGGAAAAGTACAGTGCCTTTAGCTAAGATGAAAAACATTCTTAAACCCAGCTGCGAGGAGGTAATTCAAATCGACTAGATTTTTGTCAAGAGAAGATGTTGTAGGTCTCCGATGAACGCCAGTAGATACTGCTGAACCCGAGTGTGACCAGGCTCTAAATCATCTTAAACTCTAAAGCTTTTCCAGTTCAGCGGACCCTGATGCCAGCCTTAAGGTTGCAGACGGGTAGAGGAAAATGGACACAGTGTAGACAGCCTTCCTTTCACGTAAGAGGGCATGTGGGGCTCACCTCTGCTGTCTGAATATACATGAGCTAGACTCTACTATGCATTTGATCTATCAAGTAGCTGTCAGAGGACTACACAGGTCTGGGAATAATGTACTCAGATGTTTATCAGGCTAAATAGGAAAAAAAAATCCACTGAGACTGAGGCAAGGGGAAATATATCCCTCTAAAAATAAACCTGATTTTAATTTCAAACTGGGTCAGTTTGGCTTGGGAATTATTGGGGAGTGTGTCTGAGCCGCTCAGGAGATGAAGTGGAACCCTTGCTAATTTAATTTGCATATGCTGCTTAAAATGCGAGAAGCCTGCTGCTCTGAGCCTGGCAGCTCCCTGCACGCTGACACTTTGCTGGCTTCCTCTCCTGCCTCTGCGGGCTCTGTCTGGAGAGGCACTGAGGTAGCCACGTTCTCAGAGAGGTCAGAATTCAGTGGGAGGCCTTGGAGAGGCTTTGTCTCAGGGCCACATGCCCAAGGCAGGGTGGAGGAAGAGCACTGGGTGGAGGGTGTCACAGTTCAGGTGGCCTTATGTGGGCACTTCTGTGTCCAAGGGAGCTGCACTTGTGGCTTGCTGGTGCAGTGAGATGGGCGCCAGCTGTTTCCCTGCAAGCACTTAACCTTGATGTATCTGCACTCAGGAAGAATGCTCAGGAGCTCCTCCAAAACAGGTGCAAAATAGAAACAGGGATGATGCTGCAGCAGGGCTCAAGGTCCTCACTGACTGCCTCTGCTGCACTTTCATTCACCATGGGCTCTTTGGAGACCACCACCTTTCCTGTATTCCCTCCTCCCTGATTTTTTCCTCATCCACATGTCTACGAGCTTTTATCTCAGTCACTCTCAAACCTGCCTCCCTTTTACTGATGAACTCATCAGCTCTCACCTGAGCACAATTGCAATGGCATGCAGCTCAGAAGTTCCCAGGTTTGGGGATTTCATGGACTAAGAAACAATAACAGTTTAAAAACAAATGAATCAAGGCACAGACATACATTTAATTTTGTCTGGTAATGACATAAAAAAATTCCTACTATTTACTATCCTACTGTGAACATTATTTCATAAACAAAAGGAATTTTAGTGCCAAAAAAAAGTAGAAAAGCGGTAGTTTCCAAATAATAAAGCATTCTCAAGAAAGTACAACTGGGACTGTTGGTATTCTCATATATGTGGTGTTATGCGTCACACACACACAGTCTTTACCTTCCTCATTTAGCAATGCATCAGTGAAAACTCTGCCAAGAACTGTCACCAGCCCAAGGGCCCACACATGAGAACCAGCATCCTCATTTCCCCAACTCATATTTCTCTGTTGCTCTCCACGAAACCTTCAAAAGATAGCTTCCGAAAAAGACAAATCTGATCATACCTCTCCACTGCTGAAAACCCTCCAATGGCCCCTCAGCTATTCTCAGGATAAGCTTAAACACACTTGGGGAAATAGATGCAAAATGATCTGCTTGAATTTCACGGCTAATTCTTGACAGAGCCTGGGTTTGAACCCCAGGCATGTCTGACTGTAGTGAGAGTGCTCTGTGCCAGTGAGCCCCAGGCTCCCCAGGTGGCCTGGCCAGCCTGTCTGCCTGTTGGAAGACTTCCAGTTTTCTGCCTTTGCTTCTTTCCCATACTTCTGGACTACCAGCCTCGGAATTCCCAATCTTCTCCTCAAAACCCAACCTCAACTTCTCTCTCTTGCTTCCTTTATCAAAAATCTAAAATCTAGTAGAACTGTCTCGAATGATGGGAATAGTCCACACCTGCACTGTCCAAGATGGTAGTTAACAGCCCTAAGCAGCTAGTGAGCATCTGAAATGTGGCCAGTGTGATAGAGGAATTACTTTCTATTTTGAGTAAATTTTAATTAAAGTTGGATTAGTGACACATGACTAATGATTATGGTACTGGACAGTGCAGGTTTAGACATTTCTCTGTACATTTAAATCCTAACAATAGTCTTCAGCCCGGATCAATTATCCCATAAATGTTCAAAGGAAAAGTTAGTATAGCAGGGCTAGACCCTCTGGGTTTGAACCCTGGCTCTTGCACGAATTAGCTCTGTGATTGTGAACAGTTTATTTAACAACTCAGTTTCCTCAACCATTGAAGCAAGAATGATAATAGCACCCACCTCATGGGGTCGTATGATGATAAAATGAATTATTATGTGCAAAATATTTAGACATTGCTGGTATACAGGAAACACCGGTACATTTGCTATTATTATTATTTACTTAGTTCATACTATATGGGAAGCTCACAAGCAAGTCTGTACTAACCGCTGAAGAAAAATATGTTAGGTCTTGCTCCTAAATCAATGTTTTAGAGGAGTCACCCTAACTCATGGCAGCAGTGGCCAAGGGAAACATTTATCATGGCATTCTACAGGATCACAGTTGACACTCAGTGCCTTACTAGCAGGCATTATCACCACTCTCCATTTCAAACACAGGGTAACTGAGGCATTGAGTCATAAGCAGTTTGCCCAAGGTCACATTGCTAGAACCTGCCAGAGTCTGGCTTTGGACACTAGGCTCATCACATGGTGGCAAACCGCCTGCTCCCTGACCACTGAGAAGGGAGGAGGCTGACGGCCTATGGTTAAGAATGCTACTCTGACCAAAGGCAGAGCATAGAAGGAAAAGATGAGGGGATCAACAGGGTGAAGGAGGAACACAGTAGATATTTTTGAAGCTCCATCCTTGGGTAATTGAAGGATGGAGGGATGAGTAGCCTCTGGGCAGTCACTGTCTGCAGCTATTGTTGGTAACTCTGGCCTGGCATAAATCCACCTTGGGAAGGATGACAGGCACAAAGATGTCCACTTTAGGTCCATGGAAGAGCTTTTGAATTCATCTGGTTGGAAGAATTTCCTTCATTTCTCCTCATAGCATAAGTAATGGATTTGTACCTCCTTGACTTTCCTATATTCAAATTTGTAATAAAACTTTGGTTCCAGACTAAAGAGTCATACCCCTTGGACTGAATGAAAACAACCCTGAGTTCCTCAGTAGATCAGGCCTTAGCCACAAATATCAGGTGGATTGAGTATCTACCTCCTTCTGTCAGGGGCCATGGACTCAGTCCTCACTAGAGGAGACATGGAATTATCTCTACTAGGAAACCTAATTTGCTTTATCTTTAATTACAGGAATCCAAGATTGCTCAGTGTCTGGTTATGCAGGGGATATGCGATAGCTTTGAGTGACCCATTAAGTGTATTGATCAATTGCTAATAATAATAAAGGATTCCAGCCAAAGGAAGCAAAAACACTATTTACCAAAAGTAATTAACCCTTCTGCTTCCTACCAACCAATAAACCCTCAGACAAAAATTCTTCTTTCTTAATGGCACAGTAAGACTAGTAAAACTTTCCACAACAGAGTCAAGTTCTTGCTCTATTCAAGTTTCCATCTGGTATTGGTAGGCATTTGGGAGTTACATGGACTTGTACAGGTTTTTGCACGCATCTCTTTAAAAAGAAGTCATTGCTTTAAGATCACACGGGTAAGGTGTATTTTGGAAGTGAAAACAGGAAGCACCTAGACTGTCTTAGATTGCTGGTAGCTGTGCTTATTAGTAAAAACACCTTGGAAAACTTCTTGGCACTATTTACTAAAGCTGAGTATCTATTTATAGATATCTAGATATCTATCTCCAGAATTCCATTCCTGTGCTTCTACCCAAAAGAAAGAGAATTGAGTGCTAGCATACACCGAAGAGCATGTATAGGAGTATTTCAGAACAACTTTATTCATAGTAGCTTCAAACTAGAAGCTTCAAACTACAAACCAGAATACTGCACAGCAGTGAAGGAGAACAAACTACTGTTACCTGCAACAATATAAATAAAGCTCATAGATGTGAAGTCAATCAAGAGAAGGCAGACACAAGAGGGTAGATATTTTACAATTTCATTTATATGAAGTTCAAAATAGGCAAAACTAATTTGTAAGAACAGGTTTAGTTGGTGAGAAATCTGTGGAGCATTGTTGATTTTACAGGCCCAATACCCACCTTTTCTCTGATTTTGCAGTTGTCTCCATAGCAATAGTCACAGACTCTAAAATGGGTAGCCTCTTCAACAAAAAAAACTGTCATTCTCAACAGCTGTCTGTGAAAGTGTGCAATGCCCTTTTAAGGAGGCACCTGCGGAGATGTAGGGCTTTTCCTCATTTAGAGGAATTATTTTGCAAACAATAATACTAATACAACACTAGATGAGAAAACCATGGGAGGCCTCTTATAACCATTGTCTTGAGGGACAGAACTACCATTCACTTAGAAGCTAACATTTCCATTCTGAGAGTTTGTGATTCATCTGATGGGAATTGGATAAAGGAAATGGAAATTCTGATGAAGCTTCCCCTCAAATACTTAGCTCACTTATACCCAGAGTGACACTAAAATGAAAATGTTCTGGCTGATAGTCTTGTTCTTTTTCTGTAAGTTCAGGAGCAAGAGTAGGTTTTAAGAAATGACACAAACTCAATTTTGGTTCTACTTGTGTTTGCTTAGCTCTTATCAGATTAGAAATGGCCATATATACATTGCACCCTTTGATTATGTTTATAACTCTACAAGGCCAATAGAGCATATGGTACTGTTATTTTTCAAGTGGGGAAATTGAGGCTTATCAACACGAAGTCGCTGTCCCAGGTCAAACAGCTAATATTTAGGCTGCTGCAAAAGTAATTGCGGTTTTTGCAATTATAAGGGCAAAACCGCAATTACTTTTGCACCAATCTAATAAATGACAGAGCTGAAACTCAAATCCAAAAGGGTCTGTTTGCAAAGTCCATGTTCTTTCTACCATCTGGGCTGTTTCTCCCAGCAAAGATTGTCCTCCTCTCGAACATCTGCAGGGAGGTGGATGTTATATGTTCCTTACTACCTTTAACAATCTGTTTACAACCTAATTAGGAAAATTTTTTCTATATCTAACACTCACCTCACTTTTTCCTAAAATAAATTCATTTAATTTTTCTGGAAGATACTGAGCCAAATCTCAGTTTTCCTTTTTCTGACTATATCTTCATTTCCTTAACTTTCCCCTTCACAAATAATTGTTACCAAAGGTCTTCAGCACCCACCTCAAATATGGCATTGAAAACTAGAGCTGGAGCTTGAGGGAGATTTTGGATTCATTGTTGTTTCATTTCCAAATGTAAATGTTCTCTTAATGATAATAACATAAGTGACTGAGTTATCTCATTCTGGAGGCTTCTTGGCAAAGCCTGACTGCTTGTGTTTAATATTCTCAGATAACCCCTTCAACCAAAGGAAGAAGAAAGTGAAACATATCTGTGTTTTATTCTCTATTATCTTTAAAATAAATATTGTAAGCTTGACTTGGGGGCGGCGGAAAACTAGAAAGAGATGAGCAAGTGTGTTTAAAACCTTAAGCAGCTTCTTGTGTCCACTAGGGTGGATAACTGCTTGCAATTTGGAATGAAATCCGGAATCCCTCAAAAAACCTGCTGGGTGACCTTCATTAGTTCACTTTTCACAACTTTTCTCATCTATAAAATGGTGGTATTAACACTATCTACTTAAGATTATGCACACTTATACTAATACCTGGCATAAATGCTAATCCTTTCTATCATTACATGCTTTTGTATTTAACCCCTTGGCCTTAGCATCTGGATCTACTTCAAGTGGGGTGGTGACAGCATCCAAAAGGTTCACATTGCTGACTCCACTACCTGATTTAGTGTGTCAGTTTTCTTAGGACCCAAATTGATGCGGAGCCATTGCTCTCTCTCAATGTTTGCAGACAGATTTTACTTGTTTCTCTGAGCATGATCACCCTCATAATGGAATGACTAAGGGCTTCTTCCAAATGCTCCAGGAATGGTGGAATCCATTAAGAAAAATTGTCAGGGAGTGGAAGGATAGAAGGCATTTGCAAATGCCCTTAACTGAAACCACAAAGGTGCAGAGCAGGTTAGAGGGGAGATGACTTGCTAATTCAGCCCCATAATGAGAGAAGGTGGTTTGCACACCAGCCAAACTGATTTATAAAGTGGGGTCTAAGAGCTCAGTCTTTAATATCAGAGAGACCTTGGATGAAATCTCAGGTCTGCTACTCACTAGAGTGGTTTTAGGCAAGTTACTTAAGCATTTTGCATCTCAATTTCACAATCTTTAAAATGAAAAGAATAAAAGTATTTACCTTATTGGGTTGTTGAGTGAGAATTAAGTTGTCTGATACATAATAAGCATAATCCAAATTGTAGTCACTATCACCTCAATGTTATTATTGTTGTTGTTTTCTGCCAAGTGCTGGGTAACCTTGTATATCCTGCCTTTAACACTTTCTCATTCTACATCAACAAGGAAGGGAGACCTTCTTTGCATCTGTGGTGGCCATTAGTGCTGCCTGCCAAGTATTTCTGGTTCTCGTCTCTGCTGGGCATGTGGTAAGGCTATACTCTCAGCTCTCCTTGTATTGAGTGAGTCTAGTTCTGGCCAGTGGGTTGTGAGAGCAAGTGATACCAAACTTTTGGCATAAAGCATTTAATTTCTGGTTTGAGACCTTTCAGAGCACTCTATTCCCTCTGGCATGGCAATTCATGATATTGGATACATTGGCTGCTCTATCAGCCAGAGTCTCTGAAGTAGACTGTGAATCTGTGAAGTATCCGTGAAGTAGAGTCCTTCTGTCACTTCATGACGGTCTTCTTTGTAGCCATTGAGATGATGGGGTTGTTGCTATGGCATATCTGGCCTATCCTGACTGACGTCACATTCCTACCCCGGTCCAGTGCTTCCCAACTGGTGGTGATTTAGCCCCTCCCACATCTCCTGGGGATGTGTGACAATGCCTGGGGACATTTTGGTTGTCACCAATAGAAGGTTATGCTACTGGTATCTAGTGAGTAGAAGTTAGGGATGCTGCCAAACATCCTACAATGCACAGCACAGCCCCTAAAACATCGAATTATCCAGCTGAAAGATTTGGGTAGTATTCTAGTCAAATACTGAGCTCCTCTCAGCCCCTCATACTCCTCACCCTATCTCACTTCCTATGTTTGGATAATATAGCTGGAGTGGCAGGTACACTGCAGGGACATGCTCATTTCTTACTAAGCTTCTAAGCTTGGTGACTTGGGTCACTGTGAGCTAAGATGGGGCCAATAAACATTCTGCCATGAATATTCTGCAGGCCACTCCTTCAAAGGGTACCTTCAGGGTTGCACCAGACTGGGAGACCAGACACTGCAGGAGAAATAAAACTGCTTTCTCCTGCAGAAGTCTCTTTCTGTTCTTCCATTGCAAAGCTGTTACTTTTGCCAATGAGTTGCATACTTTCCTGACGTCTTCTGGCAAAATTGCACAAAGACCATATTCTAGATCATGAAACATTTTAGTGTGAAGGCTTGGAATGGAAGAGGAATTTGGCATATGTATGAGATGGCCATTTGGGCCCAGGCTTCTGACAGTCCAATAACTGTTAGCAGTTTGAGTTGAAATTCTAATAGACCTCTTTCAAAGACATTGATTAGCACAGGTTTAAAAATGACATGTCCAAGGTGACATGATTAGAGATATAACTATGACCAGAAACAAGACATGCTCATTCCCTCATCTTTAGTCTTTGTAAATCTATGTTGGAGAGGAGAGAGGTCTTGGTGAGTGGGTGTTAAATACAGTGCATAGAGGAATTAGTTTGGCCTTCCAATTCTGATGGCCCTGAAGTTTTGATTTTACTTTATCTGTATTTCAGTCTCCTGTATAAAAGTTGTGATGAGAATTGTGAAGGACATGTATAAAATCTTTAGTCAATGCCTGGCATGTAGCTGTCACTCACTAAATGGTGGCTATTACAGCATTGTGAAATTTAGTCCTTACTTCTGCAGTGGAGGGTGGAGCTGAGAGGGATGGCATAGAGGTGTAAGGCTGCTGCCTACTTTGGAGGTATAAAGAAGTCTGGAGAAGGCAAGGTAAGGAGATGGCAAAAATCTCAAATTCAGTATCATGTGTGTGAATGGTGTCTCACCTTCCAAACTGAGGTAGTCCACATTTGTCATTGTGGTTAATAACTTGTACCCCAAATTAGTTTGCTTTGTTGGCATGTATACTCTCTAATCCCAGAACAAGAAAGAGTCCCCTATACTGGTGCAGCTCTGGTTCTAAACTTCTGAAAAGCCATCACAAGTACTAGCTCTCCAACTGGCAATAATTTTACAAAGCAAATAAATTGCAATGTGAGGTAGGAATACAATTTGCCAACACATATTTCTTGAGGTGTATTATATGTAAGGCACTGGTGAATGAGGAGTGAATCAGACAGGCTAGCTCCTGCCCTCATGGAGCTGACTTCCTGGTGAAAGAAACTGATCATATGCAAAAAAAAAAAAAAAAAAAAAAAAAGTAAAGAAGGAAGAAAGGAAAGAAAGGAAAGAAAGGGTAATTCGTGCTGAAAACAAAAGGGCGCTGGGCTAAAAGCATGGCTCCGGGATCATGAAGGCCCCTTAGAGGTGGAGCCATGTAAGCTGAAACATAACAGATGAGAAGGATGTAGGGGCAGTGCATTCAAGGGGGAAAGAACAATCTAGAAAGAGCAAACGGCAGACCTATCAGAACTTTCACAAACATTGTCTCATTTTGAACTTCCTCATAGTCTTGTGAAGTAGGCATTTGTGGTAGGTAGCTTCTAACAGGCTCCTAATTTTCTCTGCCTTGGTATTCATGCCCTTGTGTAACCTCTTCTTCTTGCATGAGGTCTGGACCTAGTGACTTGCTCCTAACAAATCAGATACAGCAAAAGCCGTGGAATGTCACTTCAGTGATTAGGTTAGAAAAGCCTGTGACTGCTGTACTGCAAACAGACTCTCTCTTGCTGGTACAAGCTGTCAAGCTGGAAAGTGTCACATGGCAAGGAAGTGAAGACCTCAGTCCAACAGCCCACAAGGAACTGAATCCTTCCAACAACCACTGAGAGAGCTTGGCTATAGATCCAGCCCTAGTTGGGAGGACAGTGACTCCAGCCAACACCTTCGTTGCAGCCTGTGAGAGACCCTGAAGAAGTGGACTCAGCTAAGCTGCGCCCAGATTCCTGACCCTCAAAAATTGTAAGATAAGAAACATGTGTTGTTTCAAACCACTATGTTTCAAGGGAAAGTTACACGACAAGAGACAATATAGCATTCATGCACTTATTCACTGATTCACTTATTCAACAAACCTCTTTTGCAATTTCCTGCAGGCCAGGCAATGGCCTAAGGAAATAAACATGCACCTTGCACTCTCATAAACTCATAGAGGGAATGCTGCACCTGGTACTAAATGACAGGACATGTGTACTCTGTACTTTTCCTGTGGTTGTAATGTCTTATGGTGGAAACAAATATAAGGGAGATAATACTCTGTCAGGCAGTCAGAGAAGGCAGGAAGTGAGGAGACTGAGGTTCAGAGAGGGTAAGAAGTTGCCAAGGGTCACCGAGCTCCTCCGACACATTCTGCTCTGTTCAGTTGTGATGGAGGGTGTGTGTCTATTTCCAGTGCAAGACTATTTTGACCTACAATAGTCGATGGCTTTTCTCTTATGCTCCCTGATAATCTAGAGACTATATGCTGAAATGCATTATTTCTTGCAAATGTAAACTAGGCAATGGGTTAATCAGAGTTCTGTGACAAAGATTAAGCATACTTCCAATTAACTTTCATAAACCAGAAATCAGGCCACTCTAACCTAACTCATTACTCTGTATGCGTTTGATCACAGTTGGGGTCACCCATCTCTACACAGGCAAATATGCTGGTGTCGGAGAGAAAATGATTGAAATGATACCTCATGATGGAATCAAATTAGCAACAGAAATTAGTTACATAGAAATGTAATGAAGGCAAAGATGCCAGAAGAGCGTCTATGGATGCTTCAGAATTTGAAGAAACTTGCCTGAGAGATGAGCCTAATGTTTTCATTTTGTTTTAATAATTTGCCAAATCTGCAAACCTAGAAGGAGTCTAATTAAAGTTAATGAGAAATAATCTCCATTTTAAAAGTCTTAATAATTGATACTTTTGTACAGAGCTCTTGTACATTTTTCTCCTGAGGTCATGAAATATATTACATTCAAACTTCAAATTTAAAAGGCACTGAAATATTTTGTTTTATTCCTTTCCTTTTTTATCTTTCTTGTCTTAGTTTCCTTCCCATTTTATGAGGCATATTTATTGTGAAGCATATTTTGTTTATGAGGCATACATATGAGGCAAAATTTTTTTAATTTTTACATTTTAATTTGGGTAGTTTTTGAGGAAAAGGTGGTTTTTGGTTACGTGGATAAGTCCTTTAGTGGTGATTTCTGAGATGCTGGTGCTCCTGTCACCCGAGCAGTATACGCGATACCCAATATGTAGTCTTTGGTCCCTTACCCCAACTCCTACCCTTCCTCCAGAGTCCCCAAAGCTCATTATATCATTTTTATGCCTTTGCATCCTCACAGCTTAACTCCCACGTAAAAGTGAAAACATGTAATAGTTTTCCATTCCTGAGTTACTTCTTTCATTCCGTTTTACGGTGAGTAGTATTCCATGGTGTATATGTACAACATTTTCTTTATCTACTTGTTGGTTGATGGACATTTAGGTTGGTTCCATAATTTTTGCAGTTGTGAATTTTGCTGCTATAAATATGCATATGCATGTGTCTTTTTCATATAATGACTCCTAAAAGGGCGAGCTTTATGGGCACAGTTTGACGAATTTTTACCTATGTACCCATTCATAAATACCACCCAACTGCAGATATAGACCAATGCTGCACAAAAGAGCTTTCTGTGATGGTGGAAATGTTCTATGTCTGTGCTGTCCATTTTAGCAGCCGCAAGTCACATGTGGCTCCTGAGTAGTAGATATGTGGCTAGTGTGATTGAAAAACTGAATTTGAAATTTATTTACTGAGGTAGTCGCTACCATTTTGGACATTACAGACATAGAACATTTCCATCATCTCAGAAGCTCCCTGGTGTACTTTTAAATCAGTACTTACCCAGTGCCCCCTCCTTTTCCCTCTGAAGTAGCCACTATTCTGATTTCTATTGCCATAGATTAGTTTTTCCTGATCTTGAGTTTTATATAAATGAAATAATAGAATACATACTCCTTGGGTTTGGACATTTACTCTCAATACAATGTCTATGAGATTTATCTTTTCTGTTGAATGTGGCAGCAGCTGTCCTTCTTTTTAAAATTTATTGTTACTGTATTCTATTGTATGGCTATGCCATAGTTTGTCCATTCTACTACTGATAGATATTTAGTTTTATTCTAACTTTAGAAATAAAACTGCTACAAATATTCTTGTGCATATCTTTTGGTGGTCAAATACGCTCATTTCTCTTGGGTATTTACCAAGAGATGGAACTACTGAGCTTTATCCTCCCCATAGCAATGTAGAAAACATCCAGTTGCTTCATTGTAATAAAATTTTACATTTGAAACATGGCTATTTGTAAAGAGTAAAATAGTTACTTATATTCTATTCAAGGGAATGTACAACTAATTGAAACATTATGGATAATATCCAATAACTAAGATGCAATTACCTTATGTCCCAGTAATTATACTTCTAGGTATGTTCCCTGGAGAAATTCTTATATATGTGCACAAGAAGTATTTATAACGCATTTTTTTGTAATAGCAAAAAAATACTTATTTCATTAAGTAAATGACGGTATATTCATATTGAGATATCACCCAGAAAAATAGAGCTACATGCATAAATATAAATCAATCTCTCCACTTTAATGATGAGTCAAAAAAGCAGTGGCAGAAAATTGCAGTTCAATATGATGTATATAAAGATTTAAAATAGTCAAAACACTACTATAGATCTGTTAAGTGTATGTATTTCAGTAATGAAAGTATTAAGAAATGTAAGAAAGGGATTAACAGCAAAGCAATAAATGTTACTCTGCGCTTGGGGGAGATTGAGGGAAGGAGACTTCAACTGCACCACTACATTTATTCATTAACCTGTGTAACAGGTACACAGGTATTGATACTATATTAGGTATCATTTTGCATGTCTTAAATATTATATAATAATAAGGAATCCAGAAAGTGGTGGAGACTGCTAAGCCTGTGCTAGTATCCATTTTAACTCCCTTTTCAATGCTTGAATCCCTCAACCCCTACAAGAGTTCAACCCAGTACATAGCTGCCCAGCTAGAACTACACTTCTCAGGTTTGTTGTAAAGAAATGCGGTCATGTGACTGAGCTCTTGCCAATGGGATCTGAGCAGAGGTGAGTGCAGCCTCTGGGTTATATCCTTAAAAGGAAGCATCTTGCCTATCCCTACCACCTTTTCTTTTCTTTGGGCTGAATATGAATGTGTTGGTGGTGAGACAGCTTTGGTTGCATGCACACAGATGATACTGTAGGAGATGATAGTGTAATGAAATTGAAGAACTACTAGCTCAGGCTTTTACATCACAGAAGAATAAAGCTCTCCGGGTCTCTTAGGTTATAGCAGTTTATACTATATCCAGCTATTATAATACAGTCAGCTAGACCAGTGGGATCTAACTGATACAACTGATCTCCCTGATTACCATAAGGGGGAATCAGTTTTAGAGATGAGGCATGAGAAGTACCACAAGACTGCAAAGATTCACATGTGGAGGTTGACAGGTTGGGTTCAAGTTCCAAGGATACCTGTGTTACCTTGAGCCAGTCCTTCACCTGTCCAGGTATCATTTTCCTCATCTTTAAGGGGAAATAGGAAGATGTTCTCCTTGCTTTGTTGTAGAGCTGTGAAGACCAAATAAAATAATGCCAACTGCCTAACTTGGTATAAAATCTAAATTAGCATGAAGAGAAAGATACTGCACGACCTGATACCATTTCCCCAAAACATTATTTTTTAAACAAATTAAAAACTCAGTTAATTCCAGTAGGTTCATAAAGAATTAACCACATGAACATATTATTTAAAATATGATTTATAGGTGAGACATCCACAGAGCAAATCTTGGACACTTAAACAATCATCTGGGGCAGTTTGCATGCAATTCTCCTAGTAGGCAAATTTTTAAATAAGCATTTTTTATAATTTCTTGCATAAACATTCTTGACCCATAAATTCTACAACTTTCTATCTTACTCCAGAAAGAAACAAATACTTAGAATAAACCTAAGGAAAGTGTTGAGTCATTATATAGGAAAAATTAAATTTCCACCTTTATGTTGGTTGTTTCTTTAAAAGAAGTTAGACTGAATTAGATAGAAAGACTGAGGAAACAATGCTAGAATATGAAAAGAAGTCCTTATTTCTTTCTAGTGGATTTCTTACTATATCCTGCATACATGTACAACTTGCAGAAATCCAGATACCATGGCGAACAATTCTATTTCCGAACTACAGATTTATTAAACTTAAAAAATCTAAGTAGCTGGGCACAGTGGCTCACGCCTGTAATCCCAGTGCTTTGGGAGGCTGAGGCAGGTTAATTGCGAGGTTAGGAGATCAAGAGCAGCGTGGCCAACATGATGAAACCCCATCTCTATTAAAATACAAAAAAAATTAGCTGGGCATGGTGGCACGTGCTGTAGTCCCAGCTACTCGGGAGGCTGAGGCAAAAGAATCACTTGAACCCTGGAGGCAGAGGTTGCAGTGAGCCAAGATCACGCCACTGCACTCCAGCCTGGGCAACAGAGAGAGACTCCATCTAAAAAAATAAACAAAACAAACAAACACACACACAAAAATAACCCCCACAATCTAAGTAAATCAGTCATACAGGAAGCCAAGGTGGGAAGATCACTTGAGGCCAGGAGTTCGAGACCAGCCTGGGTAACATAGTGCC